>NC_000015.10:23276874-23579904 GCF_000001405.40 Homo sapiens
AATTGGAGTAAGGGCAGATCGCCTTCATCTACTTTGGGACTAAGCTGGTTCAAAGCAGGTTTTAGGTTTTCTGATGGCTGGTCTATGTTTTATTCATTTGGACTCCCAGGGGTGGCCCTTCCAGGGTCCCCACCAAGGTCCCATCTCCTTCCTGGGACCCAAATTCTCATTAGGTCATTTCAGCCCTGTGAGAGTGCCAAACATTCAGCTAGGCTCTCCAGCCTCTTAACTACCACTTCATACTCAGTTTCTTAGCCTCTTAGCCCTCTACTGTTGACCAATCACCAAATGTGGGAAAGCACTACAGACTGTCAGGATCACCTCCTAGGCCTGGTCACTCAAGTCCTGACTGAGGTCTCCAATTACCTTCCAACAATTGTTTTTGATTGGGGGCGGGGCACATTTTTATCCAGTTTTTCTAACTGCTCTTGTGGGGAGGCGAATCTGTAACAAGCTCCTCTGCCTTTACTGAAAGTTGAAAACCTTCATCTGTCCTTTTTTTGTTGTTGTTGAGATGGAGTCTTGCGCTGTTGCCCAGGCTCTAGTGCAATGGCACGATCTCTGCTCACTGTAACCTCTGCCTCCTGGGTTCAAGCAATTCTCCTGCCTCAGCTTCCCGAGTAGCGTGTGCCACCATGCCTGGCTAATTTTTTTTTATACCTTTAATAGAGGCAGGATGTCACCATGTTTTCCAGGCTGGTCTCGAGCTCCTGACTCAGGTGATCTACCTGCCTCAGCCTCCCAAAGTGCTGGGATTACAAGTATGAGCCACTGCATCCGGCCCATCTGTCTTTTAAAACATGTTTTTAATTGGAGGTATAATTTCTATTAGTGAAATGCACAGGTCTGGTTTACATTTTGATGAGTTTTAACTCATTTAACATTACTATGGAACCCACCTCCTTTGAAGATACAGAGTATTTCTATCATCCAGAAAGTTCTCCTGTGCTTTCATGCTGTCCCGCACTCCCCCAGCAGCTGATGAACATGCTGAGGACATTGGTACTGGATTCTGGCCGCCCCAAAAGAGCCGCTTTGACCAGGCTTACCCAGCACTAAATCCCTGCCTGCTCTCTCAAAATTTCCATCTTTAAACTGGTTGTACCTATAACCCTCCCTCATCAAGTCAATAGATAAACAAACCCTGAAAAATAAACAACTCTTCCTGGCCCAGCAGCCCACAGCCTAATATTTACTGTATTCCCAGGCTTTCAGAAATGTAACTCGCCTGCCGGTTCACCCTCACTAGGGCGGCAGCTGCACGGGAGCAGCTGGGCTCACCCATTAAGCAAGAAGCCAATAGCTGGACAGTGACACTCAGACCCCAGCCTGGGCGAGCCTGGCTGAAAGCCCCCTTCTTTCCATCCGACTGTGGAGAAAGGGGGCGGAGCACACACAACTCTACTGCCCTCCACATCCTTCACCTGTGCTTCCTCCTGGGAGAGGGAGCCGCTCCTTAATTTGGCCAAAGCCTTCTTGAGGGCTGTAGGTTTCACAGGCTGGGTGTGTGGGGGCCACCGTGCTAGAGACAGAGGCTGGTGTGTCAGAAGGCAGCCACCTGGCCAGAGGGGGGTCAACCCCCTTGGTGACCTCCTTCCCCCGGCTGGACACAGTGCCCTGCACTCTCTACATGTGACTGTTCCCCTCAGAGCTGCTTCCAGGGGAGGGGTTCTAATCCTGTGGGTGGGGACATTGTGTTACTTTACAGTGGGCCATGGCTCCCTCTGACATCTCCAACTCAGAGGCAGTAGAGAGAAGATGAGAAATTCCCTGCCCCTCCTCCCTCAGCACCCCCACCTCTGCACACGTCCACATGTGGAGACCCTGACAATGGGCCCTGGGAGTGCCGCCATCTGTGCCTGCTTTCCATGCCTGCAGCAGCCATGCCCACTCTCCAGACCCTCACCCGCCTGGGTCAGTAGACGCTTCACTGCCTGTGGTCCTGCGCCTACACCTGGGCCTCTGTACCCGTCAGTTCCCCCAGTCTGGTTCTTATTCCCTGCAAAGAGTAGGGAGCCTGTAAGGTCACCTGTTGAGCAAGCTGGGGGAGAAAAGTAGGGTGGGGATGGGAGGATCAGGATGAGAAGCTCATGGTCGTGCTGGAGACTCAGCTGAGCAGAGTCTCTGCAGGCCCATTGGCTGCCTAGCCAGTGGTGATCTCGCTCCCACCCTCATTTCTTCTTTGTTAACAAAACCATGACCTCATTAAATACTGGACACCTATAAACCTCATGGACCCTCCTCCAGCCTCCCCACCGTGTACCGGTGAGTCTAAGTCAACTCTAGTCATTTCATTCCTCTGGACATTGACTGCTTAGGGCTTGGGCATGAGCTGCCTCTTCACCTGAGCCTGAGCCACAGGTACCCTCTGCACCTACCACGCTGATGCACTGGGCCAGGGAGAGCGCCGTCTGGATGGAGATGAGCTGTGAGGAGCTGGTGGCTGGGCGGATCAGGTTGTTGTAACAGGTTTTGTTCAGAAGGTCGTCCATCAGTTTCTGCTCGGCATGGGCCATGCGGCAGTCCCCTGGGTAAACACACAGACATGCTGGGCCCTTGTGCAGCTGTCTCCCACTGCAGCTGACAGCTATGAAGCAGGAGCTGAGAGGGCCAGGGAGCACAGACACCCTGAGAGCTGGCTGAAGCAGTGAAGGTGCTGGCCGGCCTGGCTTTCCCTGGGGACTTCAAATGACATTCACGACAGAGCTCAGCTACCTCCTCCCCATGCCATACCTCTTCCTCCTCCTCCTCCCTCCGTCAATGAACAGCATCCCACGCTCTACACATCTGATACAAAACTGGGTGTCTCTTCCTGACTCCTCCCTTGGTTCACCCAAGTGGCCACCAAGTCCTGTCTGTCCTCCCATCTCCACGGCTACAGCCATGTCCCTGCCTCCCCCGCCCTGCCCACCTTCTGTTCTCTCCACCTGCACTCTGCCCCTGCCATCCATGTGCCATACAGTGGCAGACTGATCTTTCTACAGCAAACTGGACTAGGGCCCTTCCCTACCCACAGCTCTCAGAGCTGGAGGTGGAGTTGAAGCTCATGTTTTGGCTTGGCATTCAGAGCTCTTTCCCCCTCAGCACTGGCTTATCCAGAGTGCTCACAGTGCAGGGCAGGAGCCTCGTGACTCAAATGTGGGTTTGGTGCAGAACTGGGTCTGAGGTGGTGCTTTCCCTGTGAAGAGACAGGGCCGACATGGGGGAATTTTCTGGGTTCAAAGTTAGACCTAGAGAGTGCAAAGTTTCTCTGAGGCACCAAATGGAGGGGTCCAGCTATCAGCTGGCTCCTGGTCTGGAGCTTCAAGGAGAGGTCTCAGCTCAGAGCCACATTCAATAGCCAGCTTACATGTGGCCTCCTGAAGGGAGCCCCTGGAGCTTCCACAGCCTCCGTTCTGCCCCTCTGCATACCCCAGATCTCCTGCTAAGTGGCGTTTGGGTCTTCATGTCATCTCCCTCCCATGTCTGGGAGTAAAGGTGAGGTGCAGGGACTTGCGCTTGTGTACTCTGGTGTCTTAAGGGAGACTGTGTCAAGTAGAGTGGAGGCGGCTTGGAAAGAGGGAGACTCAGAGGAGAGTGAAGGACACATGACCAGGCGAGCCTGGGAGCAGGAAAAGAGAGTGAGCAGAGGCAACTGCTGGGTCAGGGGAGCGGATGGGAGGATCAGGGAATGCGGGGGGGCTGGAGAGGTAGGGGTGGGGACGTTGGCGAGGGGCTGCCTGGCTCGCCAGGCTCAGGAGTCAGTTACATCCTCCCACAAGGGCCAGCTCACCTGGTCGCCCCAAAGACCTCCCTCTGTGGGTGGGACCAGAGGGCCAAGAGCACGGATAACCCAATTGAGCAGGACTGAGGCGGACTCAGGTGGGTGCTGGGCCGGACTCCTGGCTGTGGGGAGCAGCCGCCACCCTGCCTATTGCATCCACTTTCCAACTCGCTGCCTATCTGAGCAGATGCGATATTGGGCACCTTGTGAAACATGCTCCTGGTGCACCTGCTGCCTGCTGCCCCTCCTGCAGAGTGCCCGGGCTCTCCAGAGGGGATTCCTATGGAGGCTTGGCCTAGATTCTGAGTCCTGCCTCTCATACCTGGGGCTGCTACCCCAGAGGCCAGCTGCTTGAGTACCCCGGAAGCCAGTCTGTAGCCCCAGGCTACAGCTGGGTCCATCCCACAGCCCTTCTCTAATGTACCTATTTGGACTGGCTGCTCATTTCATAGAGAGGGGTGTGTCTTGCCCCAGACCATCTGGCATGTCTAAGGCAGCTGTGGGGTCAGAATCTGCAGCTCCCAGCCCTCAGCCCAGCAATAGTAGGAAAGGCTGGACCCCACATCTCTGAAGTCCCACTGGGTTGGTGCGAGCGGGCTCCCGAGTACAGGGCTGCTCTGCAGGCTGTGGGGCTCATGCGCCAGCTCTGAGCCCACCTGATGTGCTCACGTTGCTCACCTTTGGGCCTGTCCGGCCTCTCAGGCATTCGGCTGACCCTGAGGGCCTCTCCCTCATCTTGACCACCAGCTACGGGCTCTGATTTAGAGGTTCCCAGAACCTTAGACCATTTGGCCGGCCCCCCATTTCTCACCTGAGGAAACTGAGACCAGAGAGGGATAGCAACTTTCTCAAGGACCCCCAGCAATTCAGAGGCAGAACCAGGTCTAGGAGCCTCTTCTCGATAGAGGTTCCCCCTGTCCCCTGAGCCTTCGTTAGTGCCTCATTAACTTCCCTGTAAGGAAACTGCCCCGCTGAGGCTGGAAATGGTGCTGTCCAGAGTGGTGTGTGCCAGTGACTGTGCTTGTGTTTGTACTTGTGAGTGTGTATGGGGGTGGGGATGAGGGGTGGGAATAAACGGCAGGGATGCTGGGGGCTGGATGCACTCCACCTCACCCCAAAAAGGGGCGCAGGAGAGCCCAGCCAAGCACAGCACATGCTTCGACTTTCCAATCTGCTGAATGCCTGTGAGGCCGGCTGGGCCCAGAAGACAAGGGACAGGCCTTTCCCCATAGATGGCAGGGGGGGCCCAGGATGGGTGGAAGCTTCTGCCGCAGCTTTGGGGGTCACAACCCAGCCCATGGGCTGACACTTAAGCAGAAAAGCCACCTCTAGGGGTCAGTCATAATCTAGTGATTCTGATGAGGAGGGCCCCACCAACCTCTGTCCAGGGTCTTGTCTGGGAAAAACTGCTCCCTGGCAGAAAGAGGCTAATAATTTGAGAGGAAGCCATAGCTGAAACCCTAAGCTGTGTGAGTGCGTGTCCAGTTTGAGAAAGCATATCCGACTTAAACATTTGTATTGAAAAAATGGAAACATATTCCCCTTGTTTTGGAATACAAACTGCAGAAAGCAGCAGTTAACAGAATCTTATCGGAAAGGTCAGATTCTGCATCTGGAAAGGCACAGTGATTTTCAACTGCGGTGTGTGTCCTTAACTGAGGAAGGGAAGGTGAGATTTATGTTTAGTAAAAGGCAGCTATGAATTTACCTTTTATAAAGAGCTTGCTATATACTATTAGTGCTTTTCAGTCATGTCAGAATCAGCCAGATGCCTGTGGAAATGCAAATTCCCAGGCTTCATTCCCAGAGATTCTGGTCCTGTGAGCCTAGGGTGGGGCCCAGAAATCTCTATGGGGTGGTGCAGCCTGCCCCAGGACCACACCAAGAAACACTGCAACTGGCCCACACACATCCCAGTCCACAAATATGTAGGCAGGCATCTTATCTCCACGGAACAGATAGGGAAACTGAGGTCAGAGTGGGGAAAGAAACGTCATGGGGCCACCCAGCAAGTAGTAGCAGAGCCACGATACACCCACTGCCTGCAGACACCATCTCTGATGACAGCTCCACCTCCCCACAGGAATCTTGCCTACCCCCACCCCTACCTCCTGCTGCCCCTATGGTGGGTCTCTGTCCAAGGAAGATGTATCCTAGGTCCTCTAGGCTGACTGCGGCTCAGAGGAAACCTTGGCCCAGAGTGTAGGAGCTAGAGGGGTCCTTGGAATTCACGTGGGGAATTTGAGGCCCAAAGAAGGCAGTCCTCACATTTGAACTCTGTCTGGAGAAGGGCTAGGTCTTCTTCCTGAGTGGTAGTTTTGACTTCACCAGCCTGGCCCTCAGTCAAGCTGGCTGTCCAGGCCCGCCACACCTCGGGGTGGGTGACCAGAGGCGGTGGTGCCATAAAAACACGTTTCCTGGGAGATCCACCCCCAAAGCTCAAAACATTCCAGGGCTGGTGATTTGGGCAAGCCCCCTTCCCTCTCAGCCCAGTTTCCCCATCTCTGCAACAGCCGTGCTGGTGGAGACTTCTGATACTGAGCTGCAGATTTTCTCCTGGGTGCCTACACAGCCCAGGTTGCCGGCTCCTCTGTGCCCACTCTTCAAGAAAGTCAGCTCTTAGGTAAGGAAGGTGCCTTGGCCCTATCAGGAGCAGGAGCCGGTGCACCCCCAGCTTCCCAGGCCAGTGGGGATGACCCAGGCTGCCTACAAAGCTGCTGCCCAGCCCAGAGACACCCGCCTGGGAGGGTGGCCCTGGCCCTTGCAGCGGCTCTGAGAAGAGTCGGCCCCCACTCCAAAACTGGCAGAGCCACCCATGCCTTCCCTCAGCCCAAAGAGGCTTTTAGGAACATGAATCGTCTCAAGTTCAAACCCATGGGGTTGCTGAAAGACAAGACAGTGCAGGGTGAGCTGGTGCGAGGGAGCGCTGCTCGGTGCAGACTTTGCAGGGAGGGCACTTAGGAAAAAGGACTGGAGTCTGGGAGGGTTAACTAGCTTAGGGTTAAAGGGAGGGGATGGAGCTGGAGTGAGCTGGCCTCGTCCTCCCCCTTGGGCCTTCCAGCCTGGGCTCAGGTGATTCAAGGGAGCAAGCACCTCCCTCTCCCAGCCAGGGAGTTCTCGCCACATTCTGCAATCAGTACCATTCCCCTGGGGGCTGGGTGACAGCCCCCACCTCTGGACCTGGCTGGAACTGCTGTCTCAATTCTAGATCCAAAAGAATCTCTGGCAGCTTCTCCATCTCCCTCTCAGTCCAGCCTCACCTCTTCGCCCGTGGAGGAGCTCCAACAGCAAATCTGGCAACTGGAGGAACAAGGCAGGAAGGGCAGGGTCTGAGGAAGGAACCACCTTCAAAAGGCAGCTCTGCCACCTTCTCTCCAGGACTCTCAGGCTTGCTTTCCTATTGCTCCCTCGACATCCTTTTGCTATAATCTGGCATGTTGACGTATAGTCTTTAAAAGCAACAATGCTGTTGACGTGGAGCAGACTTCCCATTTGGGATGGTTTGGAGAAGTTAGGTTTGAGGGCATCCTCTCTTCTGCAAACTGCAGCAGTAATAGATGAGATATACAAAGTAAATAAAGGCTGGGTGCGGTGGTCGTGCCTGTAATCCCAGCACTCTGGGAGGCTGAGGCAGGAGGATCACTTGAAGCCAGGAGTTCGAGACCAGCCTGGCCAATATGGCGACACCCTGTCTCTACTAAAAATGTAAAAATTAGCTGGGCATAGTGGTGCACACCTGTAGTCCCAGCTACTCAGGAGGCTGAGGCAGGAGAATCACTTGAACCCGGGAGGCAGAGGCTGCAGTGAAATGAGATCCCGCCACTGCATTCCAGCCTGGGCGACAGAGTGAGACTCCATCTCAAAAAATAAAAATAAAAAATAAAGTAAATAAAAAAGACATGCCCAGGCTGAAAAATAAGTTAATTATCTCCATGAACGAAAAGCAGACAAGAAATGCAAAGTGGTTGGAGGCTGAAGAGCCTGGACCCTCCTGGGCTTTGGGAACCAAAGATGGTGGCAAGTCCTTTGGGATAAAGAGGGACAAAATGACTCCTAGCTAGAAGCTGGGAGCTTGGGTGTACCCCAGTACTTGAAAGGATGCTAGCTGGGCGCGGTGGCTAATGCCTGTAATACCAGCACTTTGGGAGGCCGAGGGAAAGTAACTCTTATGTCAGTGTGAAGCAAATCAGACAGGACAGGGGAACATGGAGGGGAGGAGAGCCAAACCAGGGCCTGGTTCCAGACCCACCACACCCGCCCCGTTGAGCCAGGAGCACAGGTGGCTCTCTGCACAACATCAAGAGCGAGGACATGCTTTCAGCTCCACTTTAACTCAGGTTCCTAATGTGACAGCAGGCTTGTCAATCCCACTTGCCCCCGTGTCTCACACCAGAAAACTACCAGCAGTGTGAGTAAGGACAGAAGCAGGAGACAGAGGAGCCAGGGTTGGGGAATCCCATAGCAACCCACAGGCCCTCATCACACACGGCAAGGATGCGCCTTCACTGGGCTCACCACCACCACTCGACATCACCTTCACTACATGATACCCTGCCTGGATAACACCACTGTAACACAAGAAACAGGTCTAGAATCTAGCATGTATGCTACACCTGAAGGAGCAAGAGACGGTAATACAATACAATGAAATTTTTAGTTTATTTAATATAAAATTTAGAGCCATAATCAAAATGTGTAATTCTGATGGGATTCACTACTTATAAAAACTTCGCAGCGCTCTATTTTCAAATGTAAATGGTATTCTGTGGCTCCTCGCCAGCATGTAAATAACGATCTACTCTGAAATACATTTCACGGCTTATTTTTGGCAAGCAGCGATTTCTCCAACCCACGTTTTCCAAGGGAAAAAAGGACATGAAATGTCTCCAAAAGTCTCTTACGATCTTTAGATAAACTACTGTTCAACAACTGCATCTGCCAAGTCAACACATCAAGAATCCTTCACTCACAAACACTTAAGGTGAGAAAACAGTGTCTACCCATGCAGGAGAGGGACACATGATCCATGCTGATGAAGACAGCCTGGATATCGGCTACTGGAAAGCTGCGAATGCATTTTTCTTTTTCTACTTTCCAAAAGTTTTGTGAGGTGATACTTATTTCTATGTTTGTGTCTATTCTTTTTATTTTGTATTTTTTAGTAGGTACATCCTTACTATAAATCTGCTGTAGAACCAATGTCCCATACAGGACCCCACGTGCCACAGGAACCAAAAAGTCACACGCAGCGAAGACGAAGACACAGGAGACAACCTGTGTGGACAGCACAGAGCCACCTGCCCAGGACACCAATGGAGCCACAGGTGCAATTCAAAATGTTCTTAGTCGTATTAATAAACATGGCCAGGTGCGGTGGCTCACGCCTGTAATCCCAACACTTTGGGAGGCTGAGGTGGGCAGATTACCTGAGGTTGGGAGTTCAAGACCATCCTGGCCAACATGGTGAAACCCCATCTCTACTAAAAATACAAAAATCAGCCAGGTATGGTGGCATGCTTCTGTTAGTCCCAGCCACTCAGGAGGTTGAGGCAGGAGAATCATTTGAACCCAGGAGGCAGAGGCTGCAGTGAGCTGAGATCGTGCTACTGCACTCCAGTCCAGGCAACAGAGTGAGGATCCATCTCCGGGTGGGGAAAAAAAATTGTTCTTAGTCACATTAACAAAAGTAAAAAAAAAAAAAAAAAAAAACACCAAGAAGAAAAACAACAACACATAAAATTAATTGTAATAATGGCTGGTTGCAGTGGCTCATGCCTGTAATCCCAGCACTCTGGGAAGCCAAAGCGGGCAGATTACTTGAGGTCAGGAGTCCGAGACCAGCCTGGCCAACATGGTGAAACTCTGTCTCTACAAAAATACAAAAATCAGCCAGGCGTGGTGGTAGTGCCAGCTGCTCGGGAGTCTGTAGTCCTGTAGTCCCAGCTGCTCAGGAGGCTGAGGCAGGAGAATCACTTGAACACAAGAGGCGGAGGTTGCAGTGAGCCAAGATTGCACCACTGCACTCCAGTCTGGTCAACAGAGTAAGATTCCATCTTAAAAAATAAAAATAATTTTAATAATGTATCATAGTTATTCCAACAGATCAAAAATATGACCATTTCAACATGAAATCAATCTAAGAAAAATTATTGAGATATTTTACATAGGTTATTTCATATTAAGTCCTCAAAAACCATCTGAGTAGCTTACATATGTAACACATTTCAATTTGGACCGTGAAATTTGCATTGAAAACATCTGATCTCCATTTAGACTCATAAAATACACAGTTGACAAAGTAGACTCCCAAGGCCAAGTGATTCTAAACATACTTAAGTGCTTTCTAATAACAGAATCAAATTTTCAAACCTGCATTTTAATGAATAAAAATTAAACAGATAAAATATTCAGTGTCTCAGCTATGACGGACAGACTTCAAGTGCTGATCAGCAAACGGTGTTGAGTGTAGCCAGATGGGCCAGCGCAGGCTACACAGCTGCAGCTCAAACAGCACAGCTGCAGGTCAAACAGGCCAGTCTCTCTGCGCACGGGAACAGTCTGGGCAAGCAGGAGACGGGGAAAACGGGCACTGCCCTCGTGAGAACAAAGGACCCACAACAGGAACCCTGCACTCACCCCCTGCCAAAGACCAACAGCCCCACGAAGCAGCCACTTCAGAAAAGGGAGAGGCATTCAAGAACTTAGAAAAGCACCTCTGGAAAATGCTCACTTTAAAACTTTGCATGTAACTGTACATTTTAATTACAAGGTTTTTAACATCCATTTTCTCATGTATTCTTAATTAACTCTGTGAAAGTAAACACAGCTTTTATTCTTACTCCCATAGTTACTGTGTTGGAAGTCCACCTATATGAACAAACTGTTGTAACTGAAATTTTCTGAGAACAAATCCCAAGCTCTTTCCATCGACACAAACTATATTGTTTAGTTCTCTTTATTTCCATTTGTTAAAGACCAGAATGTGTGAAATATGCATTATCAGATTAGAAAAACAAAACAAACATCAGAAAAAGGTTTTGCAAAATAGCATTTACTAAAATCTATGACAGAAACTAGCTCTAAAACTTCCTGTTTCAAAATTTCACTGTGTGTGCACTAAGTTAGTTTTTCTGGCTGTGGACAGCAGGCCCACCCCATGCCGCGGGCCCACCCCATGCCGCAGGCCCACCCCACGCCGCGGGCCCACCCCACGCCACAGGCCCACCCCACGCCACAGACCCACCATGGCCCCATGAACAGGCCAGCTGAGAGCTGCAGCCACTGCCCAGGGCTCCCTGGTCTGTACTCGGCTGCCTGACCCAAGCTGCCAGGGCTCTGCTTTCTCTATGTGTAGAAACAAAAACCAGGAGCATCAGTTGACGAAAAGCAGATTTTTATTGAACAGAGGTATAAATGTGTTTCATTTTCTAATAAATCTCTTTCACAAATCACCTTGCTGTTTCGCTCTTCTTGAATGATCATTTTTAGACAACACTGTCTGACTGTTTTGGCTTCTGCCAAGGTTAGCGTCTGTTCACAGGCTGAGTCTGACTTCTTCCTCCCACCTCCTCCTAGTCTGGCCTTCCAAAATAATGCTCACCATTCTATCACATTGACTTCAGTTTTGAAAAGAAAAGTTATCTTACAAAGTAGTATGTATAACTCTGTAATATATAAAGTGAGGCAATGATAGAACCAGTTTTAAAAATAACCTTCCATGATGATTTTCATTTGCATCCACCTGCTTATTAGTAAGAATCTTTTTACATGTTTACTGCACGCCCCAATTTCTCTTCAGTGAAAAACTTTTGAGTATCATCACACCCTCCAACTTCTCCTCTCACCTATATTGAAAAGGGTCTGCTCTTTATCCTAACATCTATACTAGGTAATTTTCAGAATATTCCTTCAATCATCAAACAAATTTTTGAGATCCTTGCGCTAGATTTCACTATCTTAATATGAAAACCAATAATCACCTATTAAAATACAATACAGGCCAGGCACAGTGGCTAACACCTGTAATCCCAACATTTTGAGAGGCCAAGGCAGGTGGGTCACCTGACGTCAGGAATTTGAGACCAGCCTGACCAATATGGTAAAACCCCATCTCTACTAAAAATACAAAAATCAGCCAGGTGTGGTTGCAGACGCCTGTAGTCCCAGCTACTCGGGAGGCTGAGGCAGGAGAATAGCTTGAACCCAGGAGGCGGGGGTTGCAGTGAGCCAAGATCGTGACACTGCACTCCAGCCTGGACGATAGAGCAAGACTCCATCTCAAAAAAAAAAAAAACAAAAAAAAAACACCATTAATAAGTAAATAAATAGGCCAGGCGTGGTGGCTAATGCCTGTAATCCCAACATTTTGGGAGGCCAAAGTGGATGGACCACCTGAGGTCGGGAGTTCAAGACCGGCCTGACCAACATGAAGAAACCCTGTCTCTAACAAAACTACAAAATTAGTGGGGCATGGTGGCGCATGCCTGTAATCCCAGCTGCTCGAGAGGCTGAGGCAGAGGAATTACTTGAACCTGGGAGGCGGAGGTTGCAGTGAGTCAAGATCGCACCACTGCACTCCGGCCTGGGCAACAAGAGCGAAACTCTGTCTCAAAAAACAAAAAAGTAAATAAATAAAACACAATACAATACAGCTAATATGATTTACCTAAGAAGCTGTTGTATGAGCTGAACCAGAGGCAAACACTGTTTGCCAGAAGACTCACAGATCCCCGTATTAATAAGGCCTTTATCCAATGGAGTCCTCCTTCTATGAAATGTTGAGGCATTTGCTTCCTGTTCATAAATTTCTTTTTCCTTCCGTGCTTCTTTTTTTGTATCCTGTAATTGATAAACAGAAATTGTTTACAAGTGATCTCATTACCAGGTGTGAAGGCACACAGGCTGGCTGAGCCCTGACCCCAGTGCCAAGCTATCCCAGCCTCTGTGGCTGCCACACCCATCCACCCACAGGCCCCCACCTGCCCTGTTGGAAACCCCAACTCATTTGTGCAGTTTCAAACAGTGTCTTCTTTTTACAGATCCAAGGTCTAGGCTGCCTCTGCTGATGCTCTCCAGCCTCCTTCTGTGAAGTCCCTAAAATCCTTAACCCTGCTAATGGCTCACACAAAACCCAATGTGATCGGCTCCACACACGCAGCATCCAGCTGCTCTGTAAGGACAAGAAGGAGCTAGAATTCTCACACACAAGTCCTGGTTCAAATGCAAATGGCAAAGCCACTTTGGGAAACTATGAACACACACTAACCCCAGGACCTAACAAATTCCACTCCAAGTGTTTATCCAAAGGGAGAACATATGTTCACTAAAGTACTTGTTCACAGCACAATTGTGGCAGCTCTACACGGCCAAAAACCAGAAAGCCTGGGCGCGGTGGCTCACGCTTGTAATCCCAACACTTTGGGAGGCCAAGGTGGGGGGATCACTGGAGCCCAGGAGTTGAAGACCAGCCTTGCAACACAGTGAAACCTTGTCTCTACAAAAAAATCAAAAAACTAGCCGGGCATGGTGACATGTATGTGGTCCCTGCAACACAGGAGGCTGAGGTGGGAGGATCATTTGAGCCTAGGAGTACAAGGCTGCAGTGAGCCAACATCAGGTCACTGTATACAGCCTGGGTGACAGAGCAAGACCCTGTCTCAAAAAAAAAAAAAAAAAGAAAACAAAAACCAAAAACAATTACATGTCCTTCAATAGGAGAATGAACTAACAAACAGTACTACACCTATAAAATGGAAAACTTCCCAATAATAAAAACGAAGTCGCAATACACACAACAGTGAGCGAATCTGAAAATCATTCTCCAAGGCAAAGCAGGAAAGAGTGCATACTATACAGTTATATTGCTGCGACACTCAGAGCAGGAAAAATGAATCTAATCTCAGGGCAGGGGAGTATCCTGGCTGCAAGTGCCAAGGAGCACAGCGATCTTTCCGGGTGACGGGAATGGTCTACATGAGGAACAGGTTACCTGTTAACTTCACTGAAACAGACAACATGCAGTATTTTATCACAAATCATCTCAATAATTTTTAAAATTAGCACATAAAAGAATTTTAATTTAAAAAAATACTTGGATATAAGTTTAGTGTTTTACTGTTTTCAGTTATTCTTCACATGTGTGAGTGTGGTATTTCCGATCTCAGCCCACCACCAGGTCACGTGTGCCTCCAAGGCCATACCTGGATCTCTGCAGTAATGGCTGCGTGTAAGGCTGACTCCAACCCTCCATCAGCCATCAAGCTGCCCACCAGAAGATCAATCACCAATCGATGACCTGGACTTATGCTCACTTCATTGCCTGAAACTGAAATAGAAAGTGTGTGCCAATTTGAGTGAAACGCCATCCCCTCCCAGCACCCTGACCCATGCCCTCTCCTGTTCCTTCCCCGAGCCCACCTCCGCAGGACAGGAGAGCAGAGTGCCCGGGCCTGCTTCTCAGCGGTGGGCAACAGCATGGACCAGCCGCTCTGCAGCATGGCCTGGGAGGCCGACTGCACGGTGCTCAGCACGTCTGCGCTGCTTGCCAGGGTCACCACCTTCTGCTTCAGGCTGTTCAGGAAGACGCTGCCCAGACCTAAACCAAGGAATTCCAGGTCAACCTGGTGACTAATGGCAGCATGCAACTGAAAGGAGAAAAACAATTTTCACTTAGAACCCCTAAAAATGAGTGAATTTCAAAGTCTTATTAAACACTGAATAAAAGTCAATTTGAAGTATTATCTAAATAGACAAAATAACTTCTCAGTTTACGTATTTTTAAAAACTGGACTAAAAAAACTCTTACCCACAATAGTTGAAGTATTTTCTAGAGGAATTTTTTTTAACCCCACTATGAACACATATATGGAAAAGCTCAAGATGAGCAGAAGAGCTAAACAACTAGCAACAGCAACCTCCACCCCGCCCCAACAATCTGCACCAAACACAGAAATAATGGCTACAATGTAACCACAAAAGCTGCCACAGGCGGTGGCTCATGCCTGTCATCCCAGCACTTTGGGAGGCCGACGGGAAAGCTCACTTGAGATCAGGAGTTCAAGATCAGCCTGGCCAACATGATGAAACCCCATCTCTATAAAAAAATCAGCCGGGTGTGATGGTACACACCTGTAGTCCCAGCTACTTGGGAGGCTGAGGCAGGAGAATCACTTGAACCTGGCAGGCCAAGACTGTACCACTGCATTCCAGCCTGGGTGACAAAGTGACACCCTGTCTAAAAAAAAAAAAAGAGCTGCTAAAAATTAGACTGCGGAGCTGAGAGTACACAGGGAAACTCCTCAAGTGCAAAACCAAAATTCACGTGGGCACACACAGCAGGAGTCAAGAGGTTCCGGGCTCTGAAAGCAGAGCCAAGCCGCCAGGCTTCAGCACAACCTCCCACACGGGAATGCACACAAGGACCCACTGAACCCGAGCTTCCTGCAGAAGGCTGGGAGCCACTCAGGATCACCTGCCTGCCAGCCAACCGCAGCCAGGGGGCAACACACTGCCCGTCCCAGGCTCTGGGTAGCAAGAGGCCCCATGAGAAATCAGAGACCCGGCCTTGCCCTGTGAGTAGAAGTGAAATCAAAAGCACACCACTCATCTAGGTATAGATATCACAGGTCAGGAAATGACCACCGAAACTCACCTGGAGTCTGTGAAACCTACAGAACCTTCAGGACCCCGGAGAGGCAAATGCAAAACCATACGCTGGGACACCTCGACAGCCTAAGACATACGCAAGGCCACGCCCCACAGCACTGACCAGAACAGACACATCACCGCAAACCAGGAGGGGCAGCAAACACCTGGGGCGCAACCACGCAAACGCCAGGATGCCACAGATATGGTGATAAATGAGTGCTACAGAGGACTAGAGGAGAAGCATGCTCCAGACCTCTGCTCAGTTCATTACTGCAACTAAACACTACACTCAGTTCTGTACATTCTAGAAGCAGGGCAAAAAGGGGAGGGGCTGGAAGAGGGACATGACGGGTTGTTACAAGAAACCACTGTAATAAAAGGGAAAAATTACTATGTCGAGAAAACCGTGGTTCTTGTCATTAAGTTAGAGGGTTTTATTACAAAGACAAAAGATGATGATCAAACACTTCAGCTTTAGTTTTGCTAGGGAGGAAGGCTTTTGTAGCTTTTATTTTGACCCTAACCACAGCCTTCATGGTGAGGAAAGGAAGGTATTGCTTTGGGAGCCGAGCTTACTGAGTAGATCAAGCTTGTTCAACCCACGGCCCGAGGGCAGCATGTGGCCCAGGGCAGCTTTGAATGTGGCCCAAAGTAAAATTTCTTAAAACATCATGAGATATTTTTGGGATTCTTTTTTTAAGCTCATCAGCTATCATAAGTGTATTTTATGTGTAGCCCAAGACAATTCTTCTTCCAGTGTGGCCCAGGGAAACCAAAAGACTGGACCCTCCTGGAGCAGGGTTTTCACAGGACAGAGGAGAGACAGGCCAGCACTGGTCTCTCAGCTGAGCGCTGTCTCTCTCCATCACCTGTGATCTCACCCAGTCATTTCTCCACACGCAACAACAGTAAAACAGTAAGAATACCAACAAACTAATGATTATAGCAAAAATAACACAATCCATATACACTCTTCCTGCATGCCGAGGCTGACTTCCAGGACAAACATAAAATAAACAGATCAAGTTTTTTAAGCCTTGCGTCCATTATTAGTGCATTACAATCTTACTTTAAAATACTTCCCCCAACAGGCTAAAACCTATGTCCTTCAAAATACATAAACCTTCTTACAAATCGCTAAGACACTTATAAAAGGAGCAAGAGGAAGGGAAATCACGAATACCTGAAGTCGGGGAAGATTCAGCGTTGCCACGGCCACGCACTCTTTCTCCTGGGGCGGGGGCCAGTCCGCGGAGCCATCCATCCCCTCACTCACCTGCCGAAGCAGGAGATCCAGCTGCTCAAAAGTCACTGAGCAAATATCCACCCCAAAAGGGACATGGAGGCCAATGGACCACTCAGAACACGATGACCAAGCAATGCTCTAAGAGGAAACGCAACAATCGGAAATGAATCTCCAAATGCAGCTCTTGGTCTGTCGCACAGGAGTCACCAGCTTGTGTGATGGAGCTGCCTTATATTATTACCTATCATCCCTCTAACTGCCCAGTGGAAAAGCATTCATGGGTGTCTAGCTCACACACTATCAGCTTCCAATTCTCCCACCCATTTCACTAGCCCCATCTCACTTGGCCATACCTAAAAGAGTAAAAACATTTTAAAAAATCTTTTCACTCTCAAAATGATTAATGCACATTAATGGATGGCAGGGAGGCTCTCCATCCACTTGAAGTGGTATAATAGCAACTCTAACTAGACAATGAATTGTTAGACACATATAACACACACAATATCTTTCATAGTGAGAGAACAAGTAATCGGCAAAAATCTAGGAGAACTGTAGAACACCTTCAATAAACTGGATCTAATTTATGGAACACTTCACCCAACAACAGCAAAATACATATACTTTTTTTTTTTTGAGACAGAGTCTCGCTCTGTCGCCCAGGCTAGAGTGCAGTGGCACGATCTCAGCCCACTGCAAGCTCTGCCTCCTGGGTTCACGCCATTCTCCTACCTCAGCCTCCTGAGTAGCTGGGACTACAGGTGCTCACCACCACGCCTGGCTAATTATTATTATTTTTTTAATTTTTATTTTTAGTAGAGATGGGGTTTCACCATGTCAGCCAGGATGGTCTTGATCTCCTGACCTCGTGATCCACCTGCCTTGGCCTCCCAAAGTGCTGGGATTACAGGCGTGAGCCACCGTGCCCGGCCATACATATACTTTACATATACTTTTTTTAAATTTTATTTTTTTGAGATGGAGTCTAGCTCTGTCGCCCAGGCTGGAGTGCAGTCGCATGATCTCAGTTCACTGCAAGCTCTGCTTCCCAGGCTCAAGCCAGTCTCCTGCCTCAGCCTCCCAAGTAGCTGGGACTACAGGCGCCCGCCATCATGCCCGGGTAATTTTTTTTGTATTTTTAGTAGAGACGGAGTTTCACCCTGTTAGCCAGGATGGTCTCGATCTCCTGACCTTGTGATCTGCCTGCCTCGGCCTCCCAAAGTGCTGGACCATACATATACTTTTTAAGCACATACAGACCATACATATACTTTTTACACATATATGTATACATATATGTATATACAGACCATACATATACAGACCATACATATACTTTTTAAGCACATACAGAATGTTCACTGAGAACATAACCTGACACATAAATCTTAACAAATTTAAAAGAAATGAAATCATATGCAGTTTGTTCTCCAATCACAATGGTATTAAACTAGAAATCATTAACAAAACAATCTGCAAACACTTCAAAATAAAACCACATACTTAATAATCCATGGGTCAGGCCGGGCGCACTGGCTCACGCGTGTAATCCCAACACTGTGGGAGGCCAAGTTGGGGGGATCACCTGAGGCCAGGAGTTGAAGATCAGCCTGGCCAACATGGAGAAACCCCATCTCTACTGAAAATACAAAACAATTAGCCGGGCATGGTGGCGGGTGCCCGTAGTCCCAGCTAATCAGGAGGCTGAGGCAGGAGAATCGCTTGAACCCAGGAGACAGAGGTTGCAGTGAGCCGAGATCATGTCATTGCACTCCAGCCTGGGCAACAACAGTGAAACTCCGTATTGAAGAAAAATAATAATAATAATAATAATCATCATCATCATCATCATCCATGGGTCAAAGAACAATTCTCCAAAGAAATGAGAAAATATTTTGAACATAAATGAAAATGCACCAAAATTTGTGGGTTTAATTAAAGCACTGCTTAGAGGAAAATTTATAGCATCAAATCATTATATATTACAAAAAAGATAGGTCTAAATCAGCAATCTAAGTTTCCACCTTAAGAAACCAGAAAAAGAGCAAAGTGAACGCAAAACAAGCCAAAGGAACAAATGCCAAGATAAAAGCAGAAACTAATGAGATTGAAAGCAAAAAAAGAAGGGAAAAATTAATGAAACTTAAAGATCATTCTTTGAAAAGATCAACAAAATTGAAAAACTCTAGGAAAACTGACAAAAAAACAGAAAAGATACAAATTATCAGTATCAGGAATGAATGAAGGGACATCACTGCAGGCCCCACAGACTTCAGACGGTTAGCAAGAGAACACTAAGGAAAACTTGACACTTAAAAATCAGACAACTTAGATGAAATAAAGCAATGTCCGAGTGCCACAAACCAGGAAAATCCTCCTAGAAACAAACAGGTTACCTGAATAGTTCTGTATCTGTTAAATAAATTGAATTTGTAAAAATTTTTTTTTTTTTTTTTGAGCCGGAGTCTCACTCTGTCACCCAGGCTGGAGTGCATTGGTGCAATCTCAGCTCTCTGCAATCTCTGCCTCCCAGGTTCAAGTGATTCTCCTGCCTTAGCCTCCTGAGTAGCTGGGATTACAGGCGCACGCCACCAAGCTTGACTAATTTTTTGTATTTTTAGTAGAAACGGGGTTTCACCATGTTAGCCAGGCTGGTCTCAAACTCCTGACCTCAGGTGATCCACCTGCCTCGGCCTCCCAACATGCTGGGATTATAGGCACGAGCCACCGCGCCCGGCGTAAAATCTTTTAGAAAGAAATCTCCAGGTTCAGATGGATTCAAAAACATTTAAAGAAGAAATAACACTAATTCTACACAATCCCTTAGAGAAAATGGAAAAGGAGGGAACACATGCCAATACTTTGTATAAGGTCAGCTTTCCCCTGACAGAAAGCCAGACGAGATAGTGTAATACAAAGAAAGAAAACTGCAAACCAACATCCCTGATGAGCATCAACAGAAAAATCCTCAAAAACGTGTTAGCAAGTCAAATTTAGCAATATAGAAACAGAATAGGGCCGGGCGCAGTGGCTCACGCCTGTAATCATAGGAATATTGGGATGCCAAGGAGGGTGGATCACTTGAGGTCAGGAGTTGGAGACCAGGCTGGCCAACATGGTGAAACCCCATCTCTACTAAAAACAAACAACAAACAAACAAAATTAGCCAGGTGTGGTGGTGCACACCTCTAATCCCAGCTACTCAGGAAGCTGAGGCAGGAGAATTGCTTGAACCCAGGAGGCAGAGGTTGCAGAGAGCTGAGATTGCACCAATGCACTCCAGCCTGGGTGACAGAGTGAGATTCTGTCTCAAAAAAAAAAAAAAAAAAAGAAAGAGAGTAGTAAATTGTGGCCAAGTGATGCCTATCCCAGTAACACAAGGCTTGGTCAGTATTTAAAAATCAGGCTGGTATAGTGTCTCACACCTGTAATCCCAGCACTTTGGGAGCTCACTGCAACCTCAAACTCTTAAGCTCAAGCAATCCTCCTGCCTCAGCCTCCTGAGTAGCTGAGACTACAGGTGCACACCAGCATGCCACGCTAATTTTTAATTTTTTTGTAGAGATGGGATCTCGCTGTGTTGCCCAAGCTGGTCTCTAACTCCTGGGCTCAAGTGACCCTCTTGCCTATGCCTCCCGAAGTGCTGGTGTGAGCTGTTGCACCCAGCCAAAATACGGCAGATTTGTAGTACCCCAGAAGGCTCCTTCCTGACCTACACTTTCCCACAAAGGAAACTACTCTTCTGACTTCAATCATCGTCAGTTCTGCCTTCCTGCGCTTCATCTAGGTGGGCTGGTACTGTGCACTGTCTCTCATACCTGGCTCCCTCTATTCACCCATGTCGTTGAGTGTTCCTACCACTTCATTTTTCTTTTTTGGCTGTGTAGTATTCCATGATGTGACTGTATCACCATTTATTCACTCTCCTGTTGATGGACATTTAGGTTGTTTTCATTTGGGGCTCTTATGAATAAAAATGGCAGTGAACATTCTTATATAAGTCTTTTTGTGGACATATGCACTCGTTTCTCTTGTGTACATGCTTAGGATGGAATTTCTGAAGGTAGGCATAGATATAGCTTTAGTGGAAGCTGCCAAACAGGTTTCCAATGTGCTTATACAATTTTATGCTACTGCCAGCTTGACAGTTCTTGTAGCTCTACATCTTTACCAATACTCTGTATAACACAGCATTTAACTTTAAATAGAGATAAAACGATGGTAAGATCCAAAGAAGTGCGCATGTTCCTGAAGAACATCCAGTAAAGGGCCTATTTTATTCATCTGTTTCGGGCACTGAAAACCACTGCATGGCCGGATGAGGAAGGAGGCCTGGTACAACTCCCAAGAAGGCATGTGTCCCTCGGGTGGGCTTTGTTTCCCAGAAACTCTGGGGAAGGGGTGGAGAGGCACCTTCTGGGCCAGCTGGTCTCCTCTGGCTTTTCTTGTACCCTAGGGCTCCCTCCAAAGAGACAGAGAACAGCCTGGCCGGGGAGCAGTATCTCCTACTGCGCTTGCTGTGAGCCAGCCACTCTGCCTTCTTTCAGGAATTACAAAATCCACAGGTCCCCGGCATCCTTATTTATGTATTTATTCATTTATGAGGCATGGTTTTCCTCAGCTCTGTTGGATGGGTCTCTGTGAAGGGAGCTTGGTGGGGGCGAGTGGCCCCTCCCTGGAGGAGGCAGGCCCCTGGTCAGGATCTTTGGGGCTCCAGATCTCATAAGTGGGGGGCCAGGCTCCCTAGAGAAACCCTTCTTGGCTAGGGCTGGGGAGCCCACCAGAGTGACCCAATCAGTTCTCAGGGCCTGTGATGGGGCCAAGTGGTTTTGAGAAGCCAGTGTTCAGCTCCATCCTAAAGAGCACTCATGCACGTTGAGGAGGAGGGCCGGGGTGCACAGCCCTGACCTGAGTCAGACCCACCTCAGGACTAAGCCCAGCAGGAGGCCCAGAGTCACTGACCATAAAACGAGCAGATGCCTCCCCCGTGCTGATGGAGATGAGTCTTGGGCATCAACTCTAATAATTTCTAACTGCACCCAGAAATACTGATTCACACAGCAACTAGTGAATAATAGCCTTTTAGAGCTAAAAAAGCCTCATATGATTTATTGTAAATTAACATATGCATTTTACACAAACTAGAGGCACCGTGGTGGGCCAGCAGCAGCCTGTTCAGGGGCCACAACAAGGGAGATTGGATTTCCTTAAGTGCAATGGGAGTTACTGGCAAGGCTTTAAGGTTTTAGCCACAGGAAAGATGAAAGTATTTTAGAGCAATGTGGGTGGATTCAAAGTGAGGTTTTGAACTAGATCAATTTTTTTTTTTTTTTAGACAGAGTCTGACTCTTATTGCCCAGGCTGGAGTGCAGTGGTGCTATCTTGGCTCACTGCAACCTCTGCCACCCAGGTTCAAGCAATTCTCCTGCCTCAGCCTCCTGAATAGCTGGGATTACAGGCACCTGCCACCAAGCCCGGCAAATTTTTGTATTTTTAGTAGAGACGGGGTTTCACCATCTTGGCCAGGCAGTTCTTGAACTCCTGACCTCGTGATCCACCTGCCTTGGCATCCCAAAGTATTAATTTTTTTTTTTTTTTTTGAGACGAAGTCTTGCTGTGTCGCCCAGGCTGGAGTGCAGTGGCCCGATGTCGGCTCACTGCAAGCTCCGCCTCCCAGGTTCACGCCAGTCTCCTGACTCAGCCTCCCGAGTAGCTGGGACTACAGGCGCCCGCCACGATGCCCAGCTAATTTTTTGTATTTTTTTTAGTAGAGATGGGGTTTCACCGTGTTAGCCAGGGTGGTCTCAATCTCCTGACTTCCTGATCTGTCCGCCTTGGCCTCCCAAAGTGCTGGGATTACAGGGGTAAGCCACCACGCCCCTCCAAGTATTAAATTTTTTATTTAAAAAATCTCCCCTCTCCAAAGATCTCCCAGCATTTCTGCAGAGGTCTCTACCTAGGTAAGGAGAAGAAACTATTCTTGGCCGGGTACAGTGGCTCACGCCTGTAATACCAGCACTTTGGAAAGCCAAGGTTGGAGGATTCCTTGATCCCAGAAGTTCGAGACCAGCCTGGCCAACATGGTGAAACCCCATCTTTACCAAAAATACAAAAATTAGGTGGGTGTGGTGGAGTGTGCCTGTAGTCCCAGCTACTCAGGAGGCTGAGGTAGAAGGATCGCTTGGGCCTGGGAGGTCAAGTCTGCAGTGAACCAAGGTGGTGCCACTGCACTCCAGCCTGGGTAACAGAGATCCTGTCTCAAAAAAAAAAAAATTATTTGTGAGGGTGAAATTTAAATACCTTTGTGCATAGCTATCAGTTATTCTTTGTTTTAATATTTAGTTTATTGTGAAATATAACACATATAGAAACATACATAAAACAACACACAGGGCCAGGCCCGGTGGGTCACGCCTTGTAATCCCAGCACTTTGGGAGGCCGAGGCGGGCGGATTACTTGAGGTGAGGAGTTTGAGACCAGCCTGGCCAACATGGTGAAACCCCATCTCTACTAAAAATACAAAAATTAGTCGGATGTGGTGGTGCATGCCTGTAATCCCAGCTACTTGGGAGGCTGAGGCAGGAGAATCGCTTGAACCAGGGAGGCAGAAGTTACAGTGAACCAAGATCGTGCTACTGCACTCCAGCCTGGGCAATAGAGTCAGACTGTGTCTAAAAAAAAAGAAAAAAAATATAGGCCGGGTGTGGTGGCTCACGCCTGTAATCCCAGCATTTTGGGAGGCCGAGGCGGGCAGATCACTTGAGGTCAGGAGTTCGAGACCAGCCTGACCAACATGGAGAAACCCCATCCCTACTAAAAGTACAAAATTAGCCGGGCATGGTGTTGCATGACTGAAATCCCAGCTACTTTGGAGGCTGAGGCAGGAGAATAGCTTGAATCTGGGAGGTAGAGGTTGTTTTGAGCTGAGATCACGCCATTGTACTCCAGCCTGGGCAACAAGAGCGAAACTCCGTCTCAAACAAACAAAAAACCAAACAAAAACAAAAAACACAGTGTAACATGTTATTATAAAGTCACTGCTCAGGGACCAACTTGGCCGCTCCTGTGCCTCTAGAGGGAAGCTCCTTCCCACTGTTCTTTAGAGTTTTATATGTTAAGTACAGGAGTCAACAAACTAGGCCTATGCACCACATCTGGCACCCAGCCTTTATTTATTTTTTGAGATGGCGTCTCACTCTGTCACCCTGGCTGCAGTGTGGTAGCACAATCTCAGCTCACTGCAACCTCCACCTCCCAGATTCAAGCAATTCTCCTGCCTCAGCCTCCTGAGTAGCTGGGATTACAGGTGTGTGCCACCACACCCGCCTAATTTTTATATTTTTGGTAGAGACGGGGTTTCACCATGTTGGTCTGGTCTCGAACTCCTGACGTCAGGTGATCCGCCTGCGTTGCCCTCTCAAAGTGCTGGGATTACAGGCATGAGGCATGATGCCTGACCCAGCCTTTTTTAAAATGAAGGTTTCGGCTGGCACGGTGGCTCATGTCTGTAGTCCCAGCATTTTGGGAGGCCAAGGCAGGTGGATCACCTGAGGTCAGTAGTTGGAGACCACCCTGGCCAACATGGTGAAACCCTGTCTGTACCAAAATACAAAAATTAGCTGGGCGTGATGGCAGGCACATGTAATGCCAGGTACTCGGGAGCCTGAGGCACGACAATCACTTGAACCTGGGAGGCGGAGGTTGCAGTGAGCCAAGATCACACGATTGCACTCCAGCCTGGGCAACGAGCGAAACTCCATCTCAAAATATAATAATAAAAAAAAGGATGTCCTTTTTTGTCTCTCAACCCCGTTTTTTATTTTTTTTTATTTTCAGACAGGGTCTCGCTCTGTTGCCCAGGGTGGAGTGCAGGGGCCCGATCTTAGCTCACTGTGGCCTCAACTTCCCCAGCTCACATGATCCTCCCACCTCAGCCTCCCAAATAGCTGGGACCACAGGTGGGTACCACCATGCCCGCCTAATTTTTGTATTTTTTGTAGAGATTGGATTATGCCATGTTGCTCAGGCTGATCTCGAACTTCTGGGCTCAAGTATCTCTCTGCCTCCACCTCCCAAAGTGCTGGGATTGCAGGCCTGAGCTACCATGCCCAGCCCTGCTTTAATTTAAAGTGTATTACATTTGATATTAGTACAGCCCCTTCAGCTCTTTTTTGGTTACTATTTTAATTGTATCTTTGTATCCCTTTACTTTCAATCTGTTTCTGTATTTAAAATGTTTATCTTGTAGATAGCACATTGGTGGATCATATTTTGTTCTTCAATCCTTTCAGCCAGTCTGCTTTTCTTTCTTTCTTTCTGAGACAGAGTTTTCCTTTTGTCACCCAGGCTGGAGCGCTATGGTGCGATCTCAGCTCACTGCAACCTCTGCCTCCTGGGTTCAAGCGATTCTCCAGCCTCAGCCTCCTGAGTAGCTGGGATTACAGGTGCGTGCCACCAGGCCTGACTAATTTTTGTATTTTTAGTAGAGACAGGGGTTTCTTCATGTCGGTCAGGCTGGTCTTGAACTCCTCACCTCAGGTGATCCACCGCCTCAGCCTCCCAAAGTGCAGGCATTACACGCGTAAACCACTGCGCCCGGCCAAAGTGGTGGATTTTTTTTCTCAGAAAATCTATTCCATTCTTTTTCCAGAAACCAAATTTGTACAAGTTAACTAAAATAAATATTTATACTCTAATTTTTTTGTTCTGAGGTCTTACTGAGTTTTTAGAATTTTATCTTTACATGTTTAGAAAAATTAGAAAATATAAATAGAACATAACCAAGAAAATAATAACAACTTTCCTTCTGTTCAAAGTTCATTACTATTAGCCGAGTGCAGTGACTCACACCTGTAATCCCAGCATTTTGGGAGACTGAGGCGGGCGGATCACTTGAGCCCAGGAGTTCGAGACCAGCCTGGGCAACATGGCAAAATCCCGTCTACAAAAACTACAAAAATTAGCCAGGTGTGGTTCCATGTGCCTGCAGTCCCAGCTAGTGGCAAGGCTGAGGTGGAGAACCACCTGAACCCGGTAAGTCAAGGCTGCAGTGGTGCAGCCTCTGACCCCCAGGCTGGAGTGCAGTGGTGCAATGTCGGCTCACTGCAACCTCCGCCTCCCGGGTTCAAGCGATTCTCCTGCCTCGGCCTCCCGAGTAGCTGGGATTACAGTCACGTGCCACCACACCTGGCTAATCTTTGTATTTTCAGTAGAGAAGGGGTCTCATCATGTTGGCCAGGCTGGTTTTGAACTCCTGACCTCAAATGATCCACCTGCTCTGGCCTCCCAAAGTGCTGGGATTACAGGCGTGAGCCACCACGCCCGGCCGTTATTTTTCTTTCTTAGAGGCAGGATCTCACTCTGTCGCCCAGGCTGGAGTGCAGTGGCACGATCTCAGCTCACTGTAGCATTGATCTCCCAGGCTCAGGCGATTCTCCTGTCTCAGCCTCCCGAGCAGCTGGGATCACAGGTGTGTGCCACCACACCTGGCTAATTGTTAAATTTTTTTATTTTTATTTTTTAGAGATGGGGTCTTGCTATGTTGCCCAGTCTGGCAACATGGGATCCTCCAACTCCTGGCTTCGAGGGATCCTCCCGCTTCGGCCTCCCAAAGCGCTGAGAATTACATACGTGAGCCACCATGCCCGGCCTATATTGTTTTATAGTTCTTCAATTTTGTTTTGTGGTCGCTGGAGGTGTTTCCTTCTTCGATTCCCTGCACAGTGCTTCCACAGCTGCTCCATGGAATCTGCCCAAGACTTTTGCTGCGTTCAGTTGAACACACAGGAGGAAGCTCTTCAGGCCCCAGCCAGCCGACCGCACAAAGATGCGTTCTCATACCCAGGGGAGCTGGTCTCGCCACTCGACCCGCGCCCTGGATAGCTATAGTTAGTGTGAGCGCCACCACCCGCCGCGGCGTGATCAAGAGCGCTCCGGGCCAAGCAGTCTCCCGTGGGAGTGCGGGAGTGCGTGCGTGCGGCGGAAATCCCGCCTTCCGGCGCCCGCTGTTGGCCTTGGCCGCAGCCAGGGCGCTCCAAGTAGGAAGATAAGCGGGATTGCTGGAAGCGGGAGAGTCGGGAGGAGCGGCGAAGGGCTCCTCTTCCCCATTGGCTGCGCCCACGGAGCAGCCTCGTTGCGATTGGCCGTACGCGGGGGGCGGCAGTCCCGCGTCGGCCCGCCCCTCGGGCCGCGAGAGGCGCCGGGATCGCGGGCGCCGGCTGAGCCAGCGGCTCTTGGGAGGCTGCGTCCGCACGCCGGCGGGGCGAGGCGGCCCGGCCCTGCGCGTCAGGTCCTGGCCTGGGGCACCTGGGCGGCCGGTGGCGGGGGCGGTACGGGCGTGGGGCTGGCGGGCGGCCGAGCCCGGGAGGCGGGCGTGGGCGCGGCCGCACCGGGGCCTGCGCGGACCACCCGCGGGGCAGCCTCGGGCCTCTCTCCATCTCTTAAGTGGTGGTGGCTGTGGGTTTTTCTGCAGGCGATCCTTTTGAGTAATTTGTTTCACGCACGCGCCCTGCTGTGGGGTAAAGCGGCAGATTCATGCTGCTGTCATTTGTCGTTAAAACGATGGGCTCCCTGTTATGTGTGTACTTCTTGGATTTGAGGGCAGGGGGATGACATTGTGACTTGGCTTCCTGTGACCGTCCATTCTCAAGGTCTCGTCAGCGTGGTGCAGAAACTCGGCACACCCTGCCTACCTTGGAAGGAGGCTTTCCCTTCCCCACCTCCCTCTCCCTCCATCTCTTCCCTGTTTCCCTCTCTCCCCTTCTCTCCCCTCCACCAGCTCTTCTCTCCCCCCTTTCTGTTCTCTCTCTCTTTTTTCCTTTCTGCATTGAACCTTTCGGGAGTGTCTTTGTAAACTATTAAAAAGCGTTAGGTCTTCAACGTATGTGTTTACTTGCAGGCCTGAGACCTGGGAGGAAGCTGGAGAAAAGATGCCCTCTGAATCTTTGTGTTTGGCTGCCCGGGCTCGCCTCGACTCCAAATGGTTGAAAACAGATATACAGGTGGGGTTTGACATGTCTTTTTCTTGGTGTGTTTCTGCTTCCATGTTTAAATTTCTCGTGTAAAGCTTTTTTTTAGGGTATGTAAGGGGAAGTCAGTTGTATCTTGCTGAATTAGAGGAGCAGGTTTATTTCCTGTAACTTAAAATGTAACAGTCTTTATGGCTGTTTTTGTAGATCGTGCGCGGCTGCCTTTTAATTAGTTTCTTGTAAGTGCACGAAACTTGAGATCTATTAGTAGGCAAAATTTTTTTCCTATTTATTATTACTGGTTAAGAAATCTGCCACACTCCTAACCATATCATGGTGACTGTTGTTTGTTACTGATCGTTTTTGAGCTGTTGAGTTAACTGTGGAGGGGAAAATTGGAGAAGTAAGTTGCAGTAATTATGGCCTGTAGAAACTCACTGACTTTATGAGGTCTTGTGTTTGTGTTTCTGGAGAGGTGAGTTAGTTCAGTCGAGCTATTTGTTTTGTGTTTGTAGCCAGTACAAGGTCTAAGGATAATTGTGTTGAAACTGAAGTCATGATGTTGGGATCTTAAGGGCTGAAGGTTCCAAATAAATGGTATATATAGAATTCTCTCTGACTTGAAATTTTCGCTTTCTGGACCTCCGGATGCTGAGGCTAAGAGTGTCCATATGATAGTGCCTTCCATGGCAGGAGTCAGCAACCTTTTTTTCTTTTTTCTTTCACGTATCTGTGATTCATTCTGTATATTTTAAAAAGTTTTAACCTCTTCTTTCTAGCCCTCCAGTATTTGTTAATAAATTAAAACGTTTCCCGAAGTGTTTTTTGTGAAACAATAATTCTAAAAGATGCTCTAAGAAAAGCTAAGTACATGGAAAAATCCAAAGTATATGTTTTATTTATTACCTTTGATGAATTTGTTGTTTGCTTCTTTTTCCTCTCGAGAGGGTGTCTTGCTCTGTCGCTCAGGCTGGAGTGCAGTGGCATGATCTTGGCTCACTGCAACCTCCGCCTCCCTGGTTCAAGCAGTTCTCTGCCTCCCTAGTTCAAGCAGTTCTCTGCCTTAGCCTCCTGAGTAGCTAGGATTACAAGCACCCTTCACCATGCCCAGCTAATTTTTGTATTTTTGGTAGAGATGGAGTTTCATCATATTGGCCAGGCTGGTCTTGAACTCCTGACCTCACGATCCGCCCGCCACAGCGTCCCAAAGTGTTGGGATTACAGGCTTGAGCCTCCCCGCCCGGCCCATATTTGATGAATATATTTGTCCTTTGTTCTTTTAAAAATCGTGGTTAGAAAGCAGAGCATAATTGTTCTTTATGTAGATCCCAACTGATTGGGGTTTTTAGGGAGATTTTCTGGCATTCAGTAAATGTTTTTATTTTCTATTATTAAGGCTATGAATATTTTGTTTTATTTTCTGAGACAGGGTCTTGCTCTGTTGCCCAGGCTGGAGTACAGTGGCATGATCTTGGCTCACTGCAACCTCTGCCTCCCTGGTTCAAGCAATTCTCCTGCCTCAGCCTCTCGAGCTGTTGGGATTACAGGTGCCTGCCACCACGCCGGGCCAATTTTTGTATTTTTAGTAGAGTTGGAGTTTCACCATGCTGGCCAAGTTGGTCTGAAACTCCTGACCTCAAGTGATCCGCCCGCCTCGGCCTCCCAGCGTGCTGGGATTGCAGGTGTGAGCCACTGCACTTGGCCCATTTTCACTTTTCATTAGCTGCTTTTATCCCCCATTTATTTCCTACCTTTCTGTGTATGATTTCTGAATTCAATGTGTTTCATGTCTTAACCTTCTGAATTGTTTGTTCTCTCATTTTCCATGTTGTTAAGGAAAATAAGAGGCTAAGTGAGACATACTAAATTTGCATGTAGTTTCTCAGATCAGGATAAATGCTCACCTGTTGCAGAACGAGACTCTGCTGTTGCTTTACCCAGGATGTGTTTCCTAGTTCCTTCCTAGAGTGGGGCCACACCCTACTCCAGCCCTCCAGACCCAGCTCCCTGCTCTGACATGATTCCACCAGACTGTATTCCAGCTGTCTTCCCTAACCTGGACCTAGATATTTTCTTTGTTTTTTTGTGTTTTTGTTTTTGGTTTTTTTGTGATGACGTTTCACTTGGCGGTCCAGGCTGGAGTGCAGTGGCGTAATCTCGGCTCACTTCAACCTCCGCCTTCCAGGTTTAAGCGATTCTCCTGCCTCAGGCTCCCAAGTAGCTGGGATTACAGGCACGTGCCACCAAACCTGGCTAATTTTTGCATTTTTAGTAGAGACGGGGTTTCACCTTGTTGGCCAGGCTGGTCTCGAAATCCTGACCTTGCGATCTGTTCGCCTCGGCCTCCCAAAGTGCTGGGATTACAGGTGTGAGCCACAGCACCCAGCCAACATTTTTTTTTATTAAAAAACTTATATGAAATTTATTTTATTGTGGTATCTAGTTGAGTAAATTTTGATCTCTATAGATTCATGTAACCCTCATCATCATCAGGACGGAGACGTGTCATCACCCCAAAAGCTCCCTTGTGCTGCTCCTTTTTATCACCTGTTCCCTGGTCTCATACCCTGGCAACCACTGATCTGTTCTCCATCAGTATAGGGTATTCTTTTTGAGAATGTCATGTGAGTGGAACCATATTTTAAGTAACGTTTTGAAACCATCTTCATTTATTCCTAGTTATATGTTTGAGATTTGTTGTTGTTCTGTGTATTAATAGTTCTTTTTATTGCTGAATGGTATTTCATCATTTGGATGTACCACATGGTGTTTATCCATTCTGCTATTGTAGGACCTTGTGGTTGTTTCCATTTTTCTTTCCCAATTGTAATCCTGCTGTGAGCATTTCTGTACAGATTTTGTGTGAATATAGTTTCCATTTCCCTAGGATAAAGACCTAGTAGTGTGAAAGTTGGGTCATGTGCTGAACTGTTTTCCGAAGTGGCTGTTTTAGTTTGCATTCCCACTGGCAATCTGTCACGTTTCTGTTGCTCTGTGTCTTTGTTAGCACTTGGTGTTATCAGTGTTTTTTAGTTGAGCCATTCTAACAAGTCTAGTGGGATCTCATTGTGGTTTTAATTTGCACTTCCGTAATGGCTAAGAATGCTGAGTATCGTGTTCTTCTTTGCCACTCTTGTATCCTCTGTGAAGTTTCTGTTCAGATCTTTTGCACAGAAAAAGCTGTATCATGGAACCAGTAAAATAACCAAGGAGAGGTTGATTAAAGTTCTGTTTATAACCCTAGAAGATTCCTGCCCTAGGGATATGGGATGGCTGAACGTAGGACACCGACACTGGACAGATGAAATAGCAGTTTATTAGTCATGCATGCTCACAGCCCTGGGGTGGGGGACACCGCATGCCACACGGGGGCTGCACTTGGGAACAGAGTGAACCACGAGGGGCTGTGGAAGGCAAAATTTGTAGTAACAGGAGGGTGAGATGACCTTGCTTCCATGGGAAGATGTGATTGGCTTGTTTGAATAACTCTGGGCCGGCAGGGATGAGCAGACTGGAGTCAGCTCTCCGCCATAAGGAGGCTGTTTGGCTTTGGGACCTGATCTGTGGGAGCAGAGCTTGGAGGAGACCTTGTGGTTAGGCTATTTGAGGCCTTCTTGATTTTACCGACGTCAAGGCAGCACATAATATTTAGTCTTCATTTCAGGCCACACAAGACATTCTTATATATCTACACTCTGTGGCACTTTTTGAAGGGTTTTGTCCTTAGTGTTTAGCAGTTGATTATGATGTGCCTTGTCATGGCTTCTTTTGGATTTATCTTGTGTGGGCTTTGCACAGATTCTTTAATCTGCCTGGGTTTATGTCATTTGCTGAACCTAGGAAGTTTTCAGCCATTAGTTCTTTGGATATTTTTTTCAGCATTCACCTTTTCTCTCCTGTTATTAACCTGTGGGGTCTGTGCTAATTCTAGGTAGTTAGTTTCAGAATCGAATTGCATTGTGGGACACATAGCTGGGTGTCACAAAGAACTGGAGAACTGCTTGGTGCAAAAGTCCATACGTTTGATGTCAGAAGTGTTGTAAACAGAGGAACTGTTTCCTTAGAGATTTTTAGATACTCATTATTTGTAATCTGGATGGGATATCATGTCTTTCACCGATTGAGATACATTTTTCTAATTATGTTGTTTAGACATTTAGTCACAGCCTTCTGTGATGGAGTGTGTTTACACTTCAAGGTTAAGGTTCTCTCTTCTCTTCGCTTACTGTGTAAGGAGTTTTATGACAGTTGTTTTTGACTGAAACTTGACATTGTCAGTGGCCTAAAGTCATTTTTCTCAGCTTTTCCTTTGTGTCCCAGTGCTCTTGAATTATGCTATCAGTCACAGTGCCCCTGCATAGCACTGCTTCCCAGTTGGCAGTGGAGTAGGGCCTTGTAAAGAGTTAAAAGATTTTTGAATCATACTCCTGTTCTACACCCTCCCTTTTCCCATGGGTGCACATGCATTGGGACTCACTGGATAAAAGCAATTGGTGTGAAACTGAAGTAGGTAAATATCAAAGACTAAGTTTCTCTGTTGTGAAATCTACTAGGAAGCTAATGAAATATCATTTTGGAAGACATGCTTTAAATAATTTGATATATTGGTTTGTTTTCTTTTCTTTTCTTTTTTTTTTTTCAGATGGAGTCTTGCTCTGTTGCCCAGGCTGGAGTGCAGTGGTGCCATCTTGGCTCACTGCAAGCTCTGCCTCCTGGGTTCATGCCATTGTCCTGCCTCAGCCTCCTGAGTAGCTGGAACTATAGACGTCCACCATCATACCTGGTGAATTTTTGTATTTTTAGTAGAGACGGGGTTTTACCATGTTAGCCAAGATGGTCTCCATCTTCTGACCTCGTGATCCACCCACCTCGGCCTCTTAGAGTGCTTGGGATTACAGGCGTAAGCCACCACTCCCGGCCGATATATTGCTTTATGAAAATTATACTGGATCTGTTACAGGTACGATTGATGTATTTTATTTTTAAGTTGTCAAACGTTCAGTTAATGATGTGTGTTGTAACTTTTCGGGGAGGGACATTTGCAGAGACTGACAGATGGTATGGCATTCTGAAAAGCGGTTACAGATTAAAAAAATTTTAATTCTGCAGATGATAGTGTTGAACCAAGTGGAACAAAGAAAGAAGATCTGGATGACAGAGAGAAAAAAGATGAAACTCCTGCACCTGTATATGGGGCCAAGTCAATTCTGGAGAGCTGGGTATGGAGTAAGCAACCAGGTAATCTTTGATCAGAGATAGAAATTAGTGTAGACATTTTGCCTCCAGATCCTCAAGTGGTTTTAGAAATTGGTTCTCTAATTCTGTGGGAGAAGGTTGATACTGGTATAGTCTTACACGTCATTGAAACTGGAAAAGATAGCTAGATATTCTCCTACTCATGTTTTGGATAATGAGATAAATTATTTTATGCTTCACACACTTGGAGTATGTCATCTACTGTAATATAGTATCTGAATGAATACTTTAAATAAAATACATTTCTGTAAATTAATTGTATACTTTAAAAATCTGTGAATAAATTTGAGTAGCAAGTCTCAGAAGCTTGATTCTAAATATTAAAGATACATCCTTCCTTGGGAGGGAGCATGTAGCAAATGTGTTACTGTGATTGTAAGCATGCTGTCTTTCTGGAGGTCGCTTCGTTCCTGCATCCACTGTTTTCATTTCAGGGATGTTCACGGAATACCAGGCACTAAAGGGCCAGAATCATCCCCCTACAGGACCAGCACTTGGCCCTGGCCATCCTGCTGGAGCTGGCTGTGCAGAGAGGCATGCTGAGGTGAGGGCTGGTGCAGACCGGGAATGCTTTGGGGAAGCGCCTCTGTATCCAAATACCTGTTGCATTGTGTGCGTTTCACTGAATCGTGTGACTGCAGCAGGTGTGGTGCTCTACAGAGAACCATGTCCCAGGGCTCTCTCTTTTCCTTTTCTTCACTTCCTGTTTTATGCTCAGTTTTCTAGCCTGGGAACTGTTCTTCTTTTTTTTTCTTTCAGTTTTCCTCATTTAATTATTTTTATTCCATGAATTTAAGACCCTAGATCTTCATGTAAATGTGCTCTTTGAGCTTCTTAACTGGTCTTTCCTATCAGCAGAAGGCGATGTCTTGTGCTAAAATCTCAGTGTCAATTCAGTGATTTAACTACCACGGCTTTACTTTCGTTTCCTTTCATATCCCAAGTATTTCTTCACTTCTATCTAGCTGTTTGCTTTTATTTTTGATCAACCATGAAAAAAAAAAAAGTTAATCTGTTTTTACTAGGAATAAATATGTTTTCTTCTTTAGCCAAATGTTGTCTGCCATCCTGTTGTTGCTTCAGCTGTGGGACAGCGGGGCACAGGAGACTGACAATGAGCGTTCCGCCCAGGGCACCAGCGCCCCGCTTTTGCCCTTGCTGCAAAGGTTCCAGAGCATCATTTGCAGGAAGGATGCACCCCACTCCGAGGGCGACATGCACGTGAGTGTCATGATGGAACTTTGTGTTTAGGTGGCACTCGAGTCTAGTTATTTTTTACGCAAGACCAGCGTGCTTGTGCATGGCAGTGTTTTTCTCTGGTGTCTGTGTGTTTGGTGGTAACAGCAGCGAGTCAGATGAGACAGGTGTGGGAGGCCACTTGTTTGTGGAGAAGACTCAGATCAGTGCGCGCCGACTTCCTTGTCAGCACAGAACCAAGCTTGAAACATGCACTTTTAAATCAATACCAGAAAAGAACAACGAAAATAGTGGCTTGCTTTGTTGGCCCTTCCTTTGTACTGGGCTCTGTGCAGGGCATGTCACCTGAGCTGTCACTGTGTTTAGTACCAGCCCCCCCCTTAATAGGTGTGGACGTCTTCCTGAACAGCCTGAAGCAGACGGTGGTGACCCTGGCAAGCAGCGCAGACGTGCTGAGCACCGAGCAGTCGGCCTCCCAGGCCATGCTGCAGAGCGGCTGGTCCATGCTGTTGCCCACCGCTGAGAAGCAGGCCCGGGCACTCTGCTCTCCTGCCCTGCGGAGGTGGGCTCGGGGAAGGAACAGGAGAGGCCATGGGTCAGGGTGCTGGGAGGGGATGGCGTTTCACTCAAATTGGCACACACTTTCTATTTCAGTTTCAGGCAATGAAGTGAGCATAAGTCCAGGTCATCGATTGGTGATTGATCTTCTGGTGGGCAGCTTGATGGCTGCTGGAGGGTTGGAGTCAGCCTTACACGCAGCCATTACTGCAGAGATCCAGGTATGGCCTTGGAGGCACACGTGACCTGGTGGTGGGCTGAGATCGGAAATACCACACTCACACATGTGAAGAATAACTGAAAACAGTAAAACACTAAACTTATATCCAAGTATTTTTTTAAATTAAAATTCTTTTTTGTGCTAATTTTAAAAATTACTGAGATGATTTAATTGTGATAAAATACTGCATGTTGTCTGTTTCAGTGAAGTTAACAGGTAACCTGTTCCTCATGTAGACCATTCCCGTCACCCGGAAAGATCCCTGTGCTCCTTGGCACTTGCAGCCAGGATACTCCCCTGCCCTGAGATTAGATTCATTTTTCCTGCTCTGAGTGTCGCAGCAATATAACTGTATAGTATGCACTCTTTCCTGCTTTGCCTTGGAGAATGATTTTCAGATTCGCTCACTGTTGTGTGTATTGCGACTTCGTTTTTATTATTGGGAAGTTTTCCATTTTATAGGTGTAGTACTGTTTGTTAGTTCATTTTCCTATTGAAGGACATGTAATTGTTTTTGGTTTTTGTTTTCTTTTTTTTTTTTTTTTTTTTTTTTTGAGACAGGGTCTTGCTCTGTCACCCAGGCTGTATACAGTGACCTGATGTTGGCTCACTGCAGCCTTGTACTCCTAGGCTCAAATGATCCTCCCACCTCAGCCTCCTGTGTTGCAGGGACCACATACATGTCACCATGTCCGGCTAGTTTTTTGATTTTTTTGTAGAGACAAGGTTTCACTGTGTTGCAAGGCTGGTCTTCAACTCCTGGGCTCCAGTGATCCCCCCACCTTGGCCTCCCAAAGTGTTGGGATTACAAGCGTGAGCCACCGCGCCCAGGCTTTCTGGTTTTTGGCCGTGTAGAGCTGCCACAATTGTGCTGTGAACAAGTACTTCAGTGAACATATGTTCTCCCTTTGGATAAACACTTGGAGTGGAATTTGTTAGGTCCTGGGGTTAGTGTGTGTTCATAGTTTCCCAAAGTGGCTTTGCCATTTGCATTTGAACCAGGACTTTTGTGTGTGAGAATTCTAGCTCCTTCTTGTCCTTACAGAGCAGCTGGATGCTGCGTGTGTGGAGCCGATCACATTGGGTTTTGTGTGAGCCATTAGCAGGGTTAAGGATTTTAGGGACTTCACAGAAGGAGGCTGGAGAGCATCAGCAGAGGCAGCCTAGACCTTGGATCTGTAAAAAGAAGACACTGTTTGAAACTGCACAAATGAGTTGGGGTTTCCAACAGGGCAGGTGGGGGCCTGTGGGTGGATGGGTGTGGCAGCCACAGAGGCTGGGATAGCTTGGCACTGGGGTCAGGGCTCAGCCAGCCTGTGTGCCTTCACACCTGGTAATGAGATCACTTGTAAACAATTTCTGTTTATCAATTACAGGATACAAAAAAAGAAGCACGGAAGGAAAAAGAAATTTATGAACAGGAAGCAAATGCCTCAACATTTCATAGAAGGAGGACTCCATTGGATAAAGGCCTTATTAATACGGGGATCTGTGAGTCTTCTGGCAAACAGTGTTTGCCTCTGGTTCAGCTCATACAACAGCTTCTTAGGTAAATCATATTAGCTGTATTGTATTGTGTTTTATTTATTTACTTTTTTGTTTTTTGAGACAGAGTTTCGCTCTTGTTGCCCAGGCCGGAGTGCAGTGGTGCGATCTTGACTCACTGCAACCTCCGCCTCCCAGGTTCAAGTAATTCCTCTGCCTCAGCCTCTCGAGCAGCTGGGATTACAGGCATGCGCCACCATGCCCCACTAATTTTGTAGTTTTGTTAGAGACAGGGTTTCTTCATGTTGGTCAGGCCGGTCTTGAACTCCCGACCTCAGGTGGTCCATCCACTTTGGCCTCCCAAAATGTTGGGATTACAGGCATTAGCCACCACGCCTGGCCTATTTATTTACTTATTAATGGTGTTTTTTTTTTGTTTTTTTTTTTTTTGAGATGGAGTCTTGCTCTATCGTCCAGGCTGGAGTGCAGTGTCACGATCTTGGCTCACTGCAACCCCCGCCTCCTGGGTTCAAGCTATTCTCCTGCCTCAGCCTCCCGAGTAGCTGGGACTACAGGCGTCTGCAACCACACCTGGCTGATTTTTGTATTTTTAGTAGAGATGGGGTTTTACCATATTGGTCAGGCTGGTCTCAAATTCCTGACGTCAGGTGACCCACCTGCCTTGGCCTCTCAAAATGTTGGGATTACAGGTGTTAGCCACTGTGCCTGGCCTGTATTGTATTTTAATAGGTGATTATTGGTTTTCATATTAAGATAGTGAAATCTAGCGCAAGGATCTCAAAAATTTGTTTGATGATTGAAGGAATATTCTGAAAATTACCTAGTATAGATGTTAGGATAAAGAGCAGACCCTTTTCAATATAGGTGAGAGGAGAAGTTGGAGGGTGTGATGATACTCAAAAGTTTTTCACTGAAGAGAAATTGGGGCGTGCAGTAAACATGTAAAAAGATTCTTACTAATAAGCAGGTGGATGCAAATGAAAATCATCATGGAAGGTTATTTTTAAAACTGGTTCTATCATTGCCTCACTTTATATATTACAGAGTTATACATACTACTTTGTAAGATAACTTTTCTTTTCAAAACTGAAGTCAATGTGATAGAATGGTGAGCATTATTTTGGAAGGCCAGACTAGGAGGAGGTGGGAGGAAGAAGTCAGACTCAGCCTGTGAACAGACGCTAACCTTGGCAGAAGCCAAAACAGTCAGACAGTGTTGTCTAAAAATGATCATTCAAGAAGAGCGAAACAGCAAGGTGATTTGTGAAAGAGATTTATTAGAAAATGAAACACATTTATACCTCTGTTCAATAAAAATCTGCTTTTCGTCAACTGATGCTCCTGGTTTTTGTTTCTACACATAGAGAAAGCAGAGCCCTGGCAGCTTGGGTCAGGCAGCCGAGTACAGACCAGGGAGCCCTGGGCAGTGGCTGCAGCTCTCAGCTGGCCTGTTCATGGGGCCATGGTGGGTCTGTGGCGTGGGGTGGGCCTGTGGCGTGGGGTGGGCCCGCGGCGTGGGGTGGGCCTGCGGCATGGGGTGGGCCCGCGGCATGGGGTGGGCCTGCTGTCCACAGCCAGAAAAACTAACTTAGTGCACACACAGTGAAATTTTGAAACAGGAAGTTTTAGAGCTAGTTTCTGTCATAGATTTTAGTAAATGCTATTTTGCAAAACCTTTTTCTGATGTTTGTTTTGTTTTTCTAATCTGATAATGCATATTTCACACATTCTGGTCTTTAACAAATGGAAATAAAGAGAACTAAACAATATAGTTTGTGTCGATGGAAAGAGCTTGGGATTTGTTCTCAGAAAATTTCAGTTACAACAGTTTGTTCATATAGGTGGACTTCCAACACAGTAACTATGGGAGTAAGAATAAAAGCTGTGTTTACTTTCACAGAGTTAATTAAGAATACATGAGAAAATGGATGTTAAAAACCTTGTAATTAAAATGTACAGTTACATGCAAAGTTTTAAAGTGAGCATTTTCCAGAGGTGCTTTTCTAAGTTCTTGAATGCCTCTCCCTTTTCTGAAGTGGCTGCTTCGTGGGGCTGTTGGTCTTTGGCAGGGGGTGAGTGCAGGGTTCCTGTTGTGGGTCCTTTGTTCTCACGAGGGCAGTGCCCGTTTTCCCCGTCTCCTGCTTGCCCAGACTGTTCCCGTGCGCAGAGAGACTGGCCTGTTTGACCTGCAGCTGTGCTGTTTGAGCTGCAGCTGTGTAGCCTGCGCTGGCCCATCTGGCTACACTCAACACCGTTTGCTGATCAGCACTTGAAGTCTGTCCGTCATAGCTGAGACACTGAATATTTTATCTGTTTAATTTTTATTCATTAAAATGCAGGTTTGAAAATTTGATTCCGTTATTAGAAAGCACTTAAGTATGTTTAGAATCACTTGGCCTTGGGAGTCTACTTTGTCAACTGTGTATTTTATGAGTCTAAATGGAGATCAGATGTTTTCAATGCAAATTTCACGGTCCAAATTGAAATGTGTTACATATGTAAGCTACTCAGATGGTTTTTGAGGACTTAATATGAAATAACCTATGTAAAATATCTCAATAATTTTTCTTAGATTGATTTCATGTTGAAATGGTCATATTTTTGATCTGTTGGAATAACTATGATACATTATTAAAATTATTTTTATTTTTTAAGATGGAATCTTACTCTGTTGACCAGACTGGAGTGCAGTGGTGCAATCTTGGCTCACTGCAACCTCCGCCTCTTGTGTTCAAGTGATTCTCCTGCCTCAGCCTCCTGAGCAGCTGGGACTACAGGACTACAGACTCCCGAGCAGCTGGCACTACCACCACGCCTGGCTGATTTTTGTATTTTTGTAGAGACAGAGTTTCACCATGTTGGCCAGGCTGGTCTCGGACTCCTGACCTCAAGTAATCTGCCCGCTTTGGCTTCCCAGAGTGCTGGGATTACAGGCATGAGCCACTGCAACCAGCCATTATTACAATTAATTTTATGTGTTGTTGTTTTTCTTCTTGGTGTTTTTTTTTTTTTTTTTTTTTACTTTTGTTAATGTGACTAAGAACAATTTTTTTTCCCCACCCGGAGATGGATCCTCACTCTGTTGCCTGGACTGGAGTGCAGTAGCACGATCTCAGCTCACTGCAGCCTCTGCCTCCTGGGTTCAAATGATTCTCCTGCCTCAACCTCCTGAGTGGCTGGGACTAACAGAAGCATGCCACCATACCTGGCTGATTTTTGTATTTTTAGTAGAGATGGGGTTTCACCATGTTGGCCAGGATGGTCTTGAACTCCCAACCTCAGGTAATCTGCCCACCTCAGCCTCCCAAAGTGTTGGGATTACAGGCGTGAGCCACCGCACCTGGCCATGTTTATTAATACGACTAAGAACATTTTGAATTGCACCTGTGGCTCCATTGGTGTCCTGGGCAGGTGGCTCTGTGCTGTCCACACAGGTTGTCTCCTGTGTCTTCGTCTTCGCTGCGTGTGACTTTTTGGTTCCTGTGGCACGTGGGGTCCTGTATGGGACATTGGTTCTACAGCAGATTTATAGTAAGGATGTACCTACTAAAAAATACAAAATAAAAAGAATAGACACAAACATAGAAATAAGTATCACCTCACAAAACTTTTGGAAAGTAGAAAAAGAAAAATGCATTCGCAGCTTTCCAGTAGCCGATATCCAGGCTGTCTTCATCAGCATGGATCATGTGTCCCTCTCCTGCATGGGTAGACACTGTTTTCTCACCTTAAGTGTTTGTGAGTGAAGGATTCTTGATGTGTTGACTTGGCAGATGCAGTTGTTGAACAGTAGTTTATCTAAAGATCGTAAGAGACTTTTGGAGACATTTCATGTCCTTTTTTCCCTTGGAAAACGTGGGTTGGAGAAATCGCTGCTTGCCAAAAATAAGCCGTGAAATGTATTTCAGAGTAGATCGTTATTTACATGCTGGCGAGGAGCCACAGAATACCATTTACATTTGAAAATAGAGCGCTGCGAAGTTTTTATAAGTAGTGAATCCCATCAGAATTACACATTTTGATTATGGCTCTAAATTTTATATTAAATAAACTAAAAATTTCATTGTATTGTATTACCGTCTCTTGCTCCTTCAGGTGTAGCATACATGCTAGATTCTAGACCTGTTTCTTGTGTTACAGTGGTGTTATCCAGGCAGGGTATCATGTAGTGAAGGTGATGTCGAGTGGTGGTGGTGAGCCCAGTGAAGGCGCATCCTTGCCGTGTGTGATGAGGGCCTGTGGGTTGCTATGGGATTCCCCAACCCTGGCTCCTCTGTCTCCTGCTTCTGTCCTTACTCACACTGCTGGTAGTTTTCTGGTGTGAGACACGGGGGCAAGTGGGATTGACAAGCCTGCTGTCACATTAGGAACCTGAGTTAAAGTGGAGCTGAAAGCATGTCCTCGCTCTTGATGTTGTGCAGAGAGCCACCTGTGCTCCTGGCTCAACGGGGCGGGTGTGGTGGGTCTGGAACCAGGCCCTGGTTTGGCTCTCCTCCCCTCCATGTTCCCCTGTCCTGTCTGATTTGCTTCACACTGACATAAGAGTTACTTTCCCTCGGCCTCCCAAAGTGCTGGTATTACAGGCATTAGCCACCGCGCCCAGCTAGCATCCTTTCAAGTACTGGGGTACACCCAAGCTCCCAGCTTCTAGCTAGGAGTCATTTTGTCCCTCTTTATCCCAAAGGACTTGCCACCATCTTTGGTTCCCAAAGCCCAGGAGGGTCCAGGCTCTTCAGCCTCCAACCACTTTGCATTTCTTGTCTGCTTTTCGTTCATGGAGATAATTAACTTATTTTTCAGCCTGGGCATGTCTTTTTTATTTACTTTATTTTTTATTTTTATTTTTTGAGATGGAGTCTCACTCTGTCGCCCAGGCTGGAATGCAGTGGCGGGATCTCATTTCACTGCAGCCTCTGCCTCCCGGGTTCAAGTGATTCTCCTGCCTCAGCCTCCTGAGTAGCTGGGACTACAGGTGTGCACCACTATGCCCAGCTAATTTTTACATTTTTAGTAGAGACAGGGTGTCGCCATATTGGCCAGGCTGGTCTCGAACTCCTGGCTTCAAGTGATCCTCCTGCCTCAGCCTCCCAGAGTGCTGGGATTACAGGCACGACCACCGCACCCAGCCTTTATTTACTTTGTATATCTCATCTATTACTGCTGCAGTTTGCAGAAGAGAGGATGCCCTCAAACCTAACTTCTCCAAACCATCCCAAATGGGAAGTCTGCTCCACGTCAACAGCATTGTTGCTTTTAAAGACTATACGTCAACATGCCAGATTATAGCAAAAGGATGTCGAGGGAGCAATAGGAAAGCAAGCCTGAGAGTCCTGGAGAGAAGGTGGCAGAGCTGCCTTTTGAAGGTGGTTCCTTCCTCAGACCCTGCCCTTCCTGCCTTGTTCCTCCAGTTGCCAGATTTGCTGTTGGAGCTCCTCCACGGGCGAAGAGGTGAGGCTGGACTGAGAGGGAGATGGAGAAGCTGCCAGAGATTCTTTTGGATCTAGAATTGAGACAGCAGTTCCAGCCAGGTCCAGAGGTGGGGGCTGTCACCCAGCCCCCAGGGGAATGGTACTGATTGCAGAATGTGGCGAGAACTCCCTGGCTGGGAGAGGGAGGTGCTTGCTCCCTTGAATCACCTGAGCCCAGGCTGGAAGGCCCAAGGGGGAGGACGAGGCCAGCTCACTCCAGCTCCATCCCCTCCCTTTAACCCTAAGCTAGTTAACCCTCCCAGACTCCAGTCCTTTTTCCTAAGTGCCCTCCCTGCAAAGTCTGCACCGAGCAGCGCTCCCTCGCACCAGCTCACCCTGCACTGTCTTGTCTTTCAGCAACCCCATGGGTTTGAACTTGAGACGATTCATGTTCCTAAAAGCCTCTTTGGGCTGAGGGAAGGCATGGGTGGCTCTGCCAGTTTTGGAGTGGGGGCCGACTCTTCTCAGAGCCGCTGCAAGGGCCAGGGCCACCCTCCCAGGCGGGTGTCTCTGGGCTGGGCAGCAGCTTTGTAGGCAGCCTGGGTCATCCCCACTGGCCTGGGAAGCTGGGGGTGCACCGGCTCCTGCTCCTGATAGGGCCAAGGCACCTTCCTTACCTAAGAGCTGACTTTCTTGAAGAGTGGGCACAGAGGAGCCGGCAACCTGGGCTGTGTAGGCACCCAGGAGAAAATCTGCAGCTCAGTATCAGAAGTCTCCACCAGCACGGCTGTTGCAGAGATGGGGAAACTGGGCTGAGAGGGAAGGGGGCTTGCCCAAATCACCAGCCCTGGAATGTTTGGAGCTTTGGGGGTGGATCTCCCAGGAAACGTGTTTTTATGGCACCACCGCCTCTGGTCACCCACCCCGAGGTGTGGCGGGCCTGGACAGCCAGCTTGACTGAGGGCCAGGCTGGTGAAGTCAAAACTACCACTCAGGAAGAAGACCTAGCCCTTCTCCAGACAGAGTTCAAATGTGAGGACTGCCTTCTTTGGGCCTCAAATTCCCCACGTGAATTCCAAGGACCCCTCTAGCTCCTACACTCTGGGCCAAGGTTTCCTCTGAGCCGCAGTCAGCCTAGAGGACCTAGGATACATCTTCCTTGGACAGAGACCCACCATAGGGGCAGCAGGAGGTAGGGGTGGGGGTAGGCAAGATTCCTGTGGGGAGGTGGAGCTGTCATCAGAGATGGTGTCTGCAGGCAGTGGGTGTATCGTGGCTCTGCTACTACTTGCTGGGTGGCCCCATGACGTTTCTTTCCCCACTCTGACCTCAGTTTCCCTATCTGTTCCGTGGAGATAAGATGCCTGCCTACATATTTGTGGACTGGGATGTGTGTGGGCCAGTTGCAGTGTTTCTTGGTGTGGTCCTGGGGCAGGCTGCACCACCCCATAGAGATTTCTGGGCCCCACCCTAGGCTCACAGGACCAGAATCTCTGGGAATGAAGCCTGGGAATTTGCATTTCCACAGGCATCTGGCTGATTCTGACATGACTGAAAAGCACTAATAGTATATAGCAAGCTCTTTATAAAAGGTAAATTCATAGCTGCCTTTTACTAAACATAAATCTCACCTTCCCTTCCTCAGTTAAGGACACACACCGCAGTTGAAAATCACTGTGCCTTTCCAGATGCAGAATCTGACCTTTCCGATAAGATTCTGTTAACTGCTGCTTTCTGCAGTTTGTATTCCAAAACAAGGGGAATATGTTTCCATTTTTTCAATACAAATGTTTAAGTCGGATATGCTTTCTCAAACTGGACACGCACTCACACAGCTTAGGGTTTCAGCTATGGCTTCCTCTCAAATTATTAGCCTCTTTCTGCCAGGGAGCAGTTTTTCCCAGACAAGACCCTGGACAGAGGTTGGTGGGGCCCTCCTCATCAGAATCACTAGATTATGACTGACCCCTAGAGGTGGCTTTTCTGCTTAAGTGTCAGCCCATGGGCTGGGTTGTGACCCCCAAAGCTGCGGCAGAAGCTTCCACCCATCCTGGGCCCCCCCTGCCATCTATGGGGAAAGGCCTGTCCCTTGTCTTCTGGGCCCAGCCGGCCTCACAGGCATTCAGCAGATTGGAAAGTCGAAGCATGTGCTGTGCTTGGCTGGGCTCTCCTGCGCCCCTTTTTGGGGTGAGGTGGAGTGCATCCAGCCCCCAGCATCCCTGCCGTTTATTCCCACCCCTCATCCCCACCCCCATACACACTCACAAGTACAAACACAAGCACAGTCACTGGCACACACCACTCTGGACAGCACCATTTCCAGCCTCAGCGGGGCAGTTTCCTTACAGGGAAGTTAATGAGGCACTAACGAAGGCTCAGGGGACAGGGGGAACCTCTATCGAGAAGAGGCTCCTAGACCTGGTTCTGCCTCTGAATTGCTGGGGGTCCTTGAGAAAGTTGCTATCCCTCTCTGGTCTCAGTTTCCTCAGGTGAGAAATGGGGGGCCGGCCAAATGGTCTAAGGTTCTGGGAACCTCTAAATCAGAGCCCGTAGCTGGTGGTCAAGATGAGGGAGAGGCCCTCAGGGTCAGCCGAATGCCTGAGAGGCCGGACAGGCCCAAAGGTGAGCAACGTGAGCACATCAGGTGGGCTCAGAGCTGGCGCATGAGCCCCACAGCCTGCAGAGCAGCCCTGTACTCGGGAGCCCGCTCGCACCAACCCAGTGGGACTTCAGAGATGTGGGGTCCAGCCTTTCCTACTATTGCTGGGCTGAGGGCTGGGAGCTGCAGATTCTGACCCCACAGCTGCCTTAGACATGCCAGATGGTCTGGGGCAAGACACACCCCTCTCTATGAAATGAGCAGCCAGTCCAAATAGGTACATTAGAGAAGGGCTGTGGGATGGACCCAGCTGTAGCCTGGGGCTACAGACTGGCTTCCGGGGTACTCAAGCAGCTGGCCTCTGGGGTAGCAGCCCCAGGTATGAGAGGCAGGACTCAGAATCTAGGCCAAGCCTCCATAGGAATCCCCTCTGGAGAGCCCGGGCACTCTGCAGGAGGGGCAGCAGGCAGCAGGTGCACCAGGAGCATGTTTCACAAGGTGCCCAATATCGCATCTGCTCAGATAGGCAGCGAGTTGGAAAGTGGATGCAATAGGCAGGGTGGCGGCTGCTCCCCACAGCCAGGAGTCCGGCCCAGCACCCACCTGAGTCCGCCTCAGTCCTGCTCAATTGGGTTATCCGTGCTCTTGGCCCTCTGGTCCCACCCACAGAGGGAGGTCTTTGGGGCGACCAGGTGAGCTGGCCCTTGTGGGAGGATGTAACTGACTCCTGAGCCTGGCGAGCCAGGCAGCCCCTCGCCAACGTCCCCACCCCTACCTCTCCAGCCCCCCCGCATTCCCTGATCCTCCCATCCGCTCCCCTGACCCAGCAGTTGCCTCTGCTCACTCTCTTTTCCTGCTCCCAGGCTCGCCTGGTCATGTGTCCTTCACTCTCCTCTGAGTCTCCCTCTTTCCAAGCCGCCTCCACTCTACTTGACACAGTCTCCCTTAAGACACCAGAGTACACAAGCGCAAGTCCCTGCACCTCACCTTTACTCCCAGACATGGGAGGGAGATGACATGAAGACCCAAACGCCACTTAGCAGGAGATCTGGGGTATGCAGAGGGGCAGAACGGAGGCTGTGGAAGCTCCAGGGGCTCCCTTCAGGAGGCCACATGTAAGCTGGCTATTGAATGTGGCTCTGAGCTGAGACCTCTCCTTGAAGCTCCAGACCAGGAGCCAGCTGATAGCTGGACCCCTCCATTTGGTGCCTCAGAGAAACTTTGCACTCTCTAGGTCTAACTTTGAACCCAGAAAATTCCCCCATGTCGGCCCTGTCTCTTCACAGGGAAAGCACCACCTCAGACCCAGTTCTGCACCAAACCCACATTTGAGTCACGAGGCTCCTGCCCTGCACTGTGAGCACTCTGGATAAGCCAGTGCTGAGGGGGAAAGAGCTCTGAATGCCAAGCCAAAACATGAGCTTCAACTCCACCTCCAGCTCTGAGAGCTGTGGGTAGGGAAGGGCCCTAGTCCAGTTTGCTGTAGAAAGATCAGTCTGCCACTGTATGGCACATGGATGGCAGGGGCAGAGTGCAGGTGGAGAGAACAGAAGGTGGGCAGGGCGGGGGAGGCAGGGACATGGCTGTAGCCGTGGAGATGGGAGGACAGACAGGACTTGGTGGCCACTTGGGTGAACCAAGGGAGGAGTCAGGAAGAGACACCCAGTTTTGTATCAGATGTGTAGAGCGTGGGATGCTGTTCATTGACGGAGGGAGGAGGAGGAGGAAGAGGTATGGCATGGGGAGGAGGTAGCTGAGCTCTGTCGTGAATGTCATTTGAAGTCCCCAGGGAAAGCCAGGCCGGCCAGCACCTTCACTGCTTCAGCCAGCTCTCAGGGTGTCTGTGCTCCCTGGCCCTCTCAGCTCCTGCTTCATAGCTGTCAGCTGCAGTGGGAGACAGCTGCACAAGGGCCCAGCATGTCTGTGTGTTTACCCAGGGGACTGCCGCATGGCCCATGCCGAGCAGAAACTGATGGACGACCTTCTGAACAAAACCTGTTACAACAACCTGATCCGCCCAGCCACCAGCTCCTCACAGCTCATCTCCATCCAGACGGCGCTCTCCCTGGCCCAGTGCATCAGCGTGGTAGGTGCAGAGGGTACCTGTGGCTCAGGCTCAGGTGAAGAGGCAGCTCATGCCCAAGCCCTAAGCAGTCAATGTCCAGAGGAATGAAATGACTAGAGTTGACTTAGACTCACCGGTACACGGTGGGGAGGCTGGAGGAGGGTCCATGAGGTTTATAGGTGTCCAGTATTTAATGAGGTCATGGTTTTGTTAACAAAGAAGAAATGAGGGTGGGAGCGAGATCACCACTGGCTAGGCAGCCAATGGGCCTGCAGAGACTCTGCTCAGCTGAGTCTCCAGCACGACCATGAGCTTCTCATCCTGATCCTCCCATCCCCACCCTACTTTTCTCCCCCAGCTTGCTCAACAGGTGACCTTACAGGCTCCCTACTCTTTGCAGGGAATAAGAACCAGACTGGGGGAACTGACGGGTACAGAGGCCCAGGTGTAGGCGCAGGACCACAGGCAGTGAAGCGTCTACTGACCCAGGCGGGTGAGGGTCTGGAGAGTGGGCATGGCTGCTGCAGGCATGGAAAGCAGGCACAGATGGCGGCACTCCCAGGGCCCATTGTCAGGGTCTCCACATGTGGACGTGTGCAGAGGTGGGGGTGCTGAGGGAGGAGGGGCAGGGAATTTCTCATCTTCTCTCTACTGCCTCTGAGTTGGAGATGTCAGAGGGAGCCATGGCCCACTGTAAAGTAACACAATGTCCCCACCCACAGGATTAGAACCCCTCCCCTGGAAGCAGCTCTGAGGGGAACAGTCACATGTAGAGAGTGCAGGGCACTGTGTCCAGCCGGGGGAAGGAGGTCACCAAGGGGGTTGACCCCCCTCTGGCCAGGTGGCTGCCTTCTGACACACCAGCCTCTGTCTCTAGCACGGTGGCCCCCACACACCCAGCCTGTGAAACCTACAGCCCTCAAGAAGGCTTTGGCCAAATTAAGGAGCGGCTCCCTCTCCCAGGAGGAAGCACAGGTGAAGGATGTGGAGGGCAGTAGAGTTGTGTGTGCTCCGCCCCCTTTCTCCACAGTCGGATGGAAAGAAGGGGGCTTTCAGCCAGGCTCGCCCAGGCTGGGGTCTGAGTGTCACTGTCCAGCTATTGGCTTCTTGCTTAATGGGTGAGCCCAGCTGCTCCCGTGCAGCTGCCGCCCTAGTGAGGGTGAACCGGCAGGCGAGTTACATTTCTGAAAGCCTGGGAATACAGTAAATATTAGGCTGTGGGCTGCTGGGCCAGGAAGAGTTGTTTATTTTTCAGGGTTTGTTTATCTATTGACTTGATGAGGGAGGGTTATAGGTACAACCAGTTTAAAGATGGAAATTTTGAGAGAGCAGGCAGGGATTTAGTGCTGGGTAAGCCTGGTCAAAGCGGCTCTTTTGGGGCGGCCAGAATCCAGTACCAATGTCCTCAGCATGTTCATCAGCTGCTGGGGGAGTGCGGGACAGCATGAAAGCACAGGAGAACTTTCTGGATGATAGAAATACTCTGTATCTTCAAAGGAGGTGGGTTCCATAGTAATGTTAAATGAGTTAAAACTCATCAAAATGTAAACCAGACCTGTGCATTTCACTAATAGAAATTATACCTCCAATTAAAAACATGTTTTAAAAGACAGATGGGCCGGATGCAGTGGCTCATACTTGTAATCCCAGCACTTTGGGAGGCTGAGGCAGGTAGATCACCTGAGTCAGGAGCTCGAGACCAGCCTGGAAAACATGGTGACATCCTGCCTCTATTAAAGGTATAAAAAAAAATTAGCCAGGCATGGTGGCACACGCTACTCGGGAAGCTGAGGCAGGAGAATTGCTTGAACCCAGGAGGCAGAGGTTACAGTGAGCAGAGATCGTGCCATTGCACTAGAGCCTGGGCAACAGCGCAAGACTCCATCTCAACAACAACAAAAAAAGGACAGATGAAGGTTTTCAACTTTCAGTAAAGGCAGAGGAGCTTGTTACAGATTCGCCTCCCCACAAGAGCAGTTAGAAAAACTGGATAAAAATGTGCCCCGCCCCCAATCAAAAACAATTGTTGGAAGGTAATTGGAGACCTCAGTCAGGACTTGAGTGACCAGGCCTAGGAGGTGATCCTGACAGTCTGTAGTGCTTTCCCACATTTGGTGATTGGTCAACAGTAGAGGGCTAAGAGGCTAAGAAACTGAGTATGAAGTGGTAGTTAAGAGGCTGGAGAGCCTAGCTGAATGTTTGGCACTCTCACAGGGCTGAAATGACCTAATGAGAATTTGGGTCCCAGGAAGGAGATGGGACCTTGGTGGGGACCCTGGAAGGGCCACCCCTGGGAGTCCAAATGAATAAAACATAGACCAGCCATCAGAAAACCTAAAACCTGCTTTGAACCAGCTTAGTCCCAAAGTAGATGAAGGCGATCTGCCCTTACTCCAATTGTGTGCCATAAACTCAAAGTCAATACTCTCTGGAGGCAGATAAAAGTTTACTATGAATGTCAAAAGACAACACAAGACTAAATGAGAAAGACCAAGAAGAAAACTAATAGAAACATACATGTAAGGAAGAAACTTTTTTTTTTGAGACGGAGTTTCGCTCTGTCACCCAGGCTTGAGTGCAGTGGCACGATCTCAGCTCACTGCAACCTCTGCCTCCCAGGTTCAAGCGATTCTCCTGCCTCAGCCTCCCAAGTAGCTGGGATTACAGGCATGCGCCACCATGCCCGGCTAATTTTTGTATTGGCCAGGCTGGTCTTGAACTCTTGACCTCAGGTCATCCATTTACCTCGGCCTCCCAAATTGCTAGGATTACAGGCGTGAGCTACCATGCCTGGCCAGTATTTTGCCACAATTTAAAATAAATAAAATTTTTTTTTCAGGTTTGTGCTCAGACTATATTCTAAACAGTCACATGGCGGCTTACTCTTCTCCAGGCCTTGCTGCCGGCTTTTACATGTTTATTGTCTTTGCCTTCTTGTCATGTGCTCATTAGATGGCAGCTTCCAGGTGCTCCTAAGGGGCCAGGAAAGAGAGTGAGAAGGCACGGAGGTTGCCAGATCATCCCCCTTGGGGCCCCGCCCTCATCAACTCCCTCAACCGGGTCTCCTGCAACTATTGGTGGGCCATCTCGGCCACCGCTTCGCCCTGAGCTTCCTGCTGCTGCAGCTGGGCAGTGCCTCCTTCTCAGAGGCCAGCTGCTGATAGGCGGCCACGTACTGCTGCAGGTGACCCAGGTAATGGTCTCGCTGCTGCTGCAGACTCAGCCTCTTGGCTCTTCAGCTCCACCTGCAGGATAGGCGTCAGGGTAGGTAGTGGCTGGCTTCCAGATTCTGGGCCCATAAACAGGGTAGTGAGGGCACTGCGGGGCTCTGTCGCCTACCCAGGCCCCTGGCCCTGGCCCCTTCCTCCAGGCCTAAATGACTGCCTCCCTTGCCTAGAGGCCCATGCCTCCCTCCCCAGCCTCAAATCTCACACCCTTCTTCCCACCATTTAAACTGTAGGCCACAGACTGGTGGAAAAGCAGAGGGAGCCAACCACCATCTGCTAAGTTGTGGTGAGGTCATTCTGTATGATCTCCAGGGTTTGCACACACCTCCGCCTGCTCCCCCCAAGAGCTCGGCCTTCTGCCCCAGCTTCCCCAGCCTCTCCTCCAGCTCCTGCAGCCTCACCTGGTGTTCCTGCATCTTCTCCTCCTGCTGCCGCAGCCTCACTTCCTGCTCCCACATCTTCTCCTCCTGCCTCCGCATCTTCTCCTCCTGTTCTTGCATCTTCTCTTCCTGCTCACACATCTTCTCCTCCTGCTCCCACATCTTCTCTTCCTGTTCCTGCATCATCTCCTCCTGCTCTCGTATCTTCTCCTCCTGCTCCCATATCTTCTCCTCCTGCTCTCGTATCTTCTCCTTCTGCTCCCGTATCTTCTCCTCCTGCTCCCTTATCTTCTCCTCCTGCCTCCGCATCTTCTCCTGTTCTTGCATCTTCTCTTCCTGCTCCCCCATCTTCTCTTCCTGTTCCTGCATCATCTCCTCCTGCTCTCGTATCTTCTCCTCCTGCTCCCGTATCTTCTCCTCCTGCTCCCGTATCTTCTCCTCCTGCTCCCTTATCTTCTCCTCCTGCCTCCACATCTTCTCCTCCTGCTCCCGTATCTTCTCCTCCTGGTCGTGCATCTTCTCCTCCTGCCTCCACACCTTCTCCTCCTGCTTCCGTATCTTCTCCTGCTCGTGCATCTTCTCCTTTTGCCTCCATATCTCCTCCTGCTCCCTTATCTTCTCCTCCTGCCTCCACATCTCCTCCTGCTCCTGCCTCTTCTCCTCCTCCCGTATCTTCTCCTGCTCGTGAATCTTCTCCTCCTGCCTCCACATCTTTTTCTCCTGCTCCCGTATCTTCTCTTCCTGCTCCCGTATCTTCTCCTCCTGCCTCCACATCTTCGCCTCCTGCTCCTGCCTCTTCTCCTGCTCGCGTATCTTCTCCTCCTCCTGCCTCTTCTCTTCCTGCTCCCGTATCTTCTCCTGCTCGTGCATCTTCTCTTCCAGCTCCCGTATCTTCTCCTCCTTCTCCCACATCATCTCCTCCAGCCTCCGCATCTTCTCCTCCTTCTCCCACATCATCTCCTCCTGCCTCCGCATCTTCTCCTCCTTCTCCCACATCATCTCCTCCTGCCTCCGCATCTTCTCCTCCTGCTCCCGTATCTTCTCCTCCTGCTCCCGTATCTTCTCCTCCTGCTCCTGTATCTTCTCCTCCCACTCCTGTATCTTCTCCTCCTGCCTCCACATCTTCTCCTCCTGTTGCTGGTTCAGGCGGTTCCACAACTCGTTCTCTTCCACCTGGGCTTGGAGCTTTGCTGACACACTCTGCAGCTCCTTACCCAGGTGGTCAGCCTCCGCCTGCAGCTGCTGCTGGAATAGTGAAAGTGTTTTTTTGAACCTCAGAAGGAAGCAGAATCATGAGCTAGCCACATAAATGTAATCTATAGGCTGGGAGCGGTGGCTCACGCCTGTAATCCCAGCACTTTGGGAGGCCGAGGTGGGCGGATCACGAGGTCAGGAGATCGAGACCATCCTGGTTAACACAGTGAAACCCCGTCTCTACTAAAAATACAAAAAAATTAGCCGGGTGTGGTGGTGGGCACCTGTAGTCCCAGCTACTTGGGAGGCTGAGGCAGGAGAATGGCGTGAAGCCGGGGGGTGGAGCTTGCAGTGAGCCGAGATTGCGCCACTGCACTCTGGCCTGGGTGACAGAGTGAGACTACTTCTCAAATAAATAAATAAATAAATAAATAAATAAATAAATGTAATCTATAAAATAATGGTTTTCATCCATGATCCTTTAAAAAAATATTTTTAAGCCCTAACTCTTGAGATTCTGATTCCCCAGGCAGGGCCCCAATTTGTACATTTTTAGTACACTCTAGAGGATTCTATGGCGGGACCAGAACAAGGACCCAAATTTTCCAGCTCTTGGCTGGAGCCTCCCCATACCCTGCATGATCCCTAGACCATGGTCCCAGCTGGATGGGTCTCCCACAACCCCCGGGGCTGCAGCTGCTCACCTGTGGCAGCAGGAGCTTGGCCCTCTCCAGTTTCCTTTTTAGCTCCTTTACGTTGAGCTGGATCTCAGACTTTTCAGATTCTACAAGTTGAAGTTTTTCTTGTAGTTTGGCATTTTTCTCCTTCAGCTCCTCATCAGTTATGCTATGGCCAGAGGCAGTAGAGAAAGGAATGAATGAAGAACATAAAAGACCACTTTGGTGATTGACCCCCTACCCTCGCCCCACAACCACAGAACCGTGGCGCTGGAAGGGACCCCAGGAATTAAAAGTCCCAGGTGGCAGGCCAGAGAGAAGACATGAGTTGCCTGAGGCTACCCCATGAGTCAGTGGCACAGCCAGCACTAGAGCTTCCGTGTGCACACATGAAAACATGTATGAGCCACTCCCCACACTCACCTGGACCCCCCACCTCCCAGCACACCACCCATGCTAAGGGCCCCCAGACCTCCCATTCCACCTTCCCCCATCCTACGTGTTCCTGTACAGTTCCAGACTCAGGGCGTCCCTCTCCTTTGTTAACTCCTCAATGTACTGCAAATAGAGAAAGGTTAAGTCAGGATAGAGCAGGCACAGCAGTAGCTGGACGACCAGGAACAACTGCTACAGTGACTACTCCACAGTAACACTTCCTCACTCTCAATCACACCTGACGTGTTCTCAAGGCATTTCCAAGCCCATGGTCTCATTTGTTTTTCTTTCTTTCTTTCTTTCTTTTTTTTTTTTTTTTTGGCAGAGTTTCATTCTTGTTGCCCTCACTGGAGTGCAATGGCACAATCTCAGCTCACCACAACCTACACCTCCTGGGTTCAAGCAATTCTCCTGCCTCAGCTTCCCGAGTAGTTGGGATTACAGGCATGTGCCACCACACCGGGCTAATTTTGTATTTTTAGTAGAGACGGGGTTTCTTCGTGTTGGTCAGTCTAGTCTTGAACTCCTGACCGCAGGTGATCCGCCCACCTCAGCCTCCCAAAGTGCTGGCATTACAGGCGTGAGCGAGAGCACCTGGCCCTCATTTGTTTTTCAAAGAACTCAGTGGATGTGGAAGGGACAGGGAAAGAGATTGAATTTAGAGCTGGCTAACAGGGGCCCAGAGCGATCAGATAATATTGTTATTGTTATTACTGTTAGTACTACCATTGTTCGAACCTTTCTTGAGTGCTTCACCAGGCACTATGCTAACAATCCCATTTAATCCTCACAACCTCCATAGGAGATGGTTACCATTATTACCTCTATTGTGTAGATGAAAAACATGCGGTATTAAAGGTTAAGTGCTGCCTAAGATCACTTGGAGCTGGGATTTCAACACCCAGCTATATCTGATTCTCTAAGCCCATTCTTCCGCTGGAGGTAGGGGCACAGTTAAGAAGGAGGAAATTAATCCTTTGTTGAATTTTTGAAAGGATGATACGTTCGCATAGTCCAAAACTCAGAAAGTCCAGAAGGGAAATATCTCCCCCCAACACTGTGCCTCTATCCTGAGTTTTTTAATGAATCCTTACAAACGTGTTTTATGTATGTTACCATAATACGTACACACACACACATATACACCTGCCCCCTCTCTCCACACAAATAATAACATACTCAAGATACTCTTCTGTACCTTTATGGTACAAGTACCCTAACCGCCACTTAGGACTTGGCCAAGGCCACAGCCAAGTATGGGCAGGGCGGGCACTTGGCCTCTGAGCTCTATGTCCAGTGCTCGCTCCTCACAGTGCTCCCCAACTCACCCACAACAGCCGACTCAGCCCCAGTCTGCCTCTAACAACCACACACAAAAGCAGCAAGAAATGGCCATGCTGCCTTCTGGGCAGGACACTCCATCCTACAGAAGGGACCTTTAGGCTCACTCCTCCATCTGCGAAGCTGGGCTCCCAAGGGACGGGGCCGTGTTTGGACTCACCCTATCCGCCTTCTTCTTCTGTGTAGCGACAGCAGAGAGAGCCTGCTCTAACTCTCCTGCAAACTTCCATGAATCATGCAGGCGGCTGATCAGATCCCTGGCCTCTCCTGGAATGAGAGACATTCAGATGTGGCCCAAAGGACTCCCCCTAAAGGCCTGTCAAAGTGCCAGGTTGAAGGATGATGGGGTGCCAGATTCCCACCTTCCAACTGCTTGACAGCATGCTGGCTGTAGTAGAGTGCCATCTGAAGCTCAGTTTTCTGACATGTAAGGATTCGTATGGTATGAACCTGGGCCTTTGGGAGAAAAGACAAGCAAATGCTGAAAGAGAAGCAAAGAAACATTCTCCAGAGGGCAGGAGGGAACTTCACACCCTCCACTCACCTCTAGCTCCCTCCTTAGGGCTTCCTGATGTTGGTGGCTTGCCTTCTGTTCCTATAGAAAGAGGAAAACAGAGCTCTTACTAGGGGGAGGCAGAGATCCACAGCAAGAGACATGCCCCCAGAATGGCACCACTGCCCCAGAACAGGCCCACCCATGGGACCAGTTTATCAGGGACCCTGTGGGGATGGGGTGGAATCTTGGGGGTGAGCCTTCTTCCCCAGGCTGGGAGTGGGTGAGATGAGCCTGGGGCCTCTACATCTGAGTGCCCCCAAACCCAGCGGTCATGTCGTGAGCAAAGAAATCACACTACTTCTTCCAGCTGAGCTCGGTTCTATTGTTTCTGTGGGGAGAGTCAAAGGAAGGTGACTGAGGGTGGCCCCCTTGACTCTATTCCCCAGGCCAGGAAGCGATAGGCAGGGGCCAGGAATGGATTTAAAAGGCACAGTTCTCAGACCCAATGGGAACATGAACTGGTCACCTCTCCTCAACTCCCAAAGAAGAAGGATTTGGGTCTTTTTGGTTTTTGCCCACAGCCACAGAACTCAAAGTCTGAAACTAGATTCTCTTGAAAAGACAGTAACAGAAACCTTCAGAGGTGGAGTGCGAGAAAAGCCCACCCTTCCGCCAGCTTGTGATTTAGAAAGGTGCATTCACTCAGCAAACGTTGAGCACATACGGGCCAGGGACGGTTCTTCACAGCGGGAATAGAGGTCAGAAAAGGCAGACAGGAGCCCTTGGCCCCGAGGTTTCCATTCTAGTGGGCCTTTAACTCTCGGGCTCTCAGAGCTAACAGAAACCTCTGATACTCTCTAACTCTACCTCAGGAAACGCAAGCCCAAGAAGGAGAGTTTACAGCAGGTCCTGGACGAGGGATTAACATAAAAACACAATGACAAATCTCATTTAAACTTCACAAACGTAAGGAAAACAATACCACTCGTATTTTACGGATGTGAAAAGAGAGGCCCAAAGAGCTCAAGCAATTTGCGCTAAATCATGTCCCTAGCAGATGGAGGGGTAGGATTCAAACCCAGAATTCTTAGCCAGTACCTGGCAGTTCTTCCACAATCTTAACAATTACCCTCCACCACCCCTTGGGCCCTCTGTCCCCAGGAGCCCGGCCAGCCAAGACTCACATCCTCAGGCGAGTGGCAACCACCAGAAGTGGTTGTCTCAGGGTTAGTGCCATTATTTATTTTCTTCTTTTTGGTGTCGCTTGCTGCTGTACCAACACTAGGGTTGGTCTGGGGATGATGGTCTGTCAACTGTGGAAAGGAAGAGCAGTGATACTCATGAGAACTACAAGCTCCTACAGTCACATCCTGCTTTACAGTTTATACTAAATACCCTTATAGACCATCTGATTTAATGCCACCAACTGTAGGAAATGTTGTCACAATCACTTAGTGACTGAGAGAGATTGATACCATGGCTGAAAAAAAAGGCAGTAATGGAACTTAAACTCAGTCTTCTGACTCTGAGCTCTGGGATTTTGCCCTAAATCAGCAGCTGCCAGGGACCAAAACCAGAGGCAGAGGTAGAAAAGCAAATATTAAGTAGGCAGGAACTGTGCACTATGTGGTTTAGGGTTATTCACCCTCACACGTCTGTTAGTGTTAAAAAGTACACCAGTACCTCTCAAACCTTTACATCAATGTCTCCTCATGGCAGAAGGCAGCCTTTCTGCTAAATCTGGGAATTTAACAGAAAGAGGACAACCCAAGCCTCATTTCAGAGAGAAGTCTTGTATACGCTTATAAATCTACGTGACTTTCATCCCTAAGTACATTAATGTTTTGCCTCTCAATAGAATCAAGGGAAACTGATGCTTCAGAAAGATGCCCCATATTTATCCTGTGGCACTCAAAGTACCCCAGGTTGAGATGAGATGAGGAAGACTCAAGCTAAGTTCAGTTTCCCAAGATCTGTTCCACAGAAGATAAGCAGATCTCACTCCAGAACCAGTGACTGAGGGGCACTCTGGTCCCAGAACAATGGAGAATTCAAATCTGAGGTGCAGAACTGAGAAAAAATGTTAAAATCTCTCTGGAGAGTAGAAGCCTGGGAGAAAACCAAACCAAACCCGTTCTCCCATTGCCACCCAGAGACACTGTCAACGTGTCGAGCTCATGGGGGAGGTGTAGGCTTTTCACACTGTCAAGGTCTGTGGTAAGGAAGTCAGGCAGCCTGAAACCTCTCTCTTCTAGGTCCCACAGTCCCCATTCCCCTTCCAGCTGGAAACCTGTGCTGCAACCAGAGGAAACAGAAGTGGGCAAGAACACTTAGGGGACTGGGTCCTAAGACCAAAGGCCGGTCTTGTGGTAGTAATGACAGTTTGTAGCGGGACTGTGACATCACTACATTCTACTCCTCGGTGGAGTGGTTGGGGGGGACACATGAGTGCAATGCCCAAGTTGCCGCTTTGAGACTGGGGAGGGGGTCACAAAATTGGGAGCCAGGTCCTTGGAGACGTGACCCCAAAGAGCCCCGGGAGGTCAGGCTTGGGGCGGCAGGAGGTGAGGGCCAATTAAGGAGCAAGGAGCTCCAGGAGTCACATCCCCAAAGTCACCCTGTGGCAACTGGTGAGGGCAGGTTCTGGGGCACCCAGGTCCTTGGAGATGTGAGCTCAAGGAGCCCAGGGAGGTCGGGTTTGGGGTAGCAGGAGGTAAGGGCGGAGTATGGAGTTGGAAGCCCCAGGAGTCACCTGCTCAAAGTCACCCTGGTGTGCCGGGCAGAGCAGGGGCAGGACTTATGAGGGGGTTGGGCTGGCTGACAAGATTTTGGTGTGGGGAGCCCAGAGGCACTGGGGTGGGGGGCCCAGCCTGGTGTCCCTCAGGAGTGGCACAGACTCTGGCAGCAGTTCGGCTGTCAGAGGGGGCCTCGGGTTGGGTTGGGGTGTTGGTGCGTTTACCTGTTCCTTGGCCTCGGCCAATTTGCTCTGTCTGGTTTCTTTGGACATCATAGGATGGGTAGGGAGGTGGGGATGGGTAGGGAGGTGGGGATGGGTAGGGAGGTGGGGTTGGGGCCACATCAGCATGATCCAGGTGAGGACAAGTATATACCTCCAGTCACCTCTACGTCGCTGTGTGACTGAGCCAGAGGAGGCGTAACCAGGGCTGCACTAGAATGCAGAATAGGGGTGTGGCCTTCATGCTTGAAGCCCATTGGTCAATGAGAAAGATGAAAGGAAAAGGAGGTGTGGCCAGACAGCAGCGTGTCATCAAGGACCTGTGTTGTCACAAGGAAAGCTGCCTATGCAACCGCTGTCCCCGCCCACTCCAGGAGAGGGGCGGGGCTGGCTTTCACTTTAAAAACTTTAAAACTTTATTACCTCAATTGAGGTACAAGTCCTATTAAAATGGAAATTTTATAGTGTGCTTGATGATTGATAAAGCAGACTTTATTATCCAACATTCCAATAAGATAATCACAATGTTTTCTCTTTTTTGGAAAAACTTTCTCTTATTCTCCTACATTAGCGTTTAGTTTTTTTTAAAAAAACAAACAAACAAGAAACATGTCTAATATCTTTAAAAATACAAAGCTTTGAGCCAGGCGTGATGGCTCATGCCTGTAATCCCAGCACTTTGGGAGGCTGGGGCGGGTGGATCACCCGAATTCAGGAGTTCAAGACCAGCCTGGCCAACATGATGAAATCCTGTCTCTACTAAAAATACAAAAGTAGCTGGGCATGGTGGCAGGTGCCTGTAATCCTAGCTACTTGGGAGGCTGAGGCAGGAGAATCCCTTGAACCTGTGAGGCAGAGGTTGCAGTGAGCCAAAATCATGCCACTGCACTTCAGCCTGGGCTGCTACAGAATGTGACTCTGTCTCTAAATACACACACACACACACACACACGCACAGACACACACACACACACACACACACACACACACACACACAAGGCTTTCCATTTAATAAGCACTCAAAGTTCTTTACAAGGTTAAAGCAAATACAGGACCCTTCTAAAGTAAGGCTAAATGCTAAGTGATGGGGGAGAGAAAAAGGACATAAATAACTCCTACTCTCATGAGTTAATCACTAAATCCGATTTTTCTAGAATCACCTGGCCTCTAAGCCCTGAAAATGAAACTGAATTTCTCACTCGATACTTGGCTATGACTTGCAATCATGAAAACCAAGAATTGTGTTATGTCACTGTGTATTGCTTGTTACCTGGGATCAAGGGTTGACTTTTTCATGATTTGCTCCATTACCTGTGTGCTTCTTCTCCCAGTCCAAACTACGCTTTTTTCTAGAGTTCTACAATTTACAGTTAGTATGTAAGGGTGGCTCTCAAACATGTAGTCTCCGGACCAGGAGCACCTGGGAACTTCTTATAAATGTAAATTCTCAGGCCCCACCCTAGACACGAATGAATCAGAAACTCTGCAGTAGGGCCCAGCAATCCGTGCTGCAATAATCCCTCCAGGTGCTCAGGAACCTCTGCCATACAGCAGGTAGAAAAATGTGTTTCCTTCTGTAGGTCCAAAGCCAGGGATACTATATGTTCTGTCTCAATATGAAACAATGACATGCAATTAAAAGACATAAATCTCCTTCCTACTTCCACCCTCCAGCCAGTGTGTTTTATTTTTATGAGTTCAATAAGAAAACGTGTGGCAATCAGAGATTTCATCTAAAAAATATATCTACAGGTATCAGTTCTCATCCAGCCTGATCTCATCCAATATCATTTCTATCCTCTTACATCTAAAGTTTTAGAAAAGGATTTTCACAACGTAAGACTCAGGCGCACTAGGAGTTCTATGATAAAAGACCAAGTAGATCTGAATGTCCAAACTTACTAGAGAAGAAAAGTGGACTCATTGGCTATATTTTCAAATTGCATTCAACAGGAAATTAAAGTTTTGAATTTTTTCCACCTTCATCCTTCCAAGTTAATAGAATTAAACCAGAATACTCCATTCTTCCAAAGCCTGTAGCCAGGCAAACTTTTACTGTATTACTTCTTGCTTTTCAATGGATATAAAGCAGAGTCCTGGTAGGCACATTTTGTATACCTGCAAAGATGCAAAACTAAACAGTTCCCTCGGTTCAATATTAAAACAAAAGTCCTGTAAACCTCAGATGGTGAGTGTAATACTTCAGCACTAGCACGAAAGCCTCAAATATAAAAAGATACCAAGAACCTTGCTAGCAAACCAAAGTAAGCTCTTGGCCGGGAGCAGTAGTTCACGCCCGTACTCCCAGCATATTGGCAAGCTAAGGTGGGGTAAGTCAGGAGTTAAAGACCAGCCTGGGCAGCATAGCGAATTCATATCTCTACAAAGAAAATTTAAAAATTAGCTGGGCTTGGCGGCACACACCTGTAGTCCTAGAGCTACTTGGGAGGCTGAGGTGGGAAAATCACTTGAGCCCAGAAGTTTGAGGCTGCAGTAGCTATGATCATGCCACTGCACTCCAGTTGGGGTGACAGAGCGAGATCTAATTATTACATTCTGTCCTGCTCCTGTTTCCACTAAAATCACTAACTTAAAATGTGTTCATTCAGCAGGATAAAAATTAAGTGAAATTTGACTTTGGTGCTTTGCTAGCAAAAAATAAATAAATAAAGTGAAGTGACAAATTACTTACTGGGAGAAGATCTTTGTAACCTCAATGACAGATTAAAGGTTTGTAGCCTTAGCCTATAAAGAAATCTTTAAAATTACTCAGAAAAAAAAATGAATGATTTGCAGCAGAAAATGGGCAATGGAGAAACCAGCACTTCCCACAAGAATAAAAATGGCCAATGAGCAAATGAAAAAGATTCAAAAGCACTAGAAATCAAAGAAAGGTAATGAAAACAATGAGATTTTCTGCTTAAAGACCAGCGAAGATGACAAATGGAAGGGGGAACCTGGAGCTCTGTCCCTGTTGGTGGGAGCATAAACTCAACCAATTTTCCTGTAGGATGATTTGAACATTTCTTTTAAAAATCCTAAAACTGTTTTATATTACTTTCCTCTAGAAATTCTACTTCTATGAATTCAGTGCAAAAATCCTGACTCGAGTCCATTAAAATATATATAGAAGGAAATCCACCTCTGGGGTGGCAATGACTCACTTAACATACATCCAGTGATGATGCCAGGGTATATTTCTCCATAGAAACATGCTTAAAATATAGTAAGTGACAAAAGACCATGTATTGTGATTCTACTTTTTAAAATGTTTACAGCATAAAAAGTGTGAAAAGCAACAAACCGGAATGTTTTGAGTGGCAAAATTAAAGATTTTTCTTTACATTTTGTCATCCAAATTATTACAAAAACAATGTGATTTCCTTTATAATCATGGAAAAGTGTTATTTTCATTTATTTATATTTACATTTCTTTTCTTTTTCTTCTTTTTTCTCCTGTATGTATCCCACATAGGCTACAGAGCTTAAATCCCTGCCTCTTGAGAGAAATCAGCCCATTTTCAGGACATGCAATACACAAAGCTGCCCCATCTTCCCTTTATTTTTATTTTTATCTTATTTATTTATTTATTTATTTATTTATTTATTTATTTATTTATTTATTTATGTTGAGATGGAGTCTCACTCTGTTGCCCAGGCTGGAGTGCGGTGGCGCATCTCAGCTCACTGCAACCTCCATATCCCGAGATCAAGCGATTCCCCTGCCTCAGCCTCCCGAGTACCTGGGACTATAGGCATGCACCACCATGCCCAGCTAATTTTTGTATTTTTAGTAGAGAGGAAGTTTTACCATCTTGGACAGGCTGGTCTCGAACTCCTGACCTCAAGTGATCCGTCTGCCTTGGCCTCCCAAAGTGCTGGGATTACAGGCATGAGCCACTGTGCCTGGCCTGTCATATTATTTCTAAACATTTGAGTGACATTTCAATTAAGTGAAATTTAATTCTTACTGACCTGATCTCTTATCCTCTGTTTAATGATACCTTCCAGTTGAAAGGTGTTTCCTCTGTAATCACGGGTGCCAAAGGAAATACAACATGTATTCATTAGGTGGATCCACTAAACCACGGATTCACGCATTGTAGTCCTTACACCCTCAGCATCAGAAACACGTGGGAACTTGTTAGACATGCAAATTCCTGGGCCAGCCCCACACCTCCTGAATCAGAAAGTGGGGAAGGACAGCTATCTGTGCTTTAATAAGCCTTGAGATGCTCCCTGAAGTTTGAAAACTACAGAACTAGAATACATATGGTAGTAAGTGCTCATACTTTATCCAAGGTACTAGGGACTCTTCCCCTCTTTTCCATTCTCTTTTCTGTTGAAATAAAATGAGAGCTCCTTTTGACTTAATGGGTATAAGCAAGAAGGCAATGAGATGACCAGGGTTTCAAGTTAGAGTTCAAAATTTAATCAGTGGACAGTGACAGGATGCAAGCCTTCTAAACAGATTGCTGCAAGGAAGCTGATTATAATCTATACAGTAGGTATCATTAGTGTATTGATGTTAAATTTTGGGGGTGGATTAATGGTATTGTGATTATATAGGAGAAGTCCTGGTTCCTAGAAGATATCTGCGAAAGTACTTAACAGTGAAATGCTCTGATACTGCCAACTTACTTTGAAATGATTCAGGGGGAAAAAGGGCACATATACAATCTTCCATACGCAGAAGACAGAAAACAAGTGTGACAAAACATTAACTAGTGAATCCAGTTGAATAGCATACAGATGTTCACTGTATGATTTTATCAACTTTTCTGTGTTTGCAAGTTTTCAAAATAAAAGTTGAGGGAAAGAAACATCACCCCAAATCTTTCTATGAAATGGGACCACAGAAAAAGCAGAGAAGTGAACACTTTGCAGAAAAGAGCACTGCACCCATCCGGACAGCATGGTCAAAGTGCAGGCTCTCCTCCAGGAGGCTCTTCTCTGGTCTCTTCTGTGCTGTCACTTCCCCCACATGCAGCCAAGGCTTTTTTCTAACAACTCTTTTTCTAAAGATGTAATTTTTGTCATTCATCTAAGAAAGAGAAGAAAAGAATTAGTATACATTTAGAAAATAAAATTACACTTACATTTGTGAAAAAGCAAAAAATACTTTGAAAAGTGGGGAAGCAAGAAATGTACTGTTCTACAATTCTGTTCTGTTCTTACCATCTTTTTATTCTGCCAATGACTTCCTATTCCTGCTGTGTATGGTGGGGTGAGCTGCAAATGATTTCTTTTCCTCATTGATTTAAAATGTCATGTTTATAATGTACCAAACTCCCCCAGAAGCATTTGGGTTTATTTCTGGGCTCTATTCTATTCAAGTAATCTATCTGTTCACAAGCCACTATCAATTTTGATTATTGGAGCATCCTAAAGTTAAGTAATTGTTGTTTTTGTTTTTGAGATGCAGTCTCTCACTCTGCCGCCCAGCTGGACTGCAGTGGCGTGATCTAGGCTCACTGCAAGCTCCACCTCCCGGGTTCATGGCATTCTCCTGCCTCAGCCTCCCGAGTAGCTGGGACTACAGGCACCTGCCACCACGCCTGGCTAATTTTTTGTATGTTTAGTGGAGATGGGGTTTCACCTTGTTAGCCAGGATGGTCTCGATCTCCTGACCTCGTGATCCGCCTGCCTCGGCCTCCCAAAGTGCTGGGATTACAGGCGTGAGCCACCGCGCCTGGCCCTGAATTTGCTTGAGTTTTTAGCTCTCTCACCCATTTCAGGATTGTCACCACCCATATCTGACACGTCCTCCTCCTCCTCTAAATCTTCTAGGTCCTCCTGGCCATCAGCCTCTGTTTCTGAACCAGCCTCTTCATGCTCCTGTTCTTCACTCTCTGGGAGAAGACTGATATCTTCATCTTTCTTTCACTAACCGCATTCTGGAAGCACTGTAAAATTGCTTCATTTTGCAATTCCAGTTGTTGCAAAGTCTGCTCATCATCAAAACTTTCTATCACAAGTTTTTGTAAAGAGCTGCCATGGATTCTACCATTCTCTACTGTTTTATTAAAGTCATAAAGCACTTTCGTTAAAGAAGTGAACTTTGGTTCCAATCCAGCTTGAAACCTATTGGGAGGAATTAAATGAGATTTAGAATTATAGATAATAATTTCACAGCCCTCTTAATTAAAAGAAAAATAAAAACCTCAACTCTTCTGTAAAATCAAATTTGAATAAAGTGTAAGTATAGATTCTGGCCCCAACAATATATAAGCTGATGAGCCACAGTGATATATAAAACCTGTCAACCAAGTATTTGTGAATCAGCTGTATAGATTGTTGGCAGGAAAAGCATTACAAATCTATTTGCTTGGAGATGTATAGAGAATTAGCCTTAAATTTTCTACTCTGCTACATTATATACCACTCCATTCATTCATTCCCTTATTCACTCAATGATCAACATTTGCTTTGGCTTACAGTGGTCAAGGAAAACCTCTCCTAGATGTGACATCTGAGGTGAAACTTACAGACAAGTATAGTCTTATAAAGATTGGGAAACATGTATTCCAGGCAGAAGAAACAGCAAGAACAAATTCTCTAAGATGCAATTGAGCTTGGTAAGCCTGAGGAATAAAAAAGTGAGCATGGCTATAGCGTGAAGGAGGCAGAAGGTGAAGTCGGAGAGACTGATGGGAGCCAAATTCTGCAGGGCTCAAGGGTAAGAGTTTGCCGTTTTAAGTGTAATAAGAAAATGTGAGAAGATTTTAAGCAGAAGGATGAAATGATGATTTATACGAAGGAAGAAGAAAGGGAGGAAGGAGGAGGAGGAAAGTAGAGTGATTAGAAGGTTGATGCAGCATTCCAGGCAAAGGATGATGGTGATTTAAGCTGGAGTTAGAGCAGTGAATATGCTGAGTACAGTTTGGAGGTAGAACTGACAGGATTGCTAAGGAATTAGATACAGAATAGAGAAAAGTGAAGACATCAAAATAGCAGCCTAGTTTTATGTGCGAGCAACTGGAGAGACAGAACTGCCATTTACTGCGATAGGCAAGGCTTGAGTGGTGGAGCAAGGGGAAAGGACTTCAGCGGATGGCAGAGTGTAGGTGGGTAGAAACAACATTCTACTGTATTTTGGACACGGTGAATTTGTGATGCTGAGAGGACCAAAATTTAAAAAATTGTTAAAAGCCGTACGGTGCGGATATCCCAGTTGTGCGCTACTGAATTCCAACTAAGCTCAGTCTGGAGTTGCTTGTGAGCAAGGAACTCAAGGGAGAGGTTGGAGTTTGAAACATAAATGAGTCATAATTTTATAGGTCATATTTGAAGTTCTTCAACAAAATACACATAAAACGTTTGTGTTGGGAAGAGACATGAAAGTTCTAATTCTCAAGAAGCTTAGTGGGGTAGACAGACAAGTGACAAGTTTGTGCTTTCAATAAAGTATGATGGCAGGTAAACACTGAGTGCTTTAGGAGCACAGGCGGAAGGAGAAACCAACACAGTTGTGTGTAGGGGGATGGGGGCCGTAATAAGCCTCAAGGGGAGCTTATAGGCGTGAATAACTGAGGTTAGGTTGATTTCAATAACATTCAACTGAGAGATCCATACTGTAAAAGTTTTAACAATTTTTAAAATTTTGATAGCCTAGGTCCTCTGAAATGTGGGGAAAAGTGATTTACATTTCCCCTTACCTTCCCCCAGCTCCACAATTTGCCAGGGGTCTGCAACCCGTGTCCACGTGCGACCGCAGTCGCACCCGAGCCCGGGATCTGTGCACTTACGTGAGGATGCACTCGGGCCAGCCAGTGGCTTTGCCCACCTCCCTCAGACACCGCTCCAGGGTCCGTCAGCGCCAGGCCCATGGGCCATGGCTGTCTGCAACTCCCGACACAAGCTGCAAGGCAAGAGAGCCGCTGGGAAACCGCACCGCAAGGATGCTGGGATTGGAACAGGAATTAAAAGAAATGAAAAAATGTGTAAGCAAAAACTCAGCTGTATGTAAAAAAAACCCAATTCCCCCTGAGAATGAGAAAGAGCCTTAGTCCTTTAAAAAAACTACCTGTTTTCCTATGGCTAGTGAGCCTTATCGCTCCCTTCCCAGGCATTATCAAAACCCTAATTCCCTAACTGTGCAACTGCAAGGTCACTAAACAAACAAATGCAAGTCACAAAACATATTTTTCCTAAAAACGTAAAAAAAAAAAAAACATAATGCGTGCTTCAATTAAATAACTCTCTGTTTCTCGCTTCTGTAATATGCTTCCCCCTGCACAGATCTACCCGGGCTCCACAAAATGCTAAAAGATAACTCTTTATTCAGCTCAACGCTTTGATCTGCCTGGCGTGGTGGCTCACTCTTGTGATCCCAGGACTTTGGACGGCCAAGTAGGGTGGATCGCTTGTGCCTTGGAGTTCCAGACAGGCCTGGGCAACATGGTGAAACCTGGTCTTTTTGTTTTGTGTTGTTTTGAGACGGAGTTTCGCTCTTGTTGCCCAGGCTGGAATGCAGTGGCTGGGTCTCTGCTTGCCGCGACTTCCGCCTCCCGGGTTTCGGTCGTTGTCCTGCATCAGCCTCCAGAGTGGCTGGGATTGCAGGCATAAGCCACCAAGCCCGGCTAATTTTGTATTTTTTTTTTATTTTTATTTTGGTACAGATGGGGTTTCTCCCTGTTGGTCAGGCTGGTCTCAAACTCCCGACCTCAGGTGATCCACCTGCCTAGGCCTCCCGAGGTGCTAGGATTGCAGGCTTGAGCCACCGCTCCCGGCCCAACTTATTAATCAGAAAGGAATAGATCGTCCTGGTGTGGTGGCTCACGCTTGTGATCCCAGTACTTCGGATGGCCCAGCGCGGGGTATCCCTTGAGCCTAGGAGTTCCAGACCTGCCTGGGCAACATGGTGAAACCCGGTCTCTCTCTCTCTCTCTCTCTCTTTTTTTTTTTGAGGCGGAGTTTCGCTCTTGTTGCCCAGGGTGGAGTGCAGTGGCTGGGTCTCCGCTCGCAGCGACTTCTGCCTCCAGGGTTTTAGTAGTTCTCCTGCCTCAGTCTCCGGAGTGGCTGGGATTGCAGGCCTGACCAACATTGCTCTGCTAATTTTTTTTTATTTGTTTTTGGTAGAGACGGGGTTTCTCCATGCTGGGCAAGCTGATCTCAAACTCCAGACCTCAGGTTATCCGCCCACCTCGGCCTCCGGGGATGCTGGAATTGCAGGCGTGAGCCAGCGCACACACCCAATTTATTTTTATTTCATTTTTTATTTTTATATATATATACTTTTGAGACGGAGTCTCACTTTGTCACCCAGGCTGGAGTGCAGTGGTGCGCTGTCTCGGCTCACTGCAACCTCTGCCTCCCAGGTTCAAGCGATTCTCCTGCCTCAGCCGCCTGAGTAGCTGAGATTACAGGCACCCGCTAGCACACCCATCTAATTTTTTTTTTTTTTTTTTTGTATTTTTAGTAGAGATGGGTTTTCATCATGTTGGCCAGGCTGGTCTCGAACTCCGGACCTCAGGTAAACCCACCTCGGCCTCCCAAAGTGCTGGGATGACAGGAAGGATCGGCCTGGCGTGGTGGCTCACGCTTTTGATCCCAGGAGTTTGGACCGGCCGAGCGTGGCGGATCCCTTGATCCTAGGAGTTCTAGACCAGCCTGGGCAACATGGTGAAAACCGGTCTCTCTCTCTCTTTTTTTTTTTTTGAGGCGTAGTTTCCCTCTTGTTGCAGGGCTGGAGTGCAGTGGTGCGGTGTCGGCTCCCCGCGGCCTCTGCCTCTGGGTTTGGGTGGTTCTCCTGCCTCAGCCTCCGAGTGACTGGGATTGCAGGCGGGAGCCACCATGCCCGGCTCTTTTTTTTTTTTTTTTTTTTTTCTGGTAGAGACAGGTCTCTCCATGTTGGTCAGGCTGGTCTCAAACTCCCGACCTCAGGTGATCCGCCCGCCACGGCCTCCCGGGGTGCTGGGACTGCAGGCGTGAGCCACCGCTCCCGGCCCAATTTATTAATCAGAAAGAAATAGATCAGCCTGGCGTGGTGGCTCACGCTTTCGATCCCAGGACTTTGGACAACCGAGCGTGGGGAATTGCTTGAGCCTAAGAGTTCCAGACCTGCCTGGGCAACATGGTGAAAATCTGTCTCTTATTATTATTATTTTTTTTTTTTTTGAGGCGGAGTTTCCTTCTTGTTGCCCAGGCTGGAGTGCAGTGGCTGGGTCTCCGCTCGCGGCAAATTCTGCATCCCGGGTTTTGGTGGTTCTCCTGCCTCAGCCTCCTGAGTAGCTGGGATTACAGGCGCCTGCCGCCACACCCGGCTAATTTTTTTTTTTGTATTTTTAGTAGAGACGGGTTTTCATCATGTTGGCCAGGCTGGTCTCAAATTCCTGACCTCCGGTGATCCACCCACCTCCGCCTCCCCAAGTGCTGGGATGACAGGCGTGATCGGCCTGGCGTGGTGGTTCACGCTTTTGATTCCAGGACTTTGGACTGGCCAAGCGTGGGGGATTGCTTGAGCCTAGGAGTTCCAGACCGGCCTGGGCAACATGGTTAAACCCAGTCTTTTTTTAAATTCCTTTATTATTATTATTATTATTATTTTTTTGAGACGGAGTCTCTCTGTCGCCCAGGCTGGAGTGCAGTGGCGCTATCTCGGCTCACTGCAGCCTCTGCCTCCCAGGGTCAAGGGATTCTCCTGCCTCAGCCTCCTGAGTAGCTGGGATTACAGGCGCCCACCACCACTCCCGGCTAATTTTTTTTTATTTTTTAGTAGATCGTGGTAACTGCCTTAAAATGATGATTGTTCAGAAAGTCAGTTTAATTTAGATACTAAGGATATTGAGGTTATGTAACATTTGAGCAAGTTCTAAAAAAAAAGAGAAATAGTATATTTAATTGCTAATAAAGTATTGTCAACTCACAAATATATTCACATAGCATACATTTCAAGAGCAGAATAACCATGAATATAAAAGGAATTAGCAAAAACGAAACAAAAAAGACATGAAGAAATAAAAACAGATGGAACAAATAGCACAAAATACGATGAAAGTTATAAAAGAAACTATGCCAACAATCACAATAAATGTAAATAGACTGAATAATTAAGAGAAAATGACTATAAAACAGAATTAGGGCACGCGTGGTGGCTCATGCCTGTAATCCCAGCACTTTGGGAGGATGAGGCAGGCGGAGGGATCACAAGGTCAGGAGTTCGAGAGCAGCCTGACCAACATGGTGAAACCCCATCTCTGCTAATACAAAAATTAGCCGGCGTGGTGGTGAACATCTGTAATCCCAGTTACTCAGGAGGCTGAGGCAGGAGAATCGCTTGAATCCAGGAGGCAGAGGTTGCAGTGCCGAGATCACACCATTACACTCCAGCCTGGGCAACAGAGCAAGACTCCGTATCAAAAAAAAAAAACACACAAAAAAACACAAAAAACAGAAAATAAACAGTATGAAAAGACATCTAAAACATAAAGTCACAGAAAGACTGAGAGAGATTGAAAAAAGATACACCTGTCATATGTACCTAACCCAAAGAAGGGTTGGAAGCTATATTATTATCAGATAAAATAGGCTTTGGGCAAAAAGCAATATGGGAGATTTTTTAAGGCCACAATATAATGATAAAAATTCTAATAAACCAAGGGAGAAGGTAATCTAAAATGTTAATGTATCTAATAACTAGCACTCAAAATACATGAAAGCAAAATATGACAAAATTGCAACCCTCAGAGGGCAATTTAAATACATATCTCAGTGTCTGATAAAAGAGACAAAAAACAATCAGCATAGACATAGAAGATTTACATCTCTCTAGAAAATTAACAAGCTTGACTTAATGTACAGAAAAAACATATCTCTCCAAAGTGACAGCATTCACCCCCCCAAGTACATATGTACTGAGCCATAAGGAAAATCTCAACAAATTCCAAAGAAGCGGAATCATGCACCCATCTTTCTCTCTAACCATAATCTCATTAAACTAAAAACAATAATAAAAAGATAAAGTAAAAAGCCAGAAAGGCAGATGCTAAATGAGAAAGTGACAGAAAAGTTACAGATTTTGTTAAGCATACAAAGCTTCTATGGGGTAAAGCAGTCAAAGGGATATGCAAATTTACACAGAAATCCAACTGATATAAATCCTTGAAAGATACTACATACAGATATTTCATCAGTTCTCACATGCCAAACCCAGCAAAGCCAAACTTTGGAGCCTCCCCTGCGAGCAGACCTGCCACAGGAGGAGAGGCAGCACAAACCTCCCTTTGCAGTGAAAATGCCACATTGTGTGTGCTTCTTACCCCATCACCTCTTTGGAAGTGGCCCCACTCAGCGCTAGCTGAGAATCGCTTCCCTCATACCACTCTCAGTAGTTCACCCCAAGACACACGGGACAACTCTGTACCTGGTAAGTCATTGTGAATCCAATTAATAATGGCATTCAGAAAGTTAGGAATCTTTGAATTATTAGATTCATAGTGATATTCAAAAGAAAGAAAACGACATCATTTCTGTTCCACGCATGTTGCCCACATTCACTGCGTAAAAGGCAAAGGGAACTGTGAGTACCCACAAAGAACCTGATATTGACGGCACATACATTTCTTCATTAGGAAGAATAAATTTAGACTGTAACAATTTAAAAAACCAGAAAATACAACTGTACATTTTAGTTCTTATTAAAATCCAAGAGGTTTAACTTATTTGCTCCTTGTTTAGGTAATTAGTGTCTAAAACATTTCAAAGATAACATATATAGTGGCTATGATTTCTAGTACTTTTTAAAAATTCAAGCCCAGTCTCTTCTAATTAAATGTATAAATGATTTATCTCTGTCTTTCTTAAAAAGAACCAAGAGCCCCAATTAAAAAGTAAAACTTAAATTTCCTCTTAAAAAATTGTTACGTCAAAATTATCTAATAAACCATAGTTCAGAAAATAATTTCTGAATTAAGAAAATATGAATAATAAAACCAACAGTTTATGTGCTGAATTTCACATTTTTATTTTTTATTATTTTTAAAATTTTGTTTTAAGTTCTAGGGTACATGTGCAGGAGTGTTACGTAGGGAAACGTGTGCCATGGTGGTTTGGTCCACCTATCAACTCATCACCTCAGTGTTAAGCCCAGCACGCATTAGCTATTTTTCCTGATGCTCCTCCCCCACCCGCCCTGACAGGCCCCAGTATGTGTTGTTTCCCTTCCTGTGTCCATGTGTTCTCACTGAACCTCACATTTTTAAATACAGCATATGCCAGGTGTCATTTCAGTACCCATAATTATACATAGTATATGTATATGTGTAAATATATGTATATGTGTACATATATGTATGTAATATGTGTATGTAAATATTATGTAAATATGTATGTATGTAAATATATATGTAAATATGTATGTGAATGTATGTAAATATATACACATGTAAATATGTATGTAAAAATATGTACGTAAATATATGTATGTAAATATATGTATATATAAATGTAAAATATGTAAATATTTGTAAATGTAAAATATGTAAATGTAAAATAAATGTAGAATGTCAAATGTAAATGTAAAATGTAAAATAAATGTAAAATGTAAATGTAAAATATGTAAATATATGTATATGTGTAAATATATATGTATATGTGTAAATATATATGTGTAAATATATATGTATATGTGTAATATATATGTATATGTGTAAATATATATGTATATATAACACAGCATACAGCATATGCCAGGTGTCATTTCAGTACCCATAATTATACATAGTATAATTATACATAGTATAATTAGACTACTATGTTAGCTAAAAAATGTTGATTAGATACAAATGTATAAATTTATCTTCTCTAAACGTGGAAATTCTCTAGAGGCTATTTCCAGCTTCTGTGTGGATTGTAGAGCAGGCTGCTACCTGTACCCCAAAAATGAACACCTTAAAAAAAAGACAAGTTTCTCAGCCTCCCTATTGCACACACATATGAAAAATATGTTAAATTCAACGCCAAATATTCCTGAGATCAACACAGCAGTGATCCCAAAGAGAAAATTTCTCTTTGCTAATGGGCACAAACTTGAAGGGCAAAGCAGTGGAAGGGTAAGTCTGCAGACTCGGGTGGGGCTCAAGTCAGAATCACGTGGAAGATCATTGCCACATGTTTTTGTTTTTTTAAATAGCAAACACCACCAAGTGGAGCCCGCCGGGTTTAGTAGATATTAAACCTCTAAGGAGTGGCACATCCGAGACTGAAATTCCCATCTTTTGATTCCCAGCTCAAGGTCTCTGAAATGCCAGCACCAGCTGTGAAATTGTTCTTCTGCATTTTCATGGAGACCTTTTCTTCTATACTGCCATACTCTTTTTTTTGGAACAGTTATACCTGATCTTCCTATTTTTGTGTGTGTTCCACCGAAAGTTTTTCACTCTAAATACTTCCCTCTTTCCAACTGAGCATTTACATCTGTAACAAGGACAAAAACATCTAACATCTCTCTCACCCTTGGTTTGTGTTTTGTTTTGTTTGTTTTTGAGACAGGGTCTTGCTCTGTCACCCAGGCTGGAGTGCAGTGGCGTGATCACCGTTCACTGCAGCCTCGAGCTCCTGAGCTGAAGCAATTTTCCCACCTCAACCTCTGAGTAGCTGAGACTATAGGTGTGTGCCACCACGCCTGGCTAATATGTGTATTTTTTGTAGAGATGAGTTTTTGCCATGTTGCCCAGGCTGGTATTGAACTCCTGGCTTAAGTGATCCTCCTGCCTAGGCTTCCCAAAGTGCTGGAAGGAATTACAGGTATGAGCCACCGTGCCTGGCCTCACCATTGTTAAAATTATGGAAATCGTGTTTGCAAAGCAGGTTGGCCTGTTTGGAAAAGGGTGTCATAATTTCTCAGGTAACTCCAAAAAGAGAAAGCTACGAAAATTACCTTAATACATTCATTACAGTCTCAGTATAAGATTATAGCTTCCTCTCCCAAAGCGTAACCACAACCTGACGCAGGATGAGTTGGTTTGAAAATACCGCATACAATATCCTCTTGAGTAGAATCATAATTTAGAACTCTAAAAATGACCGGAAACAAAACTGTCCAAGTTTGTTTAACGTAATGTGTTTCAACTTATTTGACTAGAAAACCCTTCATTCGTGCAACACTTATAAATATCCCATGGCAAATCTAGTTTTCTATGAATAATGAACGAAACATTTATAATTTAAAACTAAAATTGTCTTCTAAGCAGAGATCTACGTATCAATAAAATGAAGAAATAAAATTTCCATACTGTTTTCTTCCCAATACAAGGATTAGAAGGAAAGGGAAAAGAGTAACAGCGAGAATCAATAGCCCATGTCTGGCCAGGCTCCATGGCTCAATCACACCTGTAATCCCAGCAATTTCAGAAGCTGAGGCGGGAGGATCACTGGCCTTTAGTGATCCTTGAATGAAACTCCATCTCTAAAAAATTAAAAATATTAGCTTAGAGAATCATTTGGGCCCAGGAGTTTGAGGCTGTATTGAACTATGACTATGCTACTGCATTCCAGCCTGGGCAACAGGCTGCTTAAACCTGGAGGGGCAGAGCTTGCAGTGAGCCGAGATCACGCCACTGCACTCCAGCCTGGGCAAAGGAGCCAGACTCCGTGGCAAAAAAAAAAAAAAAAAAGAGATTCTATTGACAATAGCAACAAAACCCTGAGAATATATCTAGCAAAGTATACACAGGCCTTTCATGAAGAGTATTGCCATAGCCTGAATGTGTCTCCCAAAATTCATGTATTAAAACTTAATTCCCAAGATGATAGTACTAAGAAGTGGGGCCTTTAAGAAGTGATTAAGACATAAGGGTGAGCCCTCATGCATGAGATTAGTGCCTTCCTTATAAAAGGGCTTGTGGGTGGTGGTAAATCTGTCCCTTCTGCCTCATGAGAACATAGCATTTGCCTGCTCCAGAGGAAGCAGCATTCAACGTACCATCTTGGAAGCAGAGACCAGGCCCTCACTAGACACTGTGTCTGCTGGAGTCTTGATCTTGTTCTTCCCAACCTCCAGAACTGAGAAAATAAACTTCTGCTCTGTGTAAATTACCCAGTCTCAGGTGTTTTGTTATGGCACTATGAAGGGACTAAGACAAATATAAAAATTACCCAGGGACTTAAAGGGAGAACTGACTAAACTGAAATATATGCCATATATATTATGAATCGTAGGACTCAATGCTATAAACATACTACTTCTCAACAAATTAATCTATAAATTCAAGAAATTCCTACACAAATCCCAATAGAATTTTTTTGTGGAACTCGAGAGGCTGATCCTAAAATTCATACAGTCACTTGAGGGGCCAAGAATAGTGTAACAGGGCTGGCGGGGCTGGTGGCTCACACCTGTAGTCCCAGTACTTTGGGAAGTCAAGACTGGAGGATGGTTTGAACCCAGGAGTTCAAGACCAGCCTAGGCAACATAGCAAGATGTTGTCTCAAAATATTAAAAATAAATAAATAAATAAATAAAAAGAAGGTTAAGTATGCACATTTTGTTGTGAATTTCAATTTTATAGTGATTTTTTTTTTTTTGAGACAGGGTCTTGCTCTGTCACCCAGGCTGGAGTGCAGTGGTGCCATCTTGGTTCACTGCAACCTCTGCGTGGGCTCAAGCAATCCTCCCGCCTCACTCTCTGGAGTAGCTGGGACCACAGTTATGTGCCACCACACCTGACTAATTTTTATATATTTTTTTTGTAGAGACGGGGTTTTTCCATGTTGCCCAGGTTGTTCTCAAACTCATCCACCTGCCTTGGCCTCCGCAAGTGAGATCACAGACATGGGCCACTGTGCCCGGTCTAGTGCGCTTTTTTTTTTTTTTTTTTAACCAAACAAACGATGAAGTCTCAGGAGTAAAAGTTGATACACAAGTAAATTTTATTGGTAATGTTTTTGTGTGGTCTTTAAGCAGAGGGAAAATTAGTCTGCATTATGGTGTATCCAGACTAAATAACTGATATTAAAATGAAATTATCCTTAGGATTTGCAATCTTAGAGAAAACTTTTTCATTTTTTTTGAGTTACAAATTATCTTCACTTACATTTGAGAACAGTGAGTCACAGAGGGATTAAGTATCTTACTCAAGATCTTGCAAGTGTTTGGTTTGAACCCAATCTTTTCACTCTGCAGAACTCAGAGTCACTCTTATTTGGAAACTTTTTAACTGATGTGGATCCTCTAATATGGGCTTCCTATTATTCATTCCGTATTAGTCAGAAGTTTTGCAAGCAGGCAGAATTCATTTTGCCAATTACGGGATTTTCCCTCAGTTGCAGTCAAGGTTCATAAAACTATAACTATAAATTTTGTTTTTGAGACAAAGTCTTGCTCTGTTGCTCAGACTGGGATCCAGTGGCACAGTAACAGCCCATTGCAGCTTTGAACTCCTGGGCTCAAGGGATCCTCCGCCTCAGCCTCCCAAGTATCTGGGACTACAAGTGCATGCCATCATCCCTGGCTAATTTTGTTTAAAAAAAAAAATTGTAGAGATAGGGTCTTGCTTCGTTGCCCAGGCTGGTCTCAAACTCCTGGCCTCAAGCAAGCCTTCAGCCTTGGTCTCCCAAAGTGCTGAGATTACAGGTGTCAGCCATTGCACCTGGCCAAAACTGTAACTATATATACACACACACATAACTACATATAGATGTGTGTGTGTATGTATGTGTGTGTGTATATATATTTTTATATATAAATAGATATATCTGAAAGGCATCAAAAGAAAAAAGCTGTAACTTTTAGTCTTGATCTTGATAGTGACTTGATTAGGCTATCTGTTTAACATCAAAGATGCAAATTAATGCTTTCTTTGGGTGAGCATATTAAAAATGCAGAAAATATTGGAGTAGTTTTTTATGTTAAATAAATTGTATTCTGTGTATTTAAGGTATACAACATGATTTTGTGGGATGCATATAGATGGTTAAAAAAATTACTACAGTGAAGCAAATTAACGTATCCTTCAACTCAGATAGTTACCCGTTTTCTTTTTGTTTGGTGGCAAGAGGAGCTTAAAATCTCATTTAGCGTGAATCCCAATACAGCACAATTTTATTACCTATATTTCTCGCGTTGTACATTATATTTCTAGGCTTGTTCATCCTACATATCTGCTACTGTGTAACCTCTGAGCTATGTCCACCCATTTTCTCTCTTGCCCCCCAAGTAATTTCCTAAAGTGTCTCATATAAAAAGGCAGTAGCTTTCAGCTTAAACTTTTTCTCTGTATATATTTAAGTCAATTTCTTTGAGGTATGTTTTTCTCTCCAGAATAGTTAGATGTAGGCATACCACTTTAATGTTGACACTAGTTCACCTAGAACTTATCTTCTGCAAATCTGTCTCTATGTCCATCTCTGTCTCCATCTTTGTCTCTATCTTTATCTCTGTCTATCTATCTATCCATCCATCCATCCATCCATCCATCTATCTATCTATCCATCTATCTGTCTATCTAACTAAAGCAAATTCATGCCCTTCTCCTATTTATGGAATCGAGACCATAAACAGAAGTGAGGGAAAGAATTTGGCAGGAATTGCGATGTGTATTACCTGTGGCATAAGGAAACTTTACAGAACTAGGGTCAAAAGTATACTTTCTAGTTCTTTCCCATGGCTTTTCACTTTGATGTAGTCCTTATCAGGCAACTGAGGTTTTATATAAGTCCCCTGATTCTTAGAACATGAAGGTGTAGTATTCAAGTTTGGTCCCTTGAAAGCACAATTTTTGTTAAAAAAATTTAAGAAAATTGTATGATTTCCTCAGCAAATACATATTGATCATCTGTTATACAGCCATGAGAAGTGGTTCTGTTGAACACGTTTATTTTATCAGATCCCAATTCTAAACCAGGCATAGAATGGAAACCATGAAGGTAGGATGAAATAACTTCTGAATGTTTGAAAATAGTGTACTTAAAAATAAATATCAGGTGTTTTTGTTTTGTTTTTTGTTTTTTGTTTTTGAGACAGGGTCTCACTCTGTCACCCAGGCTGGAGTGTGATGGTGCCATCTCACCTCATTGCAGCCTTGACCTCCCAGGCTCGGGTGATCTCCCACCTCAGCCTCCCAAGTAGCTGGGACTACAGGCACATGCCACCATGCCCAGCTAATTTTTTGTATTTTTTGTAGAGACAGGGTTTCACCATGTTGCCCAGGCTGGTCTAGAACTCCTGGGCTTAAGCGATCTTCCCACCTCAGCCTCCCAAAGTGCCAGGATTACAGGCATGAGCCACCATGCCTGGCTGAAAATACCAGGTTTTTAAGTATCAGCACTGCCTCTTCAATCTTTTCTATTACTATGTTGTGCTCAGTGGTATTTTTTATTGAATTAGAGCAGTGCTGTTCAATGGAACCTTCTTTGAGGATGGAAATCTTTTATGTCTCTGCTGTGTGGGTATGGTATTAGCTGGGTATGGGGCACCTGCCTATAGTCCCAGCTACTCAAGAGGCTGAGGTGGGAGGATCACTTGAGCCCAGGAGGCCGAGTCTGCAGGTTCGTACCACTGCAATTCAGCCTGTGTGACAGAATGAGACTCAGTCGCAGAATAAAATGAAATAAGGAAATAAAAATGTAATTGTTGAAATAAGAAACTAGTGGATGGATTAGACACGAGAAGAAAGAATTAATTGTTTAGGCGATTCTCTCCAAAAAGTAAGTCAGCATGTCACACAGAGAGACATGAGGATAGATGATAGGGCAGAAGTTGGTGGGCTTGGAGGGGAGAGGAAGATCAGAATGAGGTCCAAAATGTGTCTTAGTGAAATCCCAGGAGGAGATATTAAAATTATATTAGAAAGTGAAAGAAATAGAAGTTTTATTTATTTATTTATTTATTTATTTTGAGAAGGAGTCTCGCTCTGTAGCCCAGGCTCGAGTGCAGTGGCACGATCTGAGCTCACTGCAAGCTCCACCTCCTGGGTTCACGCCATTCTCCTGCCTCAGCTTCCCAAGTAGCTGGGACTACAGGCACCCACCACCACGCCTGGCTAGTTTTTTGTATTTTTAGTAGAGATGTGGTTTCACCTTTTTAGTCAGGATGGTCTCAATCTCCTGACCTCATGATCCACCAGCCTCAGGCTCCTAAAGTGCTGGAATTATACGCATAAGCCACTGCACCCGGCCCAAAAGCTTTGTGTTTTTACAAATATTACACATGTTTCTTGTTTAAGAAAAAAAGTCTTCACAATAACGTAGGAGAATAAGAGAAACATTTTTCCAAAAAAGAGAAGTCATTGTGATTATTTTATCTTATTGGAATGTTGGATAATACAGTCTGCTTCAGTAATCATCAAGCATGCTATGGATTTTCCATTTTCATAGGATCTGTATCTCGGTTAAGGTAATACTGGTAATTTTTGTACTCTATGAAAAATATAGGCCAAAATCATAGACCTTGCATAGAAGCTGGATCATGAAGACAGCTCTGGAGGAACACACAGGTACACACACACAGACACACATATATATAAAGTATACACATATATATTTTTTAAAAGCTTTTAAAGCAAAAGCCGGCCCTGCCCCTCTCCCAGAGTTGGCGGCCTCTCCCCTCTCTTAGAGTGGGTGGGGACAGTGGTTGCATGGGCAGCTTTCCTTGTGAGCCAAAGGTCCCTCTGGACACATGATGCCTGGCCACGCCCCCTTTCCCTTTCATCTTTCTCATTAACCAATGGGCTTGGAGCATTAAGGCCACGCCCCTATTCTGCCTTCTACTGCATCCCTGGTTACGCCTCCTCTGGCTCAGTCGCACAGCTACCTGGTAGGTGACTGGAGGTGTTGATCAGTGCTTGGTGGGATTTTGCTGATGTGGCCCCAAGCCCGCCTCCCTCCCCACCCTGCGATGGCAGAAGAAACTCGACAAAGTAAATTGGCAGCAGCCAAGAGAAAGGTAAAAACACACCAGGTCACGGACCCCCAACCCAGCCATAGATCCTCTCCAACGACAAGACTGCTGCCAGAGTCCATACCACTCCCGAGGTTCACCGGACTGGGGCCCCCACACCAGTGCCTCTGGGCTACCCCCACCAAAGTTTTGCCAGTCAGCCCCACCCCTTCAGCAAGCAGCCCAGTCTCTGCCCTCACCAATCACCCCAGGGTGACTTTGGGCAGGTGAATCCTGGGGCTCCCCGCTCCTTTACTGGGCCCTCATCTCCTGCCACCCCAAGCTTGACCTCCCAGGGCTTTTTGGGCTCACATCTCCAAGGACCTGGGTCCCACAGCCCCAGACCCCACCCTCACCAGTCATCCCTGGGTGACTTTAGGCTGGTGAATCCTGGGGCTCCCTGCTGCTGACTCTTCCCTTCCCTCCTGCTGCCTCAAGGTGGACCTCCCTAGGCTGTGTGCACTGGCGTCTCCAAGGACCTGGGTCCCAGCTCTGTTTTTCCCTCCCCTATCATGGAGCGGTGACTCGGACATCATGCTGATGTGGTCCCTCCCCCTCACCAGGAAGAGTGGAATGTAGTGATGTCACGGTCCATCCAGTAACTGTCATTACTGCGAGACTGGCCTTTGATCTTATGACCCAGTCCCCTAAGCATTGCCACCCCATTTCTGGTTCCTCTTGTCACAGCACAAATTTCCAGCTGGAAGGGGAATGGAGATTGGGACCTAGGAGCAAGAGGTTTCAGGCTGCCTCACTCCCTTAACACAAACATTGACAGCGGGAAAAGCCTACACTTCCCCTGTGAGCTCAAAACATTGACAGTACCTCTGGATGGCAACTGGAGAATGGGTTTGACTTGGTTTGGTTTTCTCCCAGGCTTCTACTTTCCAGAGAGATTTTAACAAATTTTTTGTGAGTTCTCCACCTCACATTCTAATTCTCCATGGTTCTGGGACCAGACTGCCCTTCAGTCAGTGGTCTGTGAAGTGAGATTTGCTCATCTTCTGTGGAATAGATCTTGGGAAACTGAACTTGACAGCTTGAATCTTCCTCATATTATGTAAACCTGGGGTACTTTGAGTGCCACAGGATACATATGGGACATCTTTCTGAAGCATCAGTTTCCATTGATTCTCTTGAGATCAAGAGAAAAAACATTAATGTACTTAGGGATGACAGTCACATAGGTTTCTAACAGTATACCAGACTTCTCTCTGAAATGAGGCTTGGGTTGTCCTCTTTCTGATAAATTCCCAGATTTAACAGAAAGGCTGCCTTCTGCCATGAGGACACATTGATATAAGAGTTTGAGAGGTACAGGTGCACTTCTTCACACTAACAGACGTGTGAGGATGTATGACTAAACCACATGGCATACAGTTCCTGCCTACTTAATGTTTACTTTTCTAGCTCTGCCTCTGGTTTTGGTCCCTGGCAGCTGATGATTCTTGGTAAAACCCCAGAGTTTGGAGTCAGAAGACTGAGTTTCAAAGTTCATCTGTCGCCTTTTTCTTTTCTTCTTTTTTTTTCTAGCCATGATATCAATCTCTTTGAGTCACTAAATGATTGTGACAACACCTTGTACAGTTGTTGGTATCATTAAATCAGATGGTGTATAAGAGTATTTTATAAAAACTGTAAAGGAGGATGTGGCTGCAGGGGCTGATAGTTCTCATGAGTATTACTGCTCTTGTTTCTGACAGTTAAAAGAATATTGGCAGAGAAACAGCCCTGGTGTTCCAGCAGGAGCCAAGAGGAACAGGAAAACAAATGGCAGCATCCATGAGACAGCCACTTCTGGTGGTTGCCACTCACCTGGAGATGTGAGTCTTGGCTGACTAGGTTCCTGGGGACAGGGGACCCAAGGGGCACTAGAGGGTAATTGTTAAGATTGTGGATGGACTGTTGGGTACCTGTGAAGAATTCTGGGTTTGAATCCTGCCTCTTTGTCTGCTAGGGATATGAATTAGGGCAAGTTGCTAGACCTCATCGGGCCTCTCTTTTCACATCTGTATAATAGAGGTGGTATTGTTTCACTTCCATTTGTGAAGTTTAAATGAGATTTGTTATTGTTGTTTTTATGTTAATCCCTAGTACATGGCCTGCTGTAAACACCCAGAACACCCAGGATATGGTCATTGCTGTTCGATTTTCCTCATCCCCAGTCTCAAGGGGAAGCCAGGACAATGAGAACAGTCACTTGGCACAGGAGTCACTGAAAGGGCCGCAGGGTGCTGTGGTGGGGAGATAAGAACCATGAGAGAAGTTGGCACAAAGGAGTTATGGGACAAAGGGTCCAAGATAGGCAGAAAAGAAAATTGTGCCAGTTGATGGGGAAGAAAAGAAGTCAGAGGGCTTAGATACTGAGTGGGACAGAACATCTTCATGTGCACTCTCATCTCTTGTAGTCAGCAACAGGTATCCACGGGGAGAGCCCTACATCATCTGCTACCCTGAAGGATCTGGAGGTAAGAGGCTCTGGGCAGAGGTGCAGTGACCCTGCAGGCCAGCCCTCCAACCTCCTCCTCCAGGTGGGACGGGGTGCCCCTCTGCCAGCTGAGACAGTCCACACACACCCCAGCCCTAATGATTGTTCTCTCTACCTCTCCCCCCACTCCTCCTCCACCTCCTCCTCTCTGCATGCGCCTCAGAGCCCGTGCCAAGAACTAGCAGTAGTCCCAGACTCGAGGTCCGTAAAAGTCAGTCAACTGAAGAACACCATCAAATCTTTGGTAAGAGTCCACTGGGGTCCCCTGATTCCACGCTGCCAATCCTGGGCTCTAGTTTCCCCTTGGGGCCCTGAAGAAAGGGGACGGCGGCCCCTGGTGCCAAGGGCGAATAGGGAGCTGGGGCGCCCAGGCCTCACCTGGAGGGACCCCGGAGCATGCAGCATGGCTCTTTTTTTGCTGCCCTGTTTGCTGACTCTCCCCTCTCCAGATGCCCCTGCTCGAGTCCTTGCTACACACGCCCTGGGATTGTTGCCTCTTGGGGAAGTGCTAGCCTGACTGGTTGTCAGGGTCCCTGTATTTCTGCCATGACTCAGTCCCTAATTTGCTCTTTGATTCTGGACAAGCCACCTCTCCTTTTTGGGCTCATGTTTCCATGAAGTAGTGAGTATCAAAGGTCTCTGTTAGCTCTCGAGTCTGAGATTTAAAGGCCTCCTAGAATGGAAACCTCAGGGCCAAAGGCTCCTGTCTGTCCTTTTCCACCCTAAATCTTCTGTGAAGAACCGTACTTGGCCCATACGTGCTCAGTAAATGTTTATTGAATGAATGCACTTTTCTAAATCACAAGCTGGCAGAAGGGGGGGCCTTTCTCAAACTCCATCTCTAGAGGTTTATATTGCTGTCCTCTCAAGAGATTCCAGATTCAGACCTTCAGTTCTGTGGCTGTGGGCAAAAGCCAACAAAGACCCAAATCCTCTGTCCTTGGGAGCTTGAGGAGAGTTTACCAGTTCGAGTTCCCACTGGGTCTGAGAACTTTGCCTTTAAAATCCATTCCTGGTCCCTGCCTACCACTTCCTGCTCTGGGGAATAGAGTTGAGGGGGCCACCCTCCATCACCTTAATGTGACTCTCCCCACAGAAACAACAGAAGAAACAAGTGGTACATCAGCTGGAAGAAGTAACATGATTTCTTTGTTTGCTCGCGACATGACTGCTCGGTTTGGGGGACACTCAGATGTAGAGGCCCCGAGTCTCGTCTCACCCACTCCCAGCCTGGGGAAGAAGGCTCACCCCCCAGAGTCCACCCCATCCCCCACAGGGTCTCTGATAACCCGGTCCCATGGGTGGGCCTGTCCCGGGGCAGGGGCAGTGGTGGCATTCTGGGGACATGTCTCTTGCAGTACCATCTCTGCCTCTGCCTGGTTAGATCTCTGTCTTCCTCTTCCTACAGGAAAAGAAAGCAAACAACGAGAAACAGAAAGCCGAAAGGGAGCTAGAGGTGAGTGGACGGTGTGCAGTTTTCTCCTGTCCTCCGGAGAATGTTTCTTTCCTTCTCTTTCAGCACTTGCTTGGCTTTTCTCCCAAAGGTTCAAATCCAGAGATTGAACATACAGAAAGGGAAACTAAATACGGACCTGTACCACACGAAACGTTCTCTCAGATACTTTGAAGGTGGGAATCTGGGTACCCTGTCATCCTTCAACCTGGCACTTTGACAGGTCTTCAGGGGGAGTCCTTTGGGCCCCATCTCAACTCTCTCATTACAGAAGAGTCCAAGGATCTGGCCGTCCGTCTGCAACATTCATTGCAGCGTAAAGGAGAGTTAGAGCGGGCTCTCTCTGCTGTCACCGCCACACAGAAGAAGAAGGCGGAGAGGGTGAGTCCAACCACCTGCCCCGTCCCCTGGGAGCCTGGCTTTGCAGACAGAGGAGTGAGCCTAAAGGTCCCTTCTGCAGGATGGAGTGTCCTGCCCAGAAGGCAGCATGGCCATTTCTCACTGCTTTTTTGTATGGTTGTTAGCGGCAGCTTGGGACTGAGTCAGCTGCTGTGGGTGAGTTGGGGGGCACTCTGGGGACAAAGCACAGGACGTAGAGCTTGGAGGCCAAGTGCCTGCCATGCCTTTACCTGGCTGTGGTCTTGGCCAAGTCCTCAGTGGGTATTGGGTACTTGTACTGTGAAGGTACAGAAGAGTACCTTTAGTATGTTACCATTTCTGTAGAGAGAGGAAACGTGTGTGTGTGTGTACATATTATGATAATATACATAAAATATGTTTGCAAGTGTTCATAAAAACTCAGGAGAGAGCAACAGGGTGGCTGGGAGATACTTCCCTTCTGTACCTTCTGAGTCTGGGACTATTTGAATGTATTATCCTTTCAAAAAGTGAACAAAAGATTAATTTTCCCCTTCCTAGCTGTGCCCCCACCCCCAGCAAGAAAAATGGGCTTAGAGAATTGGATAGATCTGGGTGTTTAAATCCCAGCTCTGCCTAAGTGATCTTAGGCAAGCACTTAACCTCAAATACTCCATGTTTTTTCATCTACACAATAGAGGTCATCATAGTAACTGTCTCCCATGGTGGTTGTGAGGATTAAATGGGATTGCTAGCATGGTATCTGGTGAAGCACTCCATAAAAGTTCAAACAGTGGTAATAATAACAGTAATAACAACAGCAATATTATCTGATCTCTCTGGGCCTCTGTTAGCCAGCTATAAATTCGATCTCTTTCCCTGTCCCTTCCAACTTTACTGAGTTCTTTAAAAACCAAACCACGGGCTTGGAAATGCCTTGATCTTTACTGACCGAGTTGTATATTGGGCCTAGCCCTGGCCCTTTTAAGGGGCACTGTGTGGAATGGCCCGGCCTCCCCAGATTGAAACTTCTCACTCTTCAGCAGTTCTCCAGCCGCAGTAAAGCACGTACGGAGTGGAAGTTAGAGCAGTCCATGCGGGAGCAGGCACTGCTGAAAGCGCAGCTGACACAGGTGAGGTGTTCAGAGGGAGGGATGTGGAAGGAAGATGACCCCAGGTAACCAGGAGCAGGTGAGGACCAGTGACAGCCCTTCCTAATTTCTGTGCCCATTCTTGCAGTTGAAGGAGTCACTTAAAGAAGTCCAGCTAGAGAGGGATGAATATGCTGAACATCTAAAAGGAGAGAGGGCCCGGTGGCAGCAGAGGATGAGAAAAATGTCGCAGGAGGTGAGATCTGACCCTTCAGCCCCCCCACATTAGATAGGTCACTGGATCTTTCTGGGCACCTGTAAAATGGGAATAGTAGAGCCAGAGGTGGTCATGGGACTGGGCTTTGTGGAGGTGGGGGCAGAGAGGGAGAGGGCAGCCTGTCCAGCCTCCAGCCCCTCTCTCCAGGGCCCTTTCCCCCTGTGCTTTGGGCAGGTTTGCTCGTTGAAGAAGGAGAAGAAGCATGATAAATATCGGGTAGAGACGCTGGAGAGGAGCTTGTCCAAACTCAAAAACCAGATGGGTAAGATGGGGCTGGCGTGACCTGGCAGCAGGACTGGCATCAGAGGGCTGTGAGGGTGGCTTGGAGTGCCCCAGCGAGGTGGGTGGATGGAAGGGCTTTGAGGCAGAGGGAAAGAGGTCTGTGCCAGGAGACGGCAAGTCTTGTCATCTCAATGAGCCTCAGTGTCCCCATCAGCAAAGAGGGCCCGTTGTCAGCCACCCGCAGTGCTCTTTCTCTGAAAGTGCTTTGGAAGACTGGCTACCATCTGGGTGCGAGGAATCATTAGCAGTGAGGCCAAGTTTGAGGAGCCGGAGAGGAGCTGTGCGCCAAGAGGAGGGTTTTTTCTTTTCTTTTCTTTTCTTTTCTTTTCTTTTCTTTTTTTTTTTTTGGAATCCAGAGGCTCTTATTGTCTGCTTCCTTTCTCAGCTGAACCTCTGCCCCCGGAGCCCCCAGCAGTGCCCTCTGAGGCGGAGCTGCAGCACCTGAGGAAGGAACTAGAGAGAGTGGCAGGAGCGCTCCAGGCCCAGGTGGAGTACAATCAGCGCATAAGTCTCCTGAATGAGGGGCAAAAGGAGAGGCTTCGGGAGCAGCAGGAGAGGCTTCCAGAGCAGGAGGAGAGGCTTCAGCAGCTGGCCGAGCCACAGAACAGCTTCAAGGAGCTGGTGCGTTGCCCCAGCTGGGGAGCCTGCCCTCCTCCCTAGCCCTCCAGGCCTTTGTTTCCCCACCTATAAAATGGGGCAGTGTAGCCCTCAAGTGAAATGTTACTCCTAAAGGCACCTGTGAGCCAGAGCCCTGCTCTGGTGGCTGTGGGAGACAGGGGATGATTTTTCTAACCTGCCTCCACCCTTCCCGGTGCCATGGGAGGCAGTCACCAAGTTCTGGGGTCTCCAGCTGCAGTGGGTGGCTGCTGATTGCTTCTCTCTGTCCAGAACAATGAGAACAAGAGCGTACTACAGTTGGAGCAGCAAGTAAAGGAGCTGCAGGAGAAGCTAGGCAAGGTGAAGGAGACGGTAACCTCCACCCCATCCAAGAAGGTCTGGGAGGTGGGTGGGCACCAGCCTCTGGGGAGGGGAGGTGCCAGGCCAGCGGTAGCTCCAGCCCAGGGGCAGGTGACCCCAGCACCCTCCAGGGCAGTCCTGTGGCTGTTTCTTGCTTCCTGCCCTCTGATTTTAGAGGTGGGTAGCCCTGGGCTCCTCCCAGGTCTGGACATCATCATTCCAGCTAGAGACATGGAGCCCCCCCAATCACAGGGGAAGAGACAGAGTGGTATAACAGTCTTCTTATGCCAGATGCGGTGGCTTACGCCTATAGTGCCAACACTTTGGGAGGCTGAGGCAGGAGAATCACTTGAGGTTTGGAGTTTGAGATCAGCCTGGCCGACATGGTAAAACCTCATCTCTACTAAAATTACAAAAACAAAAAACAAAAAAAGAAAGAAAAATTAGTGGGGCATGGTGGTGGCGCATGCCTGTAATCCCACCTACTCAGGAGGCTGAGGCACGAGAATTGCTTGAGCCCAGGAGGTGGAGGTTGCAGTGAGCTGAGATTGCACCACTGCACTCCGGCCTGGGCCACAGAGTGACACTCTGTCTCAAAACAAAACAAAAAGACTCCTTAGATTAAAACTGGATTCCAGCCTCAGTTCCACTGGTCACCATTCAAGTACTTCGCATCTCTAAGTCTCTGTTTCTTTAACTTCAAAAGGAAGTTAGCATTTTCCTTACAGAGGTGCTGAGGATTAAATGAGATAATACATGGGAAGCATTAGGCCTGTAGCACATTTAGCAGATGGTGGTTGGCTCCCACTACTTTTCTACCATTCTGTGGCCTACAGTTGAAATGGTGGGAAGAGGACATGAGATTTGAGGCTGGGGAAGGAGGCATGGGGTTCTAGGAAAGCAAGGCAGTCACTTAGGCCTGAAGTAAGGGGCCAGGGGCCTGGGCAGGCGACAGAGCCCCACAGTGCCCTCGCTACCCTATTAATGGGCCCAGAATCTGCAAACCAGCCACCATGTGCCCTCACACCCAGGGTCTTCCTGCAGGTGGAGCTGAAGAGCCAAGAGGCTCAGAGTCTGCAGCAGCAGCCAGACCATTACCTGGGTCACCTGCAGCAGTACGTGGCCACCTATCAGCAGCAGGTGGCCGCCTATCAGCAGCTGACCTGTGAGAAGGAGGCGCTGTACAGGCAGTGGCTGCAGCAGACCCAGCTAATGAACCAGTTGCAGCAGCAGGAAGCTTGGGGCAAAGCGGTGGCCGAGATGGCCTGCCAAAAGTTGCAGGAGGCCCAGGGGAGGGAGCTGCCGAGGATGGGGCCGTGAGGGGGACGACCTGGCAAACTCTGTGCCTTCTCACTCTTTCCTGGCCCCTTAGGAGCGTCTGGAAGCTGCCAGCCAGCAGAAACAGCAGCTAACGGCCCAGTTGAGCCTCATGGCTCTCCCTGGGGAAGGTACGGGAGACCGCTCAGAGGAAGAGGAGAGAGCCCCAGGAGGAAGGGGGGACTGCTAGCAGCATAGGATTGAGGAGTTGGAAGAGACCTTTAGAACAGCTGGTCATTATACTAACCGGGTGCCTGCACTAAGTTCAGCATCAATATGGTGACCTCCTGGGAGCGGGGGGCCACCAAGTTGCCTAAGGATGGCTGAACTGGCCGAGGTCAGAAAGGGAGCAGGTCAGAACTCCCGCACCGACCAGTAGTGGGAATGTGCCTGGGCAGTATAGCAAGATCTTGGTTCTTCAAAGTAAAAATAAATAACAGCAGCTCATTCCTCTCTGGGGAGGGGCTGGCTCAGGGTTACACAATGAGGGTGGAGGTAGAGGTGGGCCCACAATACTTCCCTTGTTGAGTTGTCTGAGGACCCCTCTGGCCACCACCCCCACCCCCAGGAGATGGAGGAGGACATCTGGACAGTGAGGGGGAGGAGGCACCTCGGCCCATTCCTAGCATCCCACAGGACCTGGAGAGCAGGGAGGCCATGGTGAGCCTGACTCCCCCTGCACCCATTTTGCCACCTTTCTCTGTGGTCCCTCCAAGACCCCTTTATGCTCTTCGTTTCCCTGCCTTCTGATTTCTCTGGACCCTCACCCCTTCCGAGAGCCAGTGGTCAGACACCATTTCACCTGTGACCAACATGTGCAGTCTCTGGGGCCCCAAGGGAAGGGGCTGCGCTCCACCTCTCTGCCCCATTTCTTCTGTGTATGCCCCTAGAAGAATGCTCACATCTTGCCCTCAGGTGGCATTTTTCAAGTCCGCTGGAGCTAGTGCCCAGGAGAAGCAGGCACAGTTACAAGAGCAGGTGAAAGAGCAGAGGGTGGCTGCCAGCGCCTGGCTCACCTGGTGGCCTCGGCCCAGAAGGAGCCAGAGGCAGCCAGAGGCCCTGGAGCCCCAGGGCCTGGGGGCGAGTCTGTGAGTGGGGAGACCCACTGGGCCCTGCAGGAAGTCACGGAGAAGCTGGCCCATGCCAGGACTCACCTCCACCTTCTCCATGACTTGAAAATGCCACCTGAGGGCAGGTCGCTGCCGAGATGTGACTACAATATTTTGGCTCCAGAGCAGCTTTATGGACCACCTGGAGGAGAAGGCAGACCTGAGTGAGCTGGTGAAGAAACAAGAACTTCGCTTCATTCAATACTGGCAAGAGAGATGCCATCAGTGAGTGGGAGGCCAGGGCACAGCAGGGGGAGCTACAGGGCCGTCGGAGGGGCCCCAGCGTCTGAGCCCTGTCCTCCCGCAGGAAAATCCATCACCTTTTATCAGAACCAGGGGGCCGTGCCAAAGATGCGGCACTGGGAGGAGGACACCATCAGGCTGGAGCTCAGGGAGGAGATGAAGGTAGGGTGTGCAACATCTCTGTGGGGGTGGGGGTGGGGGTGGGTGTGAGGGTGGGCGCAGGCAGCGGCATGGCAGCTGAGCACCCCTCCCTCCAGATGAAGCTGCTGGAGCTGCAGCAGATGGTATTGCGGCTTACAGCAACTACAACAATGGGCACAGAAAATTCCTGGCCGCTGCCCACAACCCTGCTGATGAGCCCGGTCCAGGAGCCCCAGCCCCCCAGGAGCTTGGGGCTGCAGACAAGCATGGTGGTGAGTAGAGCCCTCAGGTGGGGTGGGCAGGCAGGAAGAGGGGGCTCCCACTGTGCTCAGATCCCTGCCTCCCTCTCTCCAAAGATCTTTGTGAGGTGAGCCTCACCTCCTCTGCCCAAGGAGAGGCCAGGGAGGATCCTCTCCTTGACAAGCCTACTGCACAGCCGATCGTGCAGGACCACCAGGAGCACCCAGGCTTGGGCAACAACTGCTGTGTGCCATTCTTTTGCTGGGCTTGGCTGCCAAGAAGAAGGAGATAAACATCACCATCATCAAAGAGCTGCTCAAGAAATTTTTAAATAAGAAACCAAGTTATGGGGTTAATCTCCTACACAATTCATTTACTTCCTTTGAATGTTAGAGTCACTCATGATTATTTGTGTTTCTAATTTATAGTTTTAAGTTTATTTGTAAAAAGTTAAAAGAGAGTGGGTGTCTGTGGCTCTCACTGATGTTCACTCTGGCATCCTTTAGCATTTTTCTTTTTTAATTTCATAATTGTAGGTCATTAGCATGCATATCGAGTTTGCCCTTACGTGGTGGGGGTTCAAACACACAAAGACCCACTCTTTGCCCAAAACTGTTCTCGCTGGTTTGGAATAGGCTGCCATGCTTTTTTAATGTTATTGCAGCATGTATATTCACTACAGAATTCAGACAAAATTTGCCTATGTTCTGCTGTTGTTTGATCTAATCTTAATCACAGTGAGCTCTTCGTTAGCTCAATATGTAGTTTGCCCCCAAGCGTGCACTGTTTATTACTTTGTAATATGCCACTATGAGTACTGACATTTAGAGTTGTTTAAAGGCCAAGAACTGGAAACAGCCTTTCCTCCATTTTCTGTGTATTGGTGATGGGAGTGAAACCTTTTGAGGGAGCTTTTTAAATCTCACAGAAGAGGAAAGTGGCCTCCTCTGGCAGGTATGTCCAGGATAGAGTGTGTTTCATCTGTTCCGGTGCCAGGAATTAGCAGTGTATTATGGTGGTTCCCTTAGGATTTGTATGTGCTCTGGGCTCATGAAGATACTGCATCATGAGCTGCAGCAGTTGTACTCTTTTTCAATGACCTAAAAAGGGCTTATTTCTGAGGAATGAAAGGTTCCCATCGTTGACTGTGGATGTGGAAAACCTTTCCTAGCTTAGAGCATTTGTATCTACAATACATTTTAAACTCAGAGTTCATGTTACCTGTTTTAATCACATGACTACATGTCCCAGTACACAAAAGGGCACTGGTTGGCATTCTTCTTAATGTATTTAGTAAAGATCATAAGAAATCCTTTACGAGTTCAAATGTCCCTGGAACAGGCATACAGGCTCTAGTCAAGAATGAATTAGAGTGAAGGAAAGCTGTGTGACACCTGGCATTCCTCTCTGTTCACGGAGATTCTTTGAGGCTTGAAGATTGATTTTACCATCTAGACCTCTTTGGCTAATACCTATTCTTCAACCACCTTGGTTACTCTGACATAGGAATTTACTTCTTTTTCCTTGAATGGAAAACACTTTAAAAAATAATAGAAACATTATTATAAACTAATATATGTGAGATACTTAGTTGAAACAAAAGGGAGTTTTAGTAGACGGTATTATACTATCTTTGAAAATCAAGGAGAAGTTTATGAAACTTAAAATGTGTACAAACTGCAGTGCAATCTACTGTTCGTGAATGTCAATGTATTATCAGGAAACGTGCCTATACAATCACAGAGTTATATTTTCTCACAGACTTCTTTACAAAGTGAAATATGTTTTTGTATCTCTGGGTTTCTGTTCGGGACATATTTTGTGCAATATTTATGTGATTGTGCCTATGCATGATGAATGAATGCATTTCAGTTATGTATTGCCTAAATCGTAACTTGATGATGCTTGGGAAAGACTCAACAGTTAAAACTTCATGAAGTTCTAATGTCTGTGTTCCAAAACACATCACATTGTTAGGATGCAGGGAGATAGGTGTGTGTGCTCCCTGCGGTGGGGATTTCTAGTTACTAGATCATCTCCATTTTTAGCATTTGGCATCCTCATGATACTTCTATAAATATGACATTAACAGGAGAGCAACAATACGATTTTACCGATGGAATAACAGATTTGCTGGCATTCACTGAAAGAGTGCAAATATTCGGTCCTTGTGACTTCAACTGACTCTTCCAAATTTTATGAATGTATCAATGTATTAGATAAACCCAGTTTCAGAATGATAAAGAAAAAATGTTAGACCAAATAATGCGGCTAATTAACAGTGGTACGATTTCTAGCCCGTGGGTTTAAAATGCACTTAAAGTCCTGTTCTCGCCTTTTATTTTCTGAACTTGCCGCTTTTGCATTCTTTGAGTTCAGTTTAAAGACGGTTACTTTAAGAGCATTTTAAACCCTCGGGCTAGAAATCGGACCACTGTTAATCAGCCACATTATTTGGTCTAACGTTTTTTCTTTTATCATTCTGAAACTGGGTTTATCTAATACATTGATAAATTATTTCAAAGGTACTTTTATCGTTGAAATCACTTCACTTTTACCCTGATAAATATCAGTGACTAGGAATGACCTTCGGATAGCGTTTAGCATCTGTAACCAATCTGACAATAATGTGTTCATGAGGTGCCTATGGATTAAATCACACACTGGCATATTTAAGCTGAAGGTCAGTCTGGAAAATAAATTTACTATATTGACTGAAATACCACTCTTTGTGTAGGTATTTGTCATATATTTAAGAAAAAGCTAAAAGGAATGGAAATTGTATGACAATAACTTAAGTCTTTCTCCAAAGTGCATGCAGTCTTTTGCGATACCTCATTCAGCCGAGTATTTGTGCTCTTCCTCATTCGGTATAAGGCAGCTTTCAGTTTGCTTAGAAGGCAACATTGGAATGTTAGAGTTCATCAGAAACATAGAATTTTAAAATGTGAGTTCCACTGAATACATTTTAATTTCTGTAGGAAGAATCAAAACACCTATTTAAAGATGGCAATATATAATAATCATTTTAAAAGTATTTGATTAAACCTGATAATTTTCCAGAAATGAAAAAAAAATCAGCTCTAAAACGAAAGCTGATTTTAGAAAATTTGAAAATGTAAATCAGCCCTATCCATAATATAGTTTCTCTAAAACTTTATCTTAGAGTCATTTTAAAATAATATAACTATTAAAAATGTAACTGCTATCTTAATGTTCTGAAATAAGTTAAAACATTTTAAAATATGAATACTATAGTATAAAAGAAAGAAACAGTGGGAAGGAAAAGCAGAGAAAGAAATGCCAATTCCAGTCCAAAGCTTTATTTGCCAAGTTTTGTTAGAATGAATTTTACCAGTTTGTGAATTCTTGTAAACAGAATGTGTAATGGAAATACTGAAAGATTTTTCCCTAGAGTGGCCTTATTGACTGCTGGTGTGATGCCACTGTAATGTAATAAATCATTAAATTGTTTCTAAGTGTTGTTTTTGCCTTAAAATTTTATTTTGTGTTTCTTGAAAACTATAGTATTAAAGGTATTGATACTGTGCAAATGCTGGGCATGCTTGACATGAGATAATGTGTTTCATTTTTACAAAATTGTAATACAACTATGCAAGTGTTTATTAAAAACACAAAATAAAAAAGTTATGGGTTTTTTTATTAAAAAACTTTTATTAAAGTTTTATAAAAAGTTATTTTATTAAATAACTTTTTATTAAAAATGGTTATGGGGTGAAAAAGTTATGGGATAAAAAATGTAAAAAAGTTGTGGCAAAAAAACTTCTGGGAAAAAAGTAGAAAAAAGTTTTATGAAAAGTTACAAAAAAAGTTATGAAAAAGAAGTTATGGGATTTTTTTAAAAAGTCATGGAATAAAAATAAAAATTAAAAGCAGGCCCCTGTCAGCAAAGCCTGGAGAAGTGGGGCCGGAGTCTCCACCGCCACCATGTCCCTACCACCTCTTCCCAGGCACCCCTTTACAATTAGGGTAGCAGGACAAGACCTCTGTCTAATGGGGAAAGACAAACAGACCATTTGCCACCTTGACCAGGGCTGAGTCCCTAAATTTCTGGATGATGATGATTGTTACTTAAAAGCCAGAGGCTGGTGGAGTTGGTTTGTTTGGAGGAGGCCTGATGGTCCCCTTACTCTCACCATGGCAACGTTTCCCTCAGGGGGGCTCCCATCTTCTTATTCAGAGAGGTAGCTGAGGCCAGAAAGCGGGGCTAACTGTGGACCAGCGAGGGCATGGGCTGCTGGGGTGGCCCACCTTCCCCGGTGTACATACTGTGTCTGTGTAACATTTTGTATATTCCAGAGGGTAGGGCTGCCCCTGTATCATACCTAGCAGAGGTTGGAGCTGGCACATGGGGAGGAGGTTCTAATAATTATTTGTGGCTGGGAAACTTATTTATTGCTAGCGCAGGACAGAGGAAAGAGGCGGGGATGGGGTCGTGGCTCTCTGGTGGTATGATCACAGCTTACTGCAACCTCCAACTCTCAGGCTCAAGTGATCCTCCCACCTCAGCCTCCCAGGTAACTGGGAGTATAAGCATGCACTACTATGCCTGGCTAATTTTTAAATTTTTTTGTAGAGAAAAGGTCTTACTATGTTGCCAATGCTGGTCTTGAACTCCTGGCCTCAAGCAATTCTCCCATCTTGGCCTCCCAAAGCACTGGGATTACAGGCATGAGACATTGCCCCTGTCCATTAGGTTTTCTCTTTATTACTGTTTTGTTGTTGTGGTTGTTGTTTTGTTTTATTTTGTTTTGTTTTTTTGACAGAGTCTTGGTCTGTTGCCCAGGCTGGAGTGCCGTGGTGTGATCTCGGCTCACTGCAACTTCTGCCTCCTGGTTCAAGCAATTCTCATGCCTCAGTCTCTCGAGTGCCTGGGGTTACAGGCATGAGCCACTGCGCCCCTGGCTAATTTTTGAATTTTTAGTTGAGACAGAGTTTTGCCGTGTTGGCCAGATTGGTCTTGAACTCCTGCCTCAAACAATCCGCCCTCCTCAGCCTCCCAAAGTGCTGGGATTACAGGGGTGAGCCACTGCTCCTGGCTAAGATCCCATCTCTATTTAAATAAAAAAAGAAAATTCAGAGCATGTGGAATACAGAACACCAAAGTCCAAAGTTATTTACCTCTCTGAGGTAATCTGTGTAAACAATTTGAAATATATCTTTTCAAGTTCATACTTGCTATGCATATACATACATATACACACATACGTTGACATAGTTCCCCTTCCCTGCTGTCATGCTATTAGAGTCTTCTTTTTTTGGTAGAAATTGGACCAACTCTATGTTCTTTGCTGGCCCATATTTCTCCTATTCAGTGATGTGTTACGAATGTGTGTTTAAGTCAATGTATGCAACTCTTCAATATCATTTTAAAAGGTTAAATATACAATCATATGAAGGCATTACAATTTATTCCAACAGTTCCATTTTGCACATTTAATAATTTCCGTTGGTTTGCCAGGGAGAACATTCTCATGCCATGGCTAAATCCTTTTGTACGGCCATCCTTAATTATTCCCTGAAGATAAACTTTTAAATAAAGTTGCTAGATGAGTCTCATTTCTTAAAAAGTTCTTTTTTGGTAGTTTATATGTAACACTGTAGTTTTATATGTACTTGCAAATAGCTATAGTGCCAGTAAAAAATGTGATAAAATTAAACTCTTTCACGTATGCCAAAAATATTTTGATTTAGTGCTTCATTAAGTGCATGATTACAGTCCCTGTATCTTTTGATTTACCTTTCTACATTTACAATTTTCAGCCCAGATACTTAGAGGTCACATAGTAAATTAAGGTTTTCTTTTTTTTAATAATCTCCGTCTTTCTAAATTTGGTGAGTCACAGTAAGTTATTTTTGGGTTGTTGAAAGCTGTGGCTCTGTTCTAAATATGAGCCCAGAAATCATGCCACTTACAAAATATGCTTTGTCTTCCAACAACAGAGAGTCTGGTAGAAGGTGACTGTTCTTGGAACTTAAAAAGTCTCAACAGGACAAGAACAGAATCTGGAAAATATTTCTGTTTCTGATAATACGGCTGAGTAGGTAGACATGCTGGATACTCCTTGCAAAGGCATACTTGAAATTGCCACACCAAAAAAAATCCAGAATCTCTAAGACTGAAGATGAAGTGAAAATCAGAAGGGCTACTACAAGAATAATGGGGAAGCAGCCCCAGTTATCAAGTGACGTGTGCATGTGTTCAATAAAAAGTTCCAAACCTAAAATAAGTTGAGAAAAATAATGTAATTGCCCTACATATACACATCATCAACAATTTTTCATTCATGGTATGGACAGTTTTTTGGTTTTTGTTTTTTTGTTTTTTTTTTTTTAAAAGGTGGGATTTTGCTGTGGTTGCCCAGGCTGGAGTGCAGTGGCATGATCTTGCCTCACTGCAACTTCCGCCTCCCAGGTTCAAGCGACTCTCCTGCCTCAGCCTCCCAAGTAGCTCAGATTACAGGCACCCAGCACCACATCCGGCTAACTGTTGTATTTTTAGTAGAGATGGTGTTTCACCACGTTGGTCAGGCTGGTCTTGAACTCCTGACCTCAGGTGATCCACCTGCCTTGGTCTCCCATAGTGCTGGGATTACAGGTGTAAGCCACCACACCTGGCCACAGCCAGTTTTGTTTGATTTATATTCCCACTTCATTTGTATACATTCCTTCTTCCTCTTATTTTGAAGTAAAACCTATACATCATATCATTTTTTAATTACCTTATATGTATCTGTAGAAGACAAGGAATTTTTAAAAACAAATATATTCACAATGCCATTAAATACCAAAAAAATTAATATTCTGAAAATAGCCACAAATCCAGAGTTCACATTTTCTTGACTTTCTCATAAGTGATTTTTTCTAGGTTATCTAATTCAATCAGGTAACTGTTTGCTCATATTTACATTCCCACTTGAAAAATGTCTAAACTTAAACTGACATAAAACGCAGATGATCTTCCGACCAAATGCTTAGTGTAAAAAAAAAAACTTCCAACTCCAAGAGGAGTCCCTCCAAATACAGAAAGGACCAGTATTTTAAGAGGTATGTTAACTAAAATGTGGCAATTTAAGGAGCAGAGCAGGAAGAACCTTTAAGTCCGAAACTTACAACAAGTCAATTTCATAGTCCGTTTCCCTGGTCCTTCCACAGCAACCTCTGGCATCTGTTTTCTCTACAACGGAGGTAAAAATAGTAGCTGTTTCATTAGAGCAGTGCTAGAAGAGGGTGGTGGCTATATAAAGTTTAGCTATTTGTATATTGTAACAAACCAACTTTTTTTTTGTTTTGGTCAATAATAGACTTCTTTTGGAAAAGTAGCAGCCTCCTGTCTGGGGACACCTGCAGTTCCACTAAGAGAACATTGGTGTCTGCTAACCTTTGCCTCTATTTCTCTCAATAATATACTGTCAAGCTGTTCCTTGATTTAGCAATTTTATGTACTTCCTTTTCCTTTCTTTTTTCTTTTCCCTTTTCCTGAGACAGAGTCCCACTTTGTCACCCAGTCTGGACTGCAGCAGCGCCATGATGGCTCACTGCCACCTCCCCCCGGGCTCAAGCAATCCTCCTGCATCAGTTTTCAGAGCAGCTGGGATTACCCGCGGGGCCCACCAGGCCCAGCTAATCTTTGTGGGTTTTGTTGTGTTTTTCCGTTAAGAGACTGGGTTTCCGGCCAGGCGCAGTGACTCACGCCTGCAATCCCAAAACACCGGGAGGCCGAGGCCCGCGGATCACCGGAGGTGAGGAGCTGGAGACCAGCCCGACCAACATGGAGAAACCCCGTCTCTACCAAAATAAATAAATAAAAAAGTAGCTGGGCATGGTGGCTCACGCCTGCAATCCCAGCCACTCAGGAGGGTGAAGCAGGAGAATCACCCAAACCTGGGAGGCGGAGGCCCGGGGAGCCGAGACCACGCCACTGTACTCCAGCCTGGACAACAAGAGGGAAACTCTGCCTCAAAAAACAAAAAACAAAAAACAGGTTTCACCATGTTGCCCAGGCTGGTCTGGATCTCCTAGGATCAAGCGATTCGCAGCACTCAGCCGTCCAAAGTCCTGGGATCACAAGCGTGAGCCATGACGCCAGGCCGATCTATTCCTGTCTGATTAAAAATTGGGCCGGGCGCGGTGGCTCACGCCTGCGATCCCAGCACCCCGGGAGGCCGAGGCGGGCGGAAAGCCTGAGGTCAGATTGAGGCCAGCCTGAGCAACATGGAGAAAACCCCATCTCTACCAAAAAAAAACAAAATACAAAAGTAGCCGGGCCTGGTGGCTCACGCCTGCAATCCCAGCCACTCAGGAGGCTGAGGCAGAAGAACCACCCAAACCCGTGTGGTCGAGGCTGCGGGGGGCCGAGATCCTGCCACTGCACTCCAGCCTGGGCAACAAGAGTGAAACTCCCTCTCAGAAAAAAAAAAAAAAAGAGGTAGAGAGACTGAGTTTCACCATGTTGCCCAGGCCGGCGTGTAACTCCTAGGCTCAAGCGATCCGCCGCGCTCGGCCATCCGAAGTCCTGGGATCACAAGCGTGAGCCGCCACGCCAGGCCAATCTCTTCTTTTCTGATTAATAAATTGGGCCTGGCGCGGTGACTCACTCCTGCAATCCCAGCACCCCGGGAGGCCGAGGCGAGCGGATCACCTGAGGTCGGGAGTTTGAGACCAGCCTGACCAACATGGAGAAAACTGTCTCTACCGAAAAAGAAAAAAAATAAAAAGCTGGGCATGGTGGCTCATGCCTGCAATGCCAGCACCCCGGGAGGCCGAGGCGGGCGGGTAACCTGAGGTCAGGAGTTTGAGACTACCCTGACGAAGGGAGAAACCCCCCGTCTGTAGCAAAAAAAAAAAAAAAAAGTACAAAATTAGCCAGGTATGGTGGCTCATGCCTGCAATCTCAGCCACTCGGGAGGCTGAGGCAGGGGAGTCACCCAAACCCGGGAGGCGGAGGCCGCAGGGAGCTGAGACCGCGCCACTGCACTCCAGCCTGGGCAACAAGAGTGAAACTTCACCTCAAACAAACAAACAAAAACAAAACAAAAAAGCGAGACCGGGTTTCATCATGTGGCCCAGGCCTGTCTGGAACTCCTAGGCTCAAGCGATCCCCCGCGCTATTCCTTTGTGATTAATAAATTAGGCCTTGCGCGCTGGCTCAAGCCTGCAATCCCAGCACCTCCAGACGCCGAGGCGGGCAGATAATCTGAGCTCGGGAGTTTGACACCAGCCTTATGAACATGGAGAAACCCCATCTCCAACAACAAAAACAAACAAAAAACAAAATGAGCTGGGCATGGTGGCTCACGCGTGCAATCCCAGCCACTCGGGAGGCTGTGACAGGAGAACCACCCAAACCCGGGAGGCGGAGGCCCGTTGAGCCAAGACCTCACCACTGCACTCCAGCCTGGGCAACAAGAGTGAAACTCCGCCTCAAAAAAAAAAAAAAAAAAAAGAGAGACCGAGTTTCACCATGTTGCCCAGGCCTGTCTGGATCTCCTAGGCTCAAATGATCCCCAGTGCTCTGCCATCCAAAGTCCCTGAATCACAAGCATGAGCCATCATGCCAGGCCGATCTGTTCCTCTCTGATTAATAAATTAGGCGGGGCGCGCTGGCTCACACCTGCAATCCTGTAGCGGAATTTTTAAGGAATTAGATAGACTCACGGGGTTTAGGAGGACATTTATTAATTATTTAGGTGCACCGGCCCAGTCGGATTAACATTTAAAGGATTGAGTACTGAACCAAGAGTTACCTTTCAAGCATTATGTAGGGCGAAGGGGGAGATCTGTGCAGGGAGAAGCATATTATAGAAGCGAGAAACAAAGATAGTTATTTAATTGAAACATGCATTTTTTTTTTTACTATTTAAGGAAAAATATGTTTTGTGACTTGAGTTTATTTGTTTAGGCACCTAGATTTATTTTGTTTATGGAGATAATAGTAGGTACCTCATAGGGGATTATTAGATCACGCTTAAAATTGGACCATACTTAATACTTTAACTGGGGCTTTAACCATCATCATTTACATCATCCATATCCCATTATCTTTCCTTTTGGCAGAAAGGCATATAGTGAAATCTATGCAAATTAAATGAACATATGGGAAACTCTTTTTTGCAGAAGGTGTTGTGGGGCTCCCTCTACATGACCTGAAAAGTACCTATATGGCTGTAAGACACTTTACATATCACCTAGTTTATACCCTGGCATGCCCATATGACCTACTAAATCATACAAACACACCAGGTTCTAATATACAGTAATATTCATTTTTTAACTTTTCAATTAACATATAATCCTAAATTGCATGCTTTATGTTGAAGAAAAAAACAGCAACTAATATACCATCATAGTGACATATTAAATGCTAGTTTAGCCTGATTCTCCCAGTGTAACAATGTATTTAAAATTTTGTAGATATATTCAGTATATGTTTCAACATGTCTTTGGGCCATATGTATTTTGTGCTAAAGTTTCTCTTTATAAAAAAGCAAAGCAGGAGATGAGAGTTTTATGGTGGGAAATGAATTCAATTATTATATTCTAAGGGAGATTAAAGAGAAAAATAAATTTTCCTGTTAATTCTGTGACCAACAAAAGTAAGCAATATAGCTGAGAAATTCATCTGAGCTCACAGTTGATTATATATATATAATAATTTTTTTTTCTCTAACAGAGCCACAACCAATGAGACAATTATAGTTTCACCAAGTCAAATGTCAGCTAGAGGACTTACAGTTTTTACACTTGGCAAGGCAAAGCAAAGAAATGTGAAGAATCCTCATTTACTTGTTAGCCAAACTTAGTGTCAAAAAAAAAAATATTCATCATTGGTTGTCAAACACAGGGTAGTTCTCTGTCACTGGAAACTTCTGCAGACAGGATAATTACTATGATTAAATGGCAGTGGATTTAAAATATTTCGGTAGTGGTTAAAGTAACTTGAATACTGATGGTATAATATCAAATCAAAGCTGCAAAACTGTCCGCTAATTATCCAGAGTATAAAGTATCTGATGCTGTGTAAGTATAACGCCAAAGCACATTCACAGGTACAGAAATTGATGAGGGCTTAATCATGCTTTTTGGAAATATAGTAAAGAAGATAATGTTTTTTCTACCTTAAAAAATAAATTTTAGACCATGTCCTTCAAGCTATACAGTTTGTATTATTGACAATTGGCTCTGATTATATAATTTACTCTAGCCATTGCTTTCAATTTATTTATCTATATTTCTGATTATTCCTCTAACACAAAGATACTGAGGGCTTTCTCTGTGTTAGGCAACAGCTGCAAAGCTAACTCTTGGAATACAGAGATGTGAAACAATGCTAGCATGGCTCAGAAATAGTTTATTGCCTCATGAAATTTTTAGCTTAGTCCTATTCCCATAAACATTTCTATGTGAGTGGTGGGGACTGGGGGGGCACCTCACTCTCCTCCAGGGACAGGCCATGTCCTAAGCAGTAGTTTGAAGGTATCACTTTGGAGAATTTAGGTCTGGAGACTCTGTAGAAATCAGTGAGGTTTCAAAGCATCATTATTACATTGCAAAGTCACATGGGCAGGAGTAGATAAGAAGTAATATGTTGTATTTCCTCTTTTGTAGTGTGAGTTAGTTGATCTAAATGTTCACTGTGTTTTCTCTATCTTTGAATTATGTGTAACAACGTAGATAGCAAAGAGCTGTCAAGAGGCCATGAGATTTCAAATAAACAGTTAAGAGCATACTCCAGGAAACTGTAAAAGAACTAATTAGAGTCCACGTGTTCAGTGTCAGTTCAAAGACACAGAGAGATAGGTGCTCAACAGATGGAATATGTTAGAACCCGTAAAAATGACCAAGATGGGATGGCACAAAATCAGCAGAGCTATAATCAATAACCAATGAATTGGGACTCTCTTCTGTCTTTTCCACTGTATTTGGGTCTTCGTAGGTTATTCAATCATGTTTGAAGTGATGAAAAACCATTATTCATTCTCAAGGCAAAAGAACTAGATATGCTTTTGGGAAAAAGAGGATAACGGAAGGTTTTTAAACTTTTACAATGGGCCATTCTACATGCAGTGTACAAATCATCTAAAATTCATTTTTCCCCTAGAAAGACAGATCTTAAACCAGCTAGAAGTTATAAATAATGTGGTTCATCAGAGCTGTATACTCTTAAATTCAGATTTTCTGAGTCCATCCCACATTATCCTAGTTCCACAAGATAACTGCAAAAATGTCTCATTGCCAAATACATTCAACAGTGAACTATATAGTTGCCTCCAAGAAATTCATTGCACATTGGTCTGTTCATTGCATTAAGAAACCTTGCAGTTAAAAACAAACAAAAAATGTACTTAGTATGTTTTAAAATATAGCATCTCCAATATTATTTAAAACTTACTTTCCTTGTTGTTTCTCTGAATATTTCTCAAAAGAACTATTGGAAAATATTGCTTAACATGATTGATCTTCCATTTGATTGACCTGCGTTTACGCCCATGCCTATTTTGTGCAGGTGATCAATTCATTTGTGAAGAGTGCTTTCATAATTATGCATTGAAATGCACAAGGTTGTCATCCCTCAAAAATGCTACTATTATCACCCATAATTAAGTCTACCAAATTTACACTAGAAAACAAACACAAAGAGAACAGTGGGTAGTTGTTAGATCATTTAGCAATCAGAGGTAAAAATTAGTAGCAGAAACAAAATTATTGTCATTTCTCAAATTATTTTCAAAGACAATGTTGCCTTATTACTAATATTTGATTGGGAACATTTACAACCATTAATCTAGAAAAGAAATTCTTCTACTGCAATGCACCTCCTCTATTTACGTGTGTGAATGAGTGTCCATTTTCTTAAAGTTCCAAGTTACTTATTCATTCATTAGGTAATCTTTTTTCACATGGAACGAAATTTTTGTGGTAATTTATGATAGTTGAAAAAAAGATTTGGGGTGATTATAACCCTATTTAGATATTTCTGCCTGCATCTACATCATATCAAAAAAAGTAGGGCCTCCTCTCCCTTCCCTGAATTAACTATTGGAGGGGGCCAGGCATGGTAGCTCACAATTATAGTACCACCACTCTGGGAAGCTGAAGCAGGAGGATGGCTTGAGCCCAGGAGTTTAAGACCAGCCTGGGCAATATAGTGAAACCTTTTCTCTACCAAAAAAAAAAAAATTTTTTTTTAAATATTAGCTGCACGGGCCTGTAGTCCCAGGTACTTAGGAGGCTGAATCGGGAGGATCGCTTGAACCCTGGAGTTTTGACTGCAGTGAGCTATGATCCCATCACTGCACTCCAACGTGGGGGACACAGCAAGACCTTGTCTTAAGAAAAAAAAGAAAGAAAAAGTATTGGAGAAGTTTTTAATCTGTAGCATCCTTAGTCTTCAAATTTCATACCTTTATTACCACTGTCATGTTTCATGTGCTCAACAAATGTTAAAATAATGAATCTCAGCATGATTTCTAGAGATCGTACTGAGCAGGATTTAGAGGGGCAGGGGGGTTTCCCCACTTGTATTCCTGTCCTTCATATCTGTCTCTTCTGGATTTTTTAGTTTATTACTTTTCAGGGACAAGCTTTTCGTTTTTCTCCTCTAGATCAGCATAATCTGAAAAATATTAAAATTAAAATAACTAATAATAGACTGCATTAATAGATTAGTTCCTTGTACAGCTTTCATCGTTTTAAGTGAAAACTTTCTATAAGTTATTTAGGGTTTTGAATTTATAATACTGTAATTAAAATAAGGGTTTTTTCCTCCCACTGACAGTAAAGCTGTCACTGCCACAAGATTTGAGCTAAAAGAAAATCGTAGATTTTGTACTTCTTTGTCAGCGCTGCCAAAAAAAAAAAAAAGAGAGAGAGAGAGAAAGAGACATCTTGACAACTTTTAATTCAATCAGAGAACTTGAGTGAATCGAGCTTTCTTCTGAAGCACCATTCATCGAGCAAGACCCCTGACGGTGCCAGGTGGAAACTTAATGGATCCTTTCCACCTGGTTTGTTTTCAGTGTTTAATCCTATTAGTATCAGCAGGATGTAAGTCAGGGTATCAGGTGCAGAACCTGTGGAATCAGCCAATTTGGCTTGCTCGTTTACTTTAATAAGGTCCCATAATGAGTGAGAGTACAAAGTTCAAGCCCTGTTGAGGGTCTGCATTAAACTCTCAGAAGTATTTAGAGTGTGCCAGGAGCCGCGAGGGTCTGGTTCGGGTGGTGGCGGGAACTGTGTTAGAGCGCTAGGTACGGCGCGACAAAGTCTGTCCAACCCAAAACGGTGCTGAGGCATGGGGTCTGAGCTCCGGTACTCAGAAAAGCACCTCAGCCGGTACTCAACAGATCCTCGGGGGCTTGGGGGCTCAGCATTGGCAGTGAGGGCATGAAAGATATAAAAGACAGGGCACTACCTGTGGGTATTTTCTGTTCTCCAAGGAGGAAGTAGCAAAAATTAGGATGCTGGAATATCCTGTGTTGTAGCAATCCCAGAACAACTGGTGCTCAGCAAATACCACACAAAACAAATTTTTAAAAATTTAATCTCGCCGGCTACAGTGGCTCACGCCTATAATCCCAGCACTTCTGGAGGGCGAGGCGGGCAGATTACCTGAGGTCAAGAGTCCAAGACCAGCCTGGCCAACATGGCAAAACCCCGTCTCTACTAAAAATGCAAAAATTAGCCTGGCATGGTGGTGCACACCTGTAATCCCAGCTACTCGGGAGGCTGAGGCAGGAGAATCACTTGAACCAGGGAGGCGGAGGTTGCAGTAAGCTGAGATCATGCCATTGCACTACAGCCTGGGTTACAAGAGCGAAACTCCGTCTGAAAAAATAAAAATGTGATCTCTTTGTATCTGTTCTTTTTCTTTTAATTTTTTTCTTGACCCAAGCATGTGAACTCATAGTATACATTTTGATATCGAAGATACACTAAGAATTAAGTACTAGACCCAATCCCAGATAACAAAAAGTGACATAAATAGTGGAAGAAAGGACTATTTATTGGGTTTATACTATTAGACAGCGTGCTAGGAACATCCTTTATTGTCTTGTCTAGACCTTTTAAACATGCAGTAAGATGCAGATACTCTTTCCCAGTTGTACAGAGGAAACTGAGGCTTAGAGTTGCAGACTTAAAAGTATCTAACTGACATGTGGGAGGATGGGAAACTCATCCAGACTTTAGAGGAAATGAAGGATTCATTACACAGGTGAGTGTTTCTTGCAGCTGTTCTAGATCAGAAACAATTACCAATCTAGACTTTCATGTGATAAAGTCATTCGATAGAAATCCAAGCGGGCTGGGCATGGTGGCTCACGCCTGTTATTCCACCACCTTGGGTCAGGAGTTCGAGACCAGCCTGGCCAACATGGCGAAACCCTGTCTCTACTAAAAATACAAAAATTAGCTGGGAATGGTGGTGCTCCCAGCTACTTGGGAGGCTGAGGCAGGAGACTCGCTTGAGCCCGGGAGGCTGGGGTTGCAGTAAGCCCAGATGGCGCCACTGCACTCCAGCCTGGGTGACAGAGCAAGACTCCAAGACTCCGTCTCAAGAAATAAACAAAGAAAGAGAGAGGAGGGAGGGAGGGAGGGAAAGCCAAGTAACCACTCTCCTTCAGGGCTTCTAGTTTATGTATACACTATGTACTCAGCAAATATTTTTCTCTTAAGTGTGGTTGTTTCGATCCTATTTTCAGGAGGTGAATGTACAGCGTAAGTCCCCTCCTTTTCTGTTGATATGACTGTGTTGATTGGTAGTGCCAGCCACTTTCCATCTGAGCAGTTCTAGGTACATACTCGGTTGGTACGCAAAGGAAAACTATTCTGCATGCCATTAATGCTGGAATAAAATGTGTTTAGGAAGTGTGGCTGTTTTCCCAGGTCATGTTTAATTGAAGGATTTCTGTCACATACTTGTTCTTGTTGATGTGTTCCTGGGGCCTGGAGAAATGCTGCCCACCCCGTCACTTCTCTGGAGAATCTCAGGGCTGCATGGATGGTATGATGCTGCCCGGGCTGACCATTCTGAAAATACTGCTGGCTGGTCCCTAGCAGCAGGTCAGCACCTTGGTTACACGGTGTTTACAGAGGCATGCCCAAAGGAGATACATTGACTATTCCTGGTTATTTTTTGTCCTGTAAATAGAGACATTGTTCAAAGTCTTTTTTCCCCTAACATTTAAAACAACACGTTAGGCCTTTTAAGTGTTTGCCAAAGAACCTGGAGTTTTACTGGAGTCTTGACTAACCTGCTGAACTTTTCAAGCTGAAACCCTGAGGGTTACAGTATAAAAATTTAGAACCTACTTAGAGCAGCAGTCTCCTCATGCTGTTACTGGTCTCCTTAAAGTCAGAAACAAGATCTACAGCTGCTGCTGTCGGTCACCTGAGAGACCAGGCTGAGGCAGCCCAGCGACCTCCCAAGGAGCCTTTTAATTACTAGGTTCAAGTGTGGTTTGCAGTGAACGTGGCGAAGGAGGTGTGGGCTGCTGTGCAGTGAGGCAGAGGCAGAGCACTCAGTGCGCATTTGTGCCCTGCCTGTTCCTCCTGGCAACTCCAGGATGTCATCAGCCTTGCAGGGAGGGGGCTCACCTTCTTAGTGTGGGAAACTGGCCCCAGGGCATACCCCCTTGAGCGTTTCGTAGTTAGAAACTTGTGTGCAGCTTCCCAAGGGACCTTCCTGTGTACAGATGTCCACTCTGTGGAAAAGGATACAATGGGAAGCTTCCAGTGTCCTGTGCAGCTTCTTAGATTCCATTTGGGATTCACCTGGAAAAAGCAATGCCTTACCCCTTGAAGTTTCTCCATTTAAACTCCAGTTAGGTAAAGGGGAGAAAAGTAGAAATATTCACCTTTTGTGTTCCCCATCTTTTAATTTTTTGTTGTTTCGGTTAATAAAAATAACATATTCAGCATGAGAATTTGGAAAATGCAGAAAAGTAGAAGACAATTAAGCCCCCAGCCCCCCACTCGATGCTGTGGTAACAAGCATTCTTGCTCTGCGGCCAACCTCATACCCTGTATGCAGCTTGTATCCTGCCTTTTCCCCTTTTAGAAACTCTTGGCCAAATAATCTTAACCATAAGCATAGTATTTCATATTAAAATTTTGTTGGTTTTCTTTTAAAACATTGTTTTTAATATCTTTTGCCAGGTCAGCTTCAATAAGATATAATTGTACCCAATGAAGGTCATCACTTTCAGGTATGCAATTTGATAAGTTTTGACATCTGTGTACAGTCATATAACCACCACTATGATCAAGATATAGAACTCCATCACTCCAGAAATTTCCCTCATGCCCCTTTGGAGTTGATCCTTCCCCCAACCCCCACACAGATCCCAGCAGCCATTGGTCTTCTTTCTGTCCCTGCGATTTTGTCTTTTCCAGAATGTCATATACCTGGAATCATGTGATAGTTAGCCTTTTGAGCCTTCCATTTAACTTCTTTCATTTAGCATGATGCATTTGCGATTTGTGGTGGTGCGTGTATCCTCAGTTCACTCCGTTTTACTGCTAAGTGGTATTCCACTGTATGCAGGTATCACTATTTATCCATCACCCAGGGGAAGGACATTTAGGTTGTTGCCAGTTTTTGGCAATCAAGAATCAAGCTGCTATAAATATTTGTTTACAGGTTTTTGTATGAATTAAGTTTTCATTTTCTTTGGGTAAATATCCAGGAGTGGGATTGCTGGGTTATATGGTAACTGTATATTTAACTTCATAAGAAATTGATACACTCTTTTCCAAAGTGGCATCACCATTTTGGATTCCCCCCAGCAGTATACAAGGCTTCAGCTCACTCTGCACCTTCACCAATACTTGATATTGATACACACCCCTTTTGCTTGTTTGTTCAGCAGTTCTAATGGGTATGTAGTGGTATCTCATTGTGGCTTTGGTTTTTATTTCCCTAATGACTAATAAGCATCTTTTCCTGTGATTTTTTGCCATCCGGATTTCTTATTTGGCGAAATATCTTTTCATTTTTTCCCTTTTGTCCAGGGTTGTTTATTTTCTGACTGCATTTTGAGAGTTCTTTATAGATTCTGGATACAAGTCCTTTTAAGCATTTTACAAATATATTCTTCTAGATTGGTTTTTCTTTTCATTTTGTTGTTGGTGGTGGTGGTGGTTTGTTGTTGTTGTTGTTGTTTTTGAGACAGAGTCTTGCTCTGTCGCCCAGGCTGGAGTGTAGTGGCACGATCTCGGCTCACTGCAACCTCCGCCTCCCGGGTTCAAGCGATTCTCCTGCCTCAGCCTCCTGAGTAGCTGGGATTACAGGCGCCTGCCACCATGCCCAGCTTATTTTTGTACTTTTTTAGTAGAGATGGGGTTTCACCATGTTGGCCAGGCTGGTCTCGAACACCTGACCTCGTGATCCACTGGCCTCAGCCTCCCAAAGTGCTGGGATTACAGGCGTGAGCCACTGCAGCCAGCCTCTTTTCATTATTTTAACAGTGTCTTTTGAAGAGTGGAAGTTTTAAATTTTGATGAAGTCCAGTTTATCAGATTTTTCCCCTTGGATTTTACCTTTGGTGTCATATCTAAAAAATCTTTGCGTAACTCTAAGTTGCAAATATTTTCTTCTATGTTTTCTTCCAGAAGTTTTACAGTTTTAGGTTTTACAATTAAAATGTACAGTTCAAGTTAATCTTTGTATATAATGCAAGCTATGGATTAAGGTCCACTGTAGCAAGCGGCAGATGTTCTTAAGTATCTCCCTCCCTCCCTCCCTCTCTTCTTTCCTTCCCTCCCTCCTTCCTTCCCTCCCTCCCTCTTTTTTTTTTTTGAGACAGTTTCACTCTGTCACCCACCCAGGCTGGAATGCAGTAGCACTATCACAGCTCACTGCAGCCTTGATATCCTGGGCTCAAGTGATCCTCCCGCCTCAGCCTCCTAGGTAGCTGGGACCACAGGTGTGTGCCACCACACCTGACAAATTTTTAAATTTTTTGTAGAGGCAGGGTCTCCCTGTGTTGCCCAGGCTGGTCTCAAACTCCTGGGCTCAAGCCTTCCCTTATCAGCCTCCTAAAGTACTGGATTACAGGCATGAGCCACCACACACAGCCAAGTGTCTGTTTAAAAAGAAAAGTTGTTCCTAAATGATTCCTTACACTCCAGTAAAACAGGGCTGTGAAAATGAGTTATGTGGAAAGCTGACCGTAGCTGCTGCTTTTTAAAAACCATACCTTCTTATCCGCCCGTTTTGAGACTGGCCCTTTGTTGATCTACAGCTCTCCTTTTCTGGAAGATGCTGGAAAGAACACTGTTAGTGGCCTTCATTTCCCCTCTGGTCTGGGTCTCCTGTAGATGGCTTCTACGATTCTGGCCCCTCTGTACACATCATTCTCGCTCAGCAGCTGCACAGGTAGACAGTGAAAACTAGCATCTTTTTGATTATAGACTGTTGGCTTCCTGGGGAACAGCCATGTTCCATGTTGGGTCAGCTTATTGATAAGGGGAAGAGACCTAGCATTCATTAAAAACTTACCCAGCAACTTTGCTGTGTCACAGAAGTCCTATATAGCATAAAATAGTACTAGGTCCATCTTAGATGAAGCAGTGAGATCTGTTCAAGGTCATCCAGCTAGTAAAATGGTTCAACTTGACTTGCCTTACTCCAGAACTTTTTGCTTATGCCATTATTTCCTGTTAGCTCTTCATGGAACCACTTCCTGTGTGTCTGATGGCTCACTGTGCACTCACACACACACACCAACTAATGGCAGGTGCAGATTGGCAGGTGCAGATGACAAGTATTGCAGTGCAGTTGCTTTTAGCAATTTATCTTCCTTTTTCTTCTGAGCTGGATTTAATTTACTTTAGTTTCCCACATTTGGCATTGTAGCTTTTACCTTTAGAATGGCTAATTGGCTACTGCAATATTTCTTTCATATGTGAATTATAAAAGTGGCCTTAATGGATGTTTCTTTTCATCCAGTTAGGTGTTTATTGTATCAGTGTGTGACTGGGAAGGCCAGGCTAGCTGCAGGTTATCACAGGCCTCTTGCAGTACTTCACTGGACCCCTTGAGTCCTTTTCAGTGGATCATCTCCTGCCCATCTTCACTACTCCGGAGTGGTCTCACCATCTTTACTGGGAGTCCCAGAACGTGTCTGTTCAGAGCGATGAGACCCAGGGCAGAAAGATTCCGGTTACCCTTTCCCGGTCTCCTCATCCTAACTCCTTGGATCTTATCACAGTAAATGATCAGAAGTGGAAATTCTCATGTTAGCTGAAATTCTCTTCATGTTTTTTTCTTGTGTTTAGACCTCGTTATCTTTAGGCATCCCTGTTACTGATGATAACCACTCTGATTCCCTAGTTTGTAAGACACTGCACCCCCTCCATATTTAAAAGTTATTTGCCATTGGAGGTATCATCAAAGACTACTCTCCCTTTCTAAAATCTTGGTGTTAGCAGCTAGAAGAGAGACTGCCAGTCTTCCCCGCCAGCCCTACTTTATGACTTAATGCATGGCACCACTTGTGCAGCTGATGCCTGGTCGGGCCACACTTTCCATTATGAACATGCTCTTTCCTGACTTCCCTCACATTCATTGAAGTCCAGTCCCGGCTCAGTTGCTGGCCGCGGCTGCTTCTATTGTAGAAAGTGGAATGAATAAAAATGAAGGGCTTCTGACACTGGGGTGAAACTTTGTCACTGAAGAGATCTTTTCAATCCAAGAAGAGGAACCCAGCCAGCTTCGCCAAAGCTGGAAAAAGCTGCAACCTTCTTTTGCCCCTGTTGAGATATTGGAACCCCCACTGGTTGGCTTCCCTCTGCCCTACAGCTGCCCACCTGAGATTTCTCACCTGGGCAGAGCCACAGCACAGCACAGAGAAACTCAGTTTCCGGGGACTTTGGCAGGGATCTTGGTGCTGTGGGAGGATTCAAACCCCATCTCAGCCACTTGCTAGCTCTGTGCATCTGGTCATATTACCCCACTTCTCGCAATCTGTTCTTGCATCTGTAAAATGGGGTAGTGTTACCACCTCGGTGGGCTTTTAATGAAGATTATATGAGTTAAATGCCCACTGTATTGCCAGCAAAGAATCCAGCATGGTGCTCAGTGAGGAATACCGTGCATGGCTACAGTTTAACTCCTGTGAAATAAATAGATGCTGGAGGCAGGGAGGTGCTTCCTCCGCCCCCCCGTGATGTTTCTGTGGTTTCACCTTCCCATGCTGGGCACTGCCCTCCCTAGACAAGACCTGTCTGTGGACTGTTTCCAGTACAGCTGTTTAGCCAGACGCTGGCCCCGTCTGCAGCCATCACAGGCCCTCTGTCTCTCTGCTGGTCATGTCATGCTCTCCTCAAGGTGCCGTCCTGCTGTTCATATTGTTTCATTCTTTCCCACCAGGAAGCATCTGGACGAACAGTCCTGCCACGCTCTTTGAAGTTCCCGACACATGGTAACCAAGACCTGAGGGCAGCAAACCGCTGGTGCTGTCTCTGTGAGCAAGAGCCGGGTGGCACATTTGGAAGCCATACTGTATTTAACTTAATCAAATGTGGTATGGGAGGGGTTGGAAACCAAGTTGTCTCCTGGGGGGAAGAAAAGACAGGTTTTATTTTTGTGGCTGTGTTTTTTTCCCTTTTTAATCTAACTGCCTGTTGATGTTGACACTCATCAGGGTTGTAGGCTGTCATGAATGTGTACGTGCTTAACCAGTGAATTCCATGTTGCTCGTGTGAGGCCTTTCCTGTCATGACCCACTGTGCTTAAGAACCTGCCTGATGGGGAGTGTCGGCTGTGAAATCTGCAAAAAGAGCTGACGTTCCGGCTGCCGTGATCATGAATTGGGGGTGTACTCTCCTGCCTGTGCATCTTCTCGCGCTGAGATTTTGAGGCGGTTGCAGCCCTCGGTTAGTCTCCCAGTGGAGAGAAATCAGTTGTGCCTCCCTGCTTCCCACCATAGCTGCCTGAAAACATGACGCTCTTACGCTTGTCCTTCCATCAGGAAGGTGTCCACTCACGCCCACCCATGAGGGGGCTTGCCGTATGCCCTGGCCTTTGGGCATATTTATGTAGAGTTCCTTTCTCCTAAGACGTGAGTTTCTGATGGGGGATGTACGAGTAAAAAGGTTAACTTCTGTTCTTATGCGTGGCGCTGTGTTCACTTTCCAGAGTCTGTTTGGATGGCGGTCTCGGGGTACGGCAGCGTGTGTGTGTATGTGTGTTTGTGTGTGTGTGTGTGTGTGTGAAATCGTGCAAATCTACATGTCCCAGCCCATTCTCTGTTGAAACAGATCACAGCAACGACAAACACTCATGGCGCCGCTTCACTCCACCCGCTTCAGATAGATCATTGTTAGATATTTCACATTTTTGTATGGTGGAAATAAAAATGAAAAATGTATTTCCAAAAGATGAAAATTAAAGACATTTTCATAGGACTCTGGTTTTCTCCTCTCTTTTTTTAAATAAGTGAATGATGTTTTCACTCTCTAGTAATACACAGATAAATTTCACACTCTTAAAAAATCTGCTAAGCCACTAAGGCTGATGTTCATGGATTTTTTTCTTTTTCTTTTTACCCCTAACTGCTGTACCTGCCACGATGGGTCAGCTCCTCAGTGCAGAGCTGAGCCCTGGTGTTAAGTGGCCTTGTAGGAGGGTGGGAGGAATGAGGACCCTTAGCACTCACGCTGGAATCCCAGGACGTTATGCAGATTCCGATTTGTAAGACAATTTCCCCAATCAAGAGCCTCTGTCACACCTGTAAGCTGAGATGGGAGGATCACTTGAGCCCAGAAGTTCAAGACCAGCATGGACAACACAGTGAGACCCTGTCTCTTTAAAAAAAAAAGAAAAAGAAAAAGAAAGAAAAAAAATTTCTTTTTTTTTTTTGTTAAGCATGTTAACTTCTCTTTAAGCATGTTTAAAAAAAAAACAACTTCTCTTTTTTTAAGCATGTTAACTTCTGGAGTTTTGTAGCCACAAAGTTAGAAACCCAGGCTTGGCTGGAAGGACTGCCCACCCCTCCTGTAGTCAGCACCCACGGCTCAGTGGAAAGTGTGAAGGTGGGATGGAGACAGACAGTAAAGGAGGGTGTATGCAGGAGTGTGTAGAGAGGGCTGCCAGACTGCCGAGTCAGCAGCACTCACAGGGAGAAATGAGGAGAGTCTGACCCTTCTTTTTGAAAGAAAAAGAGGGGGCCCAGCACAGTGTCTCAGGTCTATAATCCCAACACATCGGGAGGCCAAGACAGGAGGATCACATGAACCCAGGAGTTCGAGACCAGCCTGGGCAACATAGGGAGGTCCCATCTCTACAAAAAATACAAAAATTAGCCGGGCATGGTGGCGCATGCCTGTGGTCCCAGCTACTCAGGACCACAGGAGAATCGCTTGAACCTGGGAGGTGGAGGTTGCAGTGAGCTGAGATTGTGCTGCTGCACTCCAGCCTGGGCAACAGAGCAAGAATCTGTCTCAAAAATAAAAGGAAAATAAACAACTTCACAGGGTAGTTGTGAGGATTAAATGAAATTACATACAATGCCCAGGACGCGCAAGTACATAGTAAATTGTAGTTATATTTAAAAGTCATGGTTTTGATCTGAAACCCTTACTGCATTTGCTTCTATCAGTGGGAGCAGACATAGTCACTGGAATGTGGCTTAGAATGAAACACCCAGAGGAGCTTTCATACATGCCCAGAACTTTATTTTCTCTGCTGCATCAAATGACTTAAAACAAGTGAGCTGTGGCTCACGCCTGCAATCCTGCCACTTTGGGAGGTGGAGGCAGGTGGATCCCTTGAGCCAGGAGTTCAAGACCAGCCTGGGCAACATGACAAAACCCTGTCTCTACAGAAAATTTAAAAATTGGCCGGGTGTGGTGGTGTTCGTCTGTTGTCCCAGCTACTCAGGAGGCTGAAGCAGGAGGATTGCTTGAGCCTAGGAGGTTGAAGCTGCAGTGAACTGTGATTGCACCACTGTGCTTCCAGCCTGGGTGTCAGAGCAAGACCCTGTCAAAAACAAAACAGGTGAGCTGGGCTAACCCACTTCCTCCTCCACACACACACACCGGGCTTTCTTGACATATCTTTTGGGCATAAAATCCTAGGATGGTACTTCTGGCCTTTTGATACCGAGGCCCAGGGGCATATTATGACAACAAGGCTATGGTCTGGGGGCTTCTTGAATATGGTAGCCAGATCTGGAGGCAGGCGTCAGAGTGGGAACTTCCGTGTTTCCCTGCAGATAGTTCTGTAGTCCTTTGATTTTGGAGCTGGGCTGGAGACCAAGCGCTGTGGCTCTGTCCATTTTCATAACTGTGTATTTCTCCAGTTTTCCCCTTGAGATTTTATTATGAAGATTTTCAAGCATACACCACCTAGGTCATCATTACCATTTTGTTATACAGTCATGCCTTGCCGTCAACAATGGAGGTCCCACTAGATGATCTTAGAGCTGGGAAATTCCTATCAGCTCCAGTGTATCTGTGTTTTAAGCTAAGTGTTTTTACAAAGGGGTCAAATAGTTGAAAAAAATTTAGAAGTTTATTAAGTAAAGAAGTTACAGTAAGCTAAGGTCATTTTCTTCTTGAAAGGAAAATTTTTTTAAAATTCAGGGTAACCGTGAGTCCCAGGCCTTCACATTCACTCTCTATCACTCACCAGAACGCCTTCCAGCCCTGCAAGCTCCATTCACGGTAAGTGCTCTACACAAATGTATCATTTTTATTTTTTATACTGTATTTTTATTATAGTTTTTCTATGTTTAGATACACAAATACCATTGGGTTACAGTTGCCTACAGTATTCCATACAGTAACATGTTGTAAAGGTTTGTAGCCCAGGAGCAATAGGCTATACTATCTAGGTTTGGGTAAGGACACTATGATGTTCATACAATGGTAACATTGCAGGCTGGGCATGGTGGCTTACACCTGTGATCCCAGTGTTTTGGGAGGCCAATGCAGGAGGACTGAGTTCAAGTCTGCAGTGAGCTATGATCACACCACTGCACTCCAGCCTGGGGACAGAGTGAGATCCTCTCTCTAAAAATAATAAAATAAAAATCCTTCTATCCACGTTTGGGAATATTAAATTTTTTTAAATCACCTAATGACACATTTCTCAGAAAGTATCCCCATCATTAAGTGACATGTGACTGTATTTGCTTTATTACATATCCTTCCATTCCTCAATTTATCTTTTCTTTCTTTCTTTCTTTCTTTTTTTTTTTTTTTGTTTACAGACAGTCTCACTCTGTTGCCCAGGCTGGAGTGCAGTGGCATGATCATAGCTCACTGCAGCCTCGAACTCCTGGCCTTGAGCAGTCCTCCCACATCAGCCTCCCAAAGTGCTGGGATGACAGGCGTGAGCCACAGTGCCCAGCCTACATAACGTTTTTGAGATTCATCAATGTTTTGTAGGTATCAGTACTTCCTTCCTCTCTATTTCTGAGTATGGCTCTACTGCTGCTTATTTATTCAACTGATGAACACCTAGGCTATTTCCAGTTTGGGGCCATTATGAATAAAGCTGCTGTGAACAGTCTTGTACAAGTCTTTGAGAACAAAATCTTCAATTTGGGGGAGTAAATGCCAAGGAGTGGAACTGTTGGGTCATGGGATAGGTGGTCTATTTAGAAACTGCCAGATCTTTTTCCAAAGTGATCATGTAATTTATACTGTCACCAACAATGTATGAGAGTTCTATTATCTCCCTTCCTTAGCAACATTTGGTGGTGTCAGACTTTAATTGAGCCATTTTGATGGGCGTATAGTATATCTCTTTGCAGTTTTCGTTGTCATTTATCTGATGACTCCTAATGATGTACTTACTGGCCACAGGTATATCTTCCTTTGTGAGTTAGCTGTTCAATTATCTTGCCCATATTTCATCAGATTGTTGGTCGCTTCATTAAGTTGTAGAAGTTGGCCAGGCATGGTAGGTCACGCCTGTAATCCCAGCACTTTGGGAGGCTGAGGTGGGAGGATCACTTGAGGTCAGGAGTTCGAGACTAGCCTGGGCAACACGATGAAACCCCGTTTCTACTAAAAATACAAAAATTAGCTGGGCATGGTGGCAGGCACCTGAGCCTGTAATCCCAGCTACTTGGGAGGCTGAGGCAGGAAAATCACTTGAACCTGGGAGGCGGAGGTTGCAGTGAGCTGAGATCACGCCACTGCACTCCAGCCAGAGCAAGACTCTCTCAAAATCAAACCAAAAAAAAAGTTGTAGCAGTAAGTTGATTACATATTTTGGACATCAGTCCTTTGTCAGATAGTTGTTTTGCAAATATTTAGTCCCAATGTATGGCTTGCTTATTTTCTTTTTTTTTTTTTTTGAGACGGAGTCTTACACTGTCACCCCAAGGTGGAGTGCAGTGACGCGATCTCGGCTCACTGCAAGCTCTCCCTCCTGGGTTCACGCCATTCTTCTGCCTCAGTCTCATGAGTAGCTGGGACTACAGGCGTCTGCCATAACGCCTGGCTAATTTTTTGTATCTTTAGTGGAGACAGGGTTTCACTGTGTTAGCCAGGATGGTCTCGATCTCCTGACCTCGTGATCCACCCACCTCGGCCTCTCAAAGTGCTGGGATTACAGGCTGGAGCCACTGTGCCCAGCTGGCTTGCTTATTTTCTTAACAGTATCTTTTACTGGGCAGAAGTTTTTAATTAGGATGAAGTCTGTTTTATAGACTTTTTCTATGTCCTGCCTAAGAAACCCCCAAGTTATATTCATCCATGTTTCCTTCGAGCTTTCTAGTTTTAGCATTTATGTTTAAATCTATGATCTATCTTGAATTAACTTTTTATGGATGGTACGACACTAGAGTTGAGATTCCCTCATTCCATATGGTTGTCTAGTTATTCCAGAACCATCTGTGGAGAAGACCTTTTTGTTTAATTGTTGTGCTGCTTTGGTCAAAATTCTGTTTACTTAATTATAAGCATGGATCTTGAGGGGGTGTGTGTGTTTCATTTTATTTATTTTCATTGACAAATAATAATTGTACATGCTCATGGAGTACATAGTAATGTTTCTTTTTTTTTTTTTTTTTTTTTTTGGACAGAGTTTCGCTCTGTCACCCAGGCTGGCGTGCAGCGCCCCAATCTTAGCTCACTGCAACCTCTAGCTCCCGGGTTCAAGCAATTCTCCTGCCTCAGCCTCCTGAATAGCTGGGATTACGGGCATGCATGACCATGCCCAGCTAGTTTTTTGAATTTTTAGTAGAGACGGGGTTTCGCCATGTTGGCCAGGCTGGTCTCGATCTCCTGGGCTCAAGTGATCCTCCCACCTCAGCCTCCCAAAATGCTGGGATTGCAGGAGTGACCCACTGCCCTTAGCCAATAGTAATAGTAATTTTTTGTTTGTTTGTTTTTTGAGACAGGGTCTCGCTTTGTTGCCCAGGCTGGAGTGCAGTGGCGTGATCTAAGTTCACTGCAGCCTTGACCTCCAAGGCTAAAGCAACCTTCCAACCTCAGCTTCCAGAGTAGCTGGGACCACAGGCATATGCCACCACACCTGGCTAGTTTCTTGTGTTTTGTTGTTGTAGAGGTGGGGTTTCACCATGTTGCTCAGGCTGGTCTCGAACTCCTGGGCTCAAGTGATCTGCCCGCCTCAGCCTCCCTCCAGAAGTGCGGGATTATAGGCGTGAGCCACCACGCCTGGCCTGGATCATATGATGTGCTATTTGTAGTGTTTTGAGGAGCCTCCATGCTGTTCTCCATAGCGGCTATACTAGTTTACATTCGTGAATGTGAGTTTTTTATTTATTTATTTATTTTGAGACAGAGTCATATTGTAATTACATATATAACGTAATGAGGTGATGGATATGCTAATTACCCTTATGTAATCATTATACATTATATGTGTGGAAACATTACATCCGTGGTTCACCCAGGCTGGAGTGTAGTGGCACAATCTCAGCTCACTGCAGCCTCTGCCTCCGGGCTCAAGTGATCCTCCCACTTCATCCTCCCAAGTAGCTGGAGTTATAGTCACATGCCACTACACCCAGCTAATTTTTGTTTTGTTTTGTTTTGTTTTGTTTTTTGAGATGCAGTCTCGCTCTGTTCCCTAGGCTGGAGTGCAGTGGCATGATCTCAGCTCACTGCAACCTCCACTTCCCGAGTTCAAGCAATTCTCCTGCCTCAACCTCCCAAGGAGCTGGGATTACAGGTGTCCGCCACCATGCCCAGCTAATTTTTGTACTTTTTAGTAAAGACGGGGTTTTGCTGTGTTGGCCAGGCTGGTCTCGAACTCCTGACCTCAAGTGATCCACCCACCTTGGCCTCCCAAAGTGCTCGGATTACAGGCGTGAGCCACCGCGCCCAGCCCCTGAGTGTGTGTGTGTGTGGTTTTGTTTTGTTGTTTTTTGTTTGTTTGTTTGTTTGTTTTTGAGATGGAGTCTCGCTCTGTCACCCAGGCTGGAGTGCAGTGGCACAATCTCAGCTCACTGCAACCTCCACCTCCCAGGTTCAAGTGATGCCTGCCTTAGACTCCTGAGTAGCTGGGATTACAGGCATGCGCCACCACGCCCGGCTAATTTTTGTATTTTCAGTAGAGACAGGGTTTCACCATATTGGCCAGGCTGGTCTCGAACTCCTGACCTCATGATCCACCAGCCTTGGCCTCCCAAAGTGCTGGGATTACAGGCGTGAGCCACCACGCCTGGCCGAGTGTGTGTGTTTTTAAAGCGTGCATCATTATTACTGAACAGCAGCACCAAGAGAGTCTCACAGTTCCTGTGTGTTCCCACTTGGACTATTTTGCAACACTCCTCTTGACGTTGAAAAGAAAATGCTATGACACTTGGTTACTGCTGAGGCGAGGCCAAGCCACCCTCTCCAGACCTGGGAAACCAGTGAGTATTAAAAATAGTTCAATCTTTTTCGCTACTTTTTTAAAAATCTCATGAGTTCAGCTGAAATCTTTTTCCCCAAAATGATTCATGGAGTAAATCAATGCATCTGATTTTTGCTGAGGAGGGGAAATAGGACACCTGAAGGCCAGTTCATGTTTCCCCTGGTTGTGAGCCATCCTCTCCTCCAAGTTGCCTGATCCCTGCAAACAGCAGTTCTGTTTGTCTTCAGCTGCCTGCTTTTTCTAGTCGTGCTGTGAACTTGAACTTGAGAAAGCTTGATGCTGACTGGGCCTGGTGAAAACGCTACACGTTCAAGTTGAGGGTCTTTTTAAATGGAAATCTTTTAGACTGGCTCATGTCTGTAATCTCAGCACTTTGGGAGGCCGAGGCGGGCAGATCTCTTAAGGTCAGGAGTTCGAGACCATCCTGGCCAACATAGCAAATCCCCGTCTGTACTAAAAACACAAAAATTAGCCAGGCGTGGTGGCGCATGCCTGTAATCCCAGCTACTTGGGAGGCTGAGGCAGGAGAATCACTTGAACCCAGGAGGCGGAGGTTGCAGTGAGCCAAGATCGCACCACTGCATTCCAGCCTGGGTGACCAAAAAAAAAAAGAAAAAAAAAAGTTTTCCAAAAATAAAGGTTTAGACAGATGATTCTTGTCAAAAAAGGACAACAAAGAAGCACCTTTTTTTTTCTGTTTTAGGGGGTGAGGTGGGGAACTTAAGTATGTTTCATAAGGAAAGAGTGAACCCTCACGGTGATATTTTTTAAGCTTGAAAACATAGGAAAATGCTAAATCAGAAACTTGAAGCCAGGGAGCCTTGCCTGTGTGTGCAAGCGTGGACTTGAGCAAAGCGAAGCCTTAGGCACCTGTGCCAGGCCCGTGCAACTTTTCCGTGGACACGTCTTCCCATATTTCCAATAACAACCAGAGAACCAGTTACCCGCCTTTTGCTGCCGTCCTCTTCCTGCAGGAGGAAGGGTGGGGGGACAGGATTCTTCCACCCAAGTGCCCTTGCAGGTGTCTAAGCCTGGGCGGTGGATTCTTGGTTCCTGGCAGGCCTTGGTGGGCAGGCAACAGCCAGAATGCCAAAAAACACCCAGTTAGATTGAATGTGGTTCCCTAGTTGCGGCTGTCGGTAGGGAGGAAACTTAAGTCTCCTTACACATCTCCTCTCTGCGCGCTGCGGTCTAGTTTGCGCAGCCTCTTCTTATTCCTAATAACCCAAAATCTGAGAATTTAGAGTCCTTCTTGTTACTTAGGAAGGACTAATCTTCCCCGGCAGGTTGTCCTGCATTTGTTGAATGGGGTAAAAATTGCATAGCATCTCGAGTGCTGTGCCTACAAATTACCTTGATAAACGATTGTGACTCAGCAAAGCTTAGGCTTTTGCCCTAGTTTTGGAGGCTGGGGCTAACTAGGAAAAAATGGAGGGTCTGTTGGGTGTTTCTGCTGTTTTTACAAGGCTTCAGAATTCCCCACTGTCTGCGTGTGTGTGAATCAGCAAGTGCTTCGCATCCTGATTGGGTGGTGTGATGGGAGCACCCACCTCGCAGAGCCTCAGAGCCCTCATTGTCTCCCTTTTCCATTTGCTCATTCCTACTTTGGCTAGTGGCACCCTGAAAGAGTTTTCATCAGTAACAGTGTTGAGGAAACCACGCATTAGAGGCAGCGGGGCCACACTAATCAGCATCTGGGCTGGGTGATTGCTCAGATCTGAGCTCGGAGCTTGCTGTGCTGCTCACCAGCTGTGTGAGCCCGAGGATGCTGTCCCGGCTCCCAGCCTCGGTTTCCTCAGCTGTGGGACTAGACGGGACTAAACCAGGGGGAGAACGGAAAGCACCCACGGGTAGTAAGTGCTCACCGAGGCATTTTCCCAGATTCCTGCCATTGTTTACTGACACTGGGAAGCACCCACAGCCTCCTCCTGGAAAACACACACCCCCTGCTCTCAAGAACTTTCCATTTTAAAACAGACTTGCCCTCTGGTGTGTCATCCTTGCTTTCTGAAAGTGAGTTTTCTTCTCTACGCCACTGTATGTTTTTTTCTGATAGCAGTAGGGAACTGTGTATTGGAGCTCACTCTATGGGAAGCGTTTTGTACTCTTGACGTTTAGGCATGATTATCCCCATTTGAAGGTAAACGGAGGCTCAGGCGGGTTCAGTAACCTGCACTGGAGGTCAGGGTCAGTGGCAGAGCTGGAATTCAAGCCCCAGGATGTCTGACTGCAACGCCCATGTGCCTAACCACGATTTGATACCGTCATCCAGATGAAGGACATCACAGGGTAGGGAGATAAAGATAGAAGGAGGTGGAGGTGCCCAGCAACTGAGGGTGGCTGGGATCCCTTCATAAACCTGGCTCATCTATGTAGAGCATGGATCCTTCTGGAGTCAGTGCACCTGGATGGGGCCAGAATCCCCCCTCTTCCCACTCTCTCTGTCTGTAGCTCTAGAAATAGAGTTATACACATACCTGCAACTTCCCCTTTCTGCATGCCACAGGCAGACATCACACTTTGTCCATCTCTTAGATTATTCTTAAGAGATAGCTTCCAGGAAGGGGGATTACAGCACCAGGAAGCAGAAACATTTCAAAGGCTCTTGATACATGTGGCCAAACTGTTTTCCAATTTACTCATCAGCCAGAGGACTACAGATCCTGCAGTGCAGCATTTAAAACACCCACCTCCCAAACCAGCCAATCATTTCTTTTTTCTTTTTTTTTTTTTGAGATGGATTCTCGCTCTTGTCACCCAGGCTGGAGTGCAATGGCGTAATCTTGGCTCACTGCAACCTCCGCCTCCCAGGCTCAAGCGATTCTCCTGCCTCAGCCTCCCTAGTAGCTGGGATTACAGTTGCATGCCACCACACCCAGTTAATTTTTGTATCTTTAGTAGAGACAGGATGTTGGCCAGGCTAATCTCAAACTTGTGACCTCAGGTGATCCACCCACCTCAGCCTCCTGAAGTACTGGGATTACAGGCGTGAGCCACTGTGCCCGGCCTTTTTTTTTTTTTTTTTTTTTTTTTTTTTTTTTTTTTAAGAGATGAGATCTCGCTCTGTTACCCAGGCTGCAGTGCAGTGGCACAATCATAGCTCACTGCAGCCTCGAACTCCCAGGCTCCAGCAATCCTCCCTTCTCAACCTCCCAAATATCTGGGACCACAGGTGCATGCCACCACGCCCAGCTAATTTTTTATTTTTTATTTTTATTTTTATTTTTTATTTTTGTTTTTTTTGAGACAGAGTCTCCCTCTGTCCCCCAGGCTGGAGTGCAGTGGCACGATCTTGGCTCATTGCAAGTTCCGCCTCCCAGATTCAAGCCATTCTCCTGCCTGAGCCTCCCGAGTGGCTAGGATTACAGGTGCCCACCACCCCGCCTGCTAATTTTTTGTTATTTTTAGTAGAGACGGGGTTTCACCATCTTGGCCAGGCTAGTCTTGAACTCCTGACCTTGTGATCCACCCGCCTCGGCCTCCCAAAGTGCTGGGATTACAGGTATGAGCCACCGCACCCAGCCTAATTTTTTAAATTTTCATAGAGACAGGGTCACGCCATATTGCCCAGGCTGGTCTTAAACTCCTGGCCCTGAGTGATCCTCCCACCTTGGCCTCCCAAAGTGTTGAGATTACAGGTGTGAGCCACTGTGCATGGTGAAATATGTTTTTATATATTGGGACAACTGAGAATATTAGAATGTGGACAGGCTATTAGATGATACTGAAATGTGTTAATTGTGCTTAGGAGTGACATGTCTAATGTCTAACTTATCTTTAACCTCACAGAGTGAGATGAAACAAATACAGAAAATAATAATTACCAAATCTAGGTAGTGGGTAGATAGGTGGGTTTATGGTACACCTGGGATGACAGGTGTGAGTCACCGCGCCCGGCCTTAAACATTTCAATTACAAGGGGGATATGGGGGCCCACAGCGACAAGGGGTTTCACCTCCAGGAAGAAACAGACATGGAACCTGCTGGCTGGGCTTTGAAACTCCTTGTTCTCAGCATGTGGCCCCAGTGGAGCAGCATCAGCCTCACCTGAGACCTTGCTAGAAATGCGCATTCTTGAGCCCCACTTCAGTCCTACTGAGTCAGGAACTCCAGGGCCAGGGCCCGGCTGTCTGCAAACAAGCCCTCCAGGTGATTCTAGTGCCTGTGCAAGTTTGGGAGCTGCTGGTCTGCAGAAAGCTAGGTCAACTGAAAGAGGAAATGTACCACACTTATTTATAACCAAATGTGTGCCAGCTGGGAGCAAGTCCAAGGGAAACGTCACTTCCATCTCTCGTTCACATGATGAGTTGGCGCCTCTTAACTCAATAGTGTCTTTAGTTTGGATGATTTGACCACATGGAAAATGTCCCTCTGTCCCTCATGCTAAGGAGCCTAGCCCTCACAAACCGTTGTTCTTCATACCGAGGCCTATGATGGCCTAGGCACGTTATTATTAATATCCCTGTTGTTCCCTCGGGAGGGGATATGAAGGCTTAGAGCAGTTTATTTTTTTTAATTTTTTTTCCAAGACGGAGTCTTGCTCTGTTGCCCAGGCTGGAGTGCAGTGGTGCGATCTTGGCTCACTGCCATCTCTGCCTCCTGGGTTCAAACAATTCTGCTGCTTCAGCCTCCCAAGTAGCTGGGATTACAGGTGCCCACCACCACCCCTGGCTAAATTTTGTATTTTTAGTAGAGACAGGGTTTCACAATGTTAGCCAGGCTGGTCTCAAACTCCTGACCTTGTGATCTGCCCACCTCAGCCTCCAAAAGTGCTGGGATTACAGGCGTGAGCCGCCACACCCAGCCCTCAGAGAAGTTTAGAAACAACCCAATGTCCCACAGCTATTAAGTGGCAGAACTGAAACTCAAACCCAGTCCATCTGCCAGAGACGGAGCTTTAACGGCCACACAAGCTGAGAGAGAGAAAGAGAGTTGAGACACTTATATAAGGTGGGAGCCCTGCAAATGATTGGGTGTGGTGGTGTTCTGGAATCTTCTGAAGCTCTGTATTGAGTGCTGTGAGGCATGGCTTTCCCCTGCCCCTTCTAAACTTGGACCCTGACACATCAAAGCCAGTCTTGGGCACATGTGGCTCTTGCCTGGTTGACAGTCCCCATCAAGCTGGTGAGGTGGTCTTGTCTTTTTTCCCCAACCTGTTGTAATTTGACTCTTAGGAATTGTGCCGTGAGCACTGAGACTTGTAGACATCCCATTGTAGGGGTCTTGGTTGTGTATCACTGTGCCCATGGCTCTTAGGGTGACACACACCCAACTCCCAAATCCTGTCCCGAATGACAGGTGGGATCCAGAGGCACTTGAAAGCCCAGGGAGTCTGAGGGACAGGGATGCTGACAGTGGGCACTGGTGGTTTGTCTGTTTTACTGTTTCAGGGGAATGAGCCCACCATGTGGAATTCAGATGGGCCTTCTGGCTACCCCAGGGGCCTCCGGCTCAGCTTCCTGGGCATGTCAGAGAGCCGTGCCAGGGGCCAGAGCTGAGGAATGAGGCTCGGCTTACTGCCCACCCAGGAGGAGTCCCTCTGGAGAGCCTCAGAAAGTACCTGCAATGGCAATACAACAGAAGAGCCTCTAAATATTTCCTTTTGGGGATACGGCAGGAAAGCCAAAGGAAATGCGAAGAGGTGTCTGAACGCCCAGAGGAAATCAGTGGGCCCTTCCAGAAGTTCTATTTGTGGTAAGAAACCTTGGCACGGGGCCCCCAGCTCTCCTGCAAAAATAGACCAATGTGCTGAGAAGCAGCTCAATTCTGGGAGCAATTCCCCTCCATGGGGAAGAGAGCTTGCACTGGGACTTAGAAGGATCTGCCCCCTCTCTTCTGCTTGCCCCTGGACTCCAGAACCAAAAACAGGGAGAAAAAAAGGTAAACATTTTTTAAAAAAGAAACTCTTGGCCAGGTGGAGTGGCTCACACCTGTAGTCCCAACACTTTGGGAGGCTGAGGCAGGAGGATCACTTGAGGCCAGGAGTTTGGGAGCAGCCTGGACAACATGGCGAGAACCTGTCTGTATCAAAAAAATACAAAAATTATCTGGGTGTGGTGGCACATGCCTGTAGTCTCAGCTACTTGGGAGGCTGAGGCAGGAGGATTGCTTGAGCCTGGGAGGTCGAGGCTGCAGTGAGCTATGATTGTGCCAGTGTACTCCAGCCTGAGTGACAGAGTGAGAACCCCATCTCTTAAGAAAACAAAAAACCAGAACTTATGAATGTATCCATGACTTAACTCAAAAATGGGCCAGTGGAAACACAGGGCAAAGGAAGGTTTCAAATAAGCACCTGGACACAAACAGACCCAGGAGGTGACACACGGCATTGAGGACCCACTCCCCATCACTAGGTCCTTTGGCCCCAAATGAGTGAGATGACTAAGAAAATAGGGTACCATGTGCAGCAGAAGGGAGGGTGGCTAGACAGAAAATGATGGCCTTGACTGTGATGGTCATCACAGACAGGACCCCTAAGAAAGGTGGCCAAGGGGGTCTGGGGACCCACTTTTAGAATACCAGGCTGACAGCATAACAGGGGTTTGGGACACCACCATGAAAGAAGACAATGAAGCCAGGTGCAGTGGCTCACGCCTATAATCCCAGCACTTTGGGAAGCCAAGACGGAAAGATTGCTTGAGCCCAGGAGTTTGAGACCAGCCTGAGTGACATAGCAAGACCCCCATCTCTACTAAAAATTTAAAAATTAGCCAAGCATGGCTGGGCACGGTGGCTCACACCTGTAATCCCGACACTTTGGGAAGCCGAGGCGTGTGGATTACGAGGTCAGGAATTTGAGACCAGCCTGACCAACACGGTGAAACCCCGTCTCTACTAAAAATACAAAAATTAGCCAGGTGTGGTGGCAGGCACCTGTAACCCCAGCTACTCAGTAGGCTGAGGCAGGAAAATCACTTGAACCCAGGAGGTTCAGTAAGCCAAGATCATGCCATTGCACTCCAGCCTGGGTGACAGAGTGAGACTCCGTCTCAAAAAAAAAAAAAAAAAAAAAGCCAAGCACAGTGGCATGTGCCTGTAGTACCAGCTACTTGGGAGGCTGAGTGAGGAGGGAGGATTGCTTGAGGGCAGGAGTTGGAGACCAGCCTGGGCAACATAGCGAGACCTTGGCTTGGAAGTAAGGAAGGAAAGAAGGGAGGGAAGGAAGGATGAAGGTAGAAAGAAATGGGACAAGATGGACTCCTGAGGCCATCCTAATTCTGGAACACAATACAATGGCCTCTGTATGTTAGGAGGGCTCATTTGGCTTCTCTCTAAGCCAGCGGTCCACATCTTTTTGGCACCAAGGACCAGTTTTGTAGAAGACAATTTTCCATGGATGGGATGGTGGGGGTGGGTGTGGGAGGGGATGGTTTCAGGATGAAACTGTTCCACCTCAGATCATCAGGTGTTAGATTCTCATAAGAGGTGCCCAACCTACATCCGTCGCACCTGCAGTCCACAATAGGGTTTGTGCTCCTATGGGAATGTAATGCCACACTGATCTGACAGGAGGCGGGGCTCAGGTAGTAATGCTCACTCACCTGCCGCTCACCTCCTGCTGTGGGGCCGGTTCCCAACAGGCCATGGAATGCTTACTGGTCCACAGCCCTGGACTTGGGCACCCCTCTTCTAAGGCACAAACTTCTACTGTCTTAGGAGCAGCACCCTGGCCTCCACAGCAGGGAGAGAGCAGGAATACCCAGCCACAGATATTGATGAAGATATTGATCAACTTCCTACCGTCATGGTGGAGCCATGCCTGGAGGCCTCTGGATGGTCATCAGGTAACCCCAGCACATTTTCCTGTCCCAGACTCCTGGCCACGCTGAGGTTGCTGTGAACAGACACGATGTGCAGGGTCATGGATGTGAAGCTAGAACTCCTTGACAAGCAGGAGCTTTATTTTATGGCCCAAGCAGTTTGGAAACAAAATCATAAAGTGCTTACCCATCCAGTGTCTCCCCAGCCTGCACTGGGAGGTATCAAACTGACCAGATCCGACAGCCCCTTCCGCCCGCAGAAGATGGGTCTGCGTTTCTCTGTCTTTCCCTCTTGGTGGCCAAGAACTGTCAACATCCAGCTGTGGCTCTGCACTCAGCCGCCACTCAGCCTGCTCAGGTTGAAAGGTCAAATGTTGTCTGGAATTGGCAGCCCAGCTTACTAGCAGCTCTTCTGTCTTCAGAGTGCAGCGAGGGGAGCTGTCAGAGGGCTGAGGCAAGGACCAGAGAGGCAACTCCTGCGACAGAGAAAGCTCATCCCTGGGTATGTTCTGGAGGGAGAATAGCAGGGTCTGTCCCAGGAACTTTATTAGCTAGCGGTTAAGATCCTCATCCCCAGAAAAGCCAATAGGAATTAGCTGGGTGATGTGTGCCTATGGTCCCAGCCACTCAGGAGGGTGAGGAGGGAGAATTGCTTGAGCCCAGGAGGTTGAGGCTGCAGCTAGCTATGATTGTGTCACTGCGCTCCAGCCTGGGTGACAAAGCAAGATCCTGACTCAAAACAAAAAAAAAAGGAAGAAAGAAGAAAGAGAGAACGAAGAAAGAAAGGAAAGAAAGAGAAACAGAGAAGGAAGGAAGGAAGGAGAAAGGAAAGAAGGAAGGAAGAAAAGGAAGAAAGAATGACAAAAGGAAGGAAGGAAAGAAAGATGAAAAGAAAAGGAAAGGAAAAGAAAAGAAAAAAGAAAGGAAAAAAGAAAAGCAGATAGGAAAGTGAGGGGAGAGGGCCAGGAAGACAGAAGACAGGATGGGCAAGAAGGATGGGAAGGATTCCCACACCAGATTCAGGAGTGGCTCTGCATTGGGAAATCCTTCTACAACTGCTGGGGACTTGGTTTTGCAAACATGCACAGAGAAACCTTCATCCACCTCTGTGCAATGTTGGACTGAAGTAGAAATGAGCTGCTGTTTTCTGGAAGCACCCCATTTCTTTGAGCTGATCTTCTCTAATAATGAATTCTGGTGAAGCCTGCCATTCACAGCACCCCGCCCTCCCGTCTGTAGGAGGTGGGCACAGGACCCAGGCCAGCTGATCAGAGAGCTCCCTTGCCCTGGGATGAGCACGTGACCCAGATGGCTCAATCACGGGGAAGATCCTCTTGCCTGTTGTAGCCACTATGCTGGAAGAACAGGATTTGGGCTTGTTGGCCGCCATCTTCCAGTCCACACTGGGAACCCATTTGCAGGAGGAGGGAAGGAGGACAACCCAGTTTGAGGGAGCATATGGACAGCAGCTGTGGAAGGCTCCATATGTGCCCAATACTAGATCTACCCCATCCCTTCCTGTTCCATAAATCCATACATCTTCTCCCACTTTTGCTTACCCTAGTTTGAGTTACATTTCTGACACCTGCCACCATAAAAGCCCAAATGATTACAAGGAATATTTGGCTGCAGAAAAGACCCTGCAGTCTGTGAAAAAAGAGGCTGCTGGTGCATAGTCATCACAGACCAGTGCAAAGAGTGAAACAGAAACATCCAGCTTAATCTGCAAAAGCCTTTTTGGATCTTTGAGAGGCGTTCATTAACTTACAGCAAATTGATGAGCTGATATTCTTCTTTCATCCAGGTGAGTGCATTAACTAGGTTAATTTTCCTGTCTCAAGGGACTGCTGTAGGTTAGGGTGAATGAATGAAAGAAGCAAGTTTTTAAACAGGAAAAAAGCTTCAGAGAAGTTGAGGTGACAAGCATCGCTTCACCCCCAATGGAAGGTGAGCTTGTCTGTTAGGTCCCAGGGACTGAACTGGAGTTCCGTGGTTAGGGGATGACCCATCTCAACAAGAAACTTCCATCATCCTCCCGTGGGGATCTGATTAAGATCTTCTCCAGAAGGAGATGGCCTCATGAGTTGGGGCTTTTCAATCTCCCTGTCCCTCCTCTAGAAGGGCATTGCTACTGGCCTTGCCCTGCCAAGTCTTCAGTCTACAACAGCACTGACCCGCTTCAGACACAGCCCAGATCCTTCCCAGACACGCTGTTATTCCGACTTTTTGCCCTTTCAGTCCAGCCTTCCCTATCACTTATGCTGAAATTGGGAACATTTCCCAAACCAACAGTTTCCCAGTCCACAATGTTCCCTTGCTGAGTGTCCCCACAGGACAGGCAGGCAGCCTGATAAATAAAACCAGTCATAAAACCTCCCTGCCTTAGCAAAGGGACTGCTTTGCCAGGCTGCTGTCACATAGCACTCCTGTCTCCCGTTTGACTTCACATAGTGAAAATTGTCTAAAAGATAAGGCAGGAGCTCTGGTTGACACCACCACCCCCATAGATCTCTCTCTAGAAGCATTGGAAGAGGCCGTCTCAAAAAAGAAAAAAAAATAGAAGCATTGCAGGAAAGACGTGGTTTGTAGTGAAACAAATTGGAAGTCAAGCTCAGCCTCAACCACTTACTTGCTTCTGACCTTGGGTAAGTCCTATGTACCTAGGAACCTCGGTTTTCTTTTCTTTCTTTTCCTTTTTTTTTTTTTTTTTTTGAGATGGAGTCTTGCTCTGTCACCCAGTCTGGAGTGCAATGGTGCAATCTCAGCTCATTGCAACCTCTGCCTCCTGGATTCAAGCGATTCTCGTGCCTCAGCCTCTAGAGTAGCTGGGACTACAGGCGTGTACCACCATGCCCAGCTAATTTTTGTATTTTTAGTAGAAACAGGGTTTTGCCATGTTGGTCAGGCTGGTCTCGAACTCCTGATCTCAAATGATCCACCCGCCTCAGCCTCTCAAAGTGCTAGGATTACAGGCACAAGCCACCGCGCCTGGCTGGAACTTCGACTTTCTTCTGTACAATGGAGGGGGGACAGTAATACTGCAATATTTACAATTAGGTTCAACTGAGAGTAACAGAGGTCTGAATACAGTAGCTGAAATGGGGTGGGCAGATCACTTGAGGCCACAAGTTCAAGACCAGCCTGGGTAACATAGTGGCATACTATCTACAAAAAAATAAAAATTATCCGGGCGTGGTGGCACAGGCCTGTAATTCCAGCTACTTGGGAGGCTGTGGTGGAAGGAACACTTGAGCCCAGAAGGTTGAGGCTGCAGTGAGCTGTGATTGCACCACTACACTCCAGCCTCGGTGACAGAGTGAGACCCCGTCTCTAAAAAAATAATAATAAAAAAAAAATTTGGCCATGCCTATCTGCAAGAACATCTGGGAAAGGTAGCTGCGGTAGGTAGCCTCAAAAATGCCTCCAATATCACTGGGTGCAGTGGCTCACACTTTGGGAGGCCAAGGCAGGAGGATTACTTGAGCCTAGGAGTTCCAGACAAGCCTGGGCAACATAGTGAGACCCTGTCACTACAAAAAATTTCAAAATTAGCTGAGCATGGTGGTGCATACCTGTAGTCCCAGATACTTGGGAGGCTGAGGTGGGAGGATCACTTGAGTCCAGGAGTTCAAGGCTACAGTAAGCTATGATCACGCCACTGCATGCTAGCCTGGGTGACAGAGTGAGATTCTGTCTCAAGGGAAAAAAAAGCCCCTTCTCCACTCCCCAAAAGTCCCCATTAATCCCTTTATTCCAGCATTTTCCCCCTTGTGAGGAAGAGGGGAAATTTGTATTTGTATTTGTATTCCCACTTGCTTTGAGTGTGGCTGGACCCAGTAACTTTCTTCTAACCAATAGACTATGGCTAGAAGAATAGAATTTAGTCACATAACCATGTCTAGCTGCAATAACATCTGCATTAGTCTATTTTCATGCGGCTGATAAAGACATACCCGAGACTGGGAATAAAAAGGGATTTTATTGGACTTACAGTTCCATATGGCTGGAGAGGCCTCAGAATCACGGCGGGAGGCAAAAGGCGCTTCTTTCATGGTGGCCCCAAGAGAAAAATGAGGAAGAAGCAAAAGCGGAAACCCCTGATAAACCCATCAGATCTCATGAGACTTATTCACTATCACAAGAATAACACGGGAAAGACCGGCCCCCATGATTCAGTTACCTCCCCCCAGGTCCCTCCCACAACATGGGGGAATTCTGAGAGATATCATTCAAGTTGAGATTTGGGTGGGGACACAGCCAAACCATATCAACATCTGTGGTAAAAGTGATGGGATGTTCCTTCTGAGATTAGGTTTCAAAGAGATGACAGTTCTGTCTTGGGCATCCTGTCTTGCTCTGAGGAAAACCAGCCACCAGGTAGTGAGGTGCTCCCTGGAAAGGCCCACATGGCAAGAAACTGATGCCTCTGCCAGGCAAAGTGACTCACGCCTGTAATCCCAGCACTTTGGGAGGCTGAGGTGGGTGGATCACTTGAGGTTAGGAGTTTGAGACCAGCCTGGCCAACATGATGAAACCCCGTCTCTACTAAAAATACAAAAATTAGCCAGTGTCGTGGTGTGACAGAGAAGGAATCTGTCTCAAAAAAAAAAAAAAAAGAAAAAAAAAGAGAAACTGATGCCTCTGGTCAACAGCTAGCAAGGACCTGAGGCCCTTAGTGCAACAGTCTTATCATGAGTGAGCTTGGGAAGAAGATCCTTCCCCAGATTAACCTTCAGATGATGGCAGCCCTTGCAGAAATCTCAGTGCGATCTCACAAGAGACCTGAGCCAGAGGACTCACTGAAAACATGAGATGCCAAACTTTTTTGTTTTGATTTCAGGAGCTAAGTGTTGTGCTTATTTGTTACACAGCAATAGCTAACTAATACAATAGTTTTCCAGCTAGACACATTTCTAGGATTCTGTTACTAAGAAGGAAGGGAAGGCTGGAGACAGGGAAGCAATGAATAGTCACTGTCACCAAAACTGAGGGGTTAATTTGATCAGGTCTGGCTGCCCCGCTTGCTTTGGTCACTTGCTTGTTTTATTAATTTTTCTTTTTTCTCCTTTTTTCTTTATCTTCTTTCTCTTGCTTTCTCTCTTTCTCCTTCCTTCCTCCCTTCCTTCTCCTTCCTTCTTTCCTTCCTTCCTTCCTTCCCCCTTCCCTCCCTCCCTTCCCTTCCTCCTTCCTTCCTTGCCTGCTGTGTCAATTTTTTTTATTATAATAGAGACAAGGTCTCACTATGTTACCCAGGCTGGTCTTAAACTGGGCTTAAGCGATCCTCCCACCTTGGCCTCCCAAAAAACTGGGATTACAGGCATGAGCCACCATGCCTGTCCTTTTTCTTCTTTTCCTATGAAGCTGAAGACAGTCATAGCTGAAGGCTGTGGTAGCTGAATACCGTGGCGTTAAATGCTGAAATGTACCCTTCACTAGCTTCTTTAGAGATCACATTCACAGGTCACTATGGTAATGTTTGCTTCCGTTGTTTTTCAGGAACTTAGGCCAGCTCCCATCCAGTTCAATCAGGTTGGGACCACCAATTCTTCAATGGGCCTGCCCAAATGCCCAAGAAGTGGACTTTTGATGTCAGAGGGCCAAAGATCCCACCCTCAGATCATGCTAATGCCACCACTTTCTGTACACATGTCCTGTGAAATGCCACAAACCCTGACTACTACGCTTGTGCAGAACAAACCTATCAATTAATTTTTCCCTACTGCCAATCACCTTTCCCCATGCCTTACACCACCGTGTTTCCCTAACGCATAAATATCCCTAAGCCTTATCTTCAGGAAGCAGGATGTGAGAGCTGTTCTACCACCTTGTTTGGTGGCCTTGCAAATAAATCCTTTCTCTTTTGCAAAACCCATGTCATAGTCACAGTGACTGATTTACTGCACGCGGGCAGGACAGACCTGCACCCGGCCAATAACACCACTCATACCTACTCCAAAGGGCCGTTGTGAGGATGGAATGAGGTAAATCTGTAATGTACCCATATCCAGTTTGCCAGCACCCAGGAAGTGACTAACGAGACATGGTTTTTTAATTATTATTTTATTATTATTATTATTATTGTATTTTTAGTAGAGACGGGGTTTCCCCATGTTGGTCAGGCTGGTCTCGAACTCCCAACCCCAGGTGATTTGCCTGCCTCGGCCTCCCAAAGTGCTGGGATTACAGGTGTGAGCCACCACTCCTGGCCGGAGATGTGGTTTTTAGTGAAGGGCCACTATCTAGTGTCTGCTTCCCAAGCTTTTCGCCAAGCTCCTCTAGGAGACAAGGTGGGCTGTGTCTAACATTCAATTTTCCTGACTTCTCCCCTTTGACAGTTCAGATTCCCCATGCCCTCCAGCCAATTAGTACAATTACTACTTCTTTTTCTTCTTTTTTTCTTTTTCTTTTTTTTTTCTTTTGAGACGGAGTCTTGCTCTGTTGCCCAGGCAAGAATGCAGTGGCACGATCTCGGCTCACTACAACCGGGTTCAAGTGATTCTTCTGCCTCAGCCTCCCGAGTAGCTGGGGTTACAGGTGCCTGCCACCATGCCTGGCTAATTTTCGTGTTTGTAGGAGAGACGGGGTTTCACCATGTTGGCCAGGCTGATCTTGAACTCCTGACCTCACGTGATCCGCCCACCTCAGCCTCCCAAAGTGCTGGGATTACAGGCGTGAGCCACCGCACCGGGTGTTACAATCACTATTTCTTCAAAAATAAAGATCCCCAAGCCCAGCAGGAGGGTTCACAGAATGGTAAGATTTCAGAGGGAAAAGGGCTAGAGCCCTTCTAATTCAGTTCCCCCACTCACCATTGTGAACCCAGACACTTGCACAAAGTCACAAAGCAACAAGCAGGGGTGGGACTTGGCCCCTCTGGAGAGATAACGTAGCTCTGTGTTCCTCCCTCTCTCCAAACTGCTAATGCTCAGGCAGAGGCTGGTGTATGCAGCATTTTACAAAGTTTCCTATACAAGCACTTTGGGAGGCTGAGGCGGGTGGATCGCTTGAGGTTAGGAGTTCAAGACCAGCCTGGCCAACATGGCGAAACCCTGTCTACTGAAAATACAAAAAAATTAGCCGGGCATGGTGGCACACACCTGTAATCCCAGCTACTCCCAGCTGAGGTGGGAGAATGGCTTGAACCTGGGAGGCAGAGGCTGCAGTGAGCTGAGATTGGGCCACTGCACTCCAGCCTGGACTGCAGAGTGAGACCCCGTCTCAAAAAAAAAAAAAAAAAAATGCCATAAAGTTTCCTATAGAAAAAAATAAATGTGCACTAGTTCAACCCAGTTTTTTCTCCCTGAGAGGAGTTGAGGTCAGGTTTATGGGACATGCGGTGCTTTTTGAGTGAATGAGCGTCATAAAGGGAAACCTTCTGGTTTCCCTTTAGGCTTTAGGGGGCCCCTGCTCTTGTGTCTTTGGCTTGGCAGGGAGCTGAAGTCCTTGCAGTCACGAGCCTGTCCCTCGTGGATATAACTGGGAGAAAAGTCTAGAAAGTGCTCCCTGGGGTCCCAGGATAATGTGTCCACCTACCGAAGGCAAGAATGCAATCTATATTATTGCCCTTCCCCAAGGGTGCAGGATTTATGTCACCCTGGAAGAATGCGAACTCCTGAATCAGTTCACATACAAAGAAACCCCAGTTTTTCAGAATAGATTGAGACCAAAGCCTTTCAGTGAAAATGAATGTTTTGGGCAGAAAAAAAAATTAATGAAAGTCCTAAGATTTTTTTAAAGTATTAATCTAATAATGGGAGATATAATGTGCCAGTCTCCCTGCTGCTTATTTCCGCTAGTGAACTGGGCTATATGGGAACTTAATAAAATATTCACAGAAGGCGGCTGGGCACAGTGGCTCACTTCTGTCATCCCAACACTTTGAGAGGCCAAGGTGGGTGGATTGCCTGAGGTTGGGAGTTCGAGACCAGCCTGGCCAGCATGGTGAAACCCCCATCTCTACTAAAACTACAAAAATTAGCCGGGCATGGTGGCAGGCACCTGTAATCCCAGCTACTCAGGAAGCTGAGGCATGAGAATCACTTGAACCTGGGAGGCGGAGGTTGCAGTGAGCTGAGATCATGCCATTGCACTTCAGCCTGGGCAACAGAGAGAGACTCTGTCTCAAAAAAAAAAAAAAAGAAAAAAGAAAAGAAAAAGAAAACAAAACAAAACAAAAACATTCACAGAAGGCTCAACTGCAATATTTAAAATCTTTACCAGTGGCCGGGTACAGTGGCTCACACCTGTAATCCCAGCACTTTGGGAGGCCAAGGCGGGTGGATCACCTGAGGTCAGAAGTTCGAGACCAGCCTGGCCAACGTGGAGAAACCCCGTCTCTACCAAACATTAGCCGGGTGTGGTGCTGCATGCCTGTAATCTCAGCTACTCAGGAGGCTGAGAGGGGAGGATGACTTGAACCCGGGAGATGGAGGTTACAGTAAACTGAGATGGTGCCACTGCACTCCAGCCTGGGCAACAGAGCAAGACGCTGTCTCAAAAAAAAAAAATATTTACCAGTCATGTGTATTTCATAAACAGCAGCAATTTCATTAAAATCAGTGCATATGGGGAAAAGGGATGCGTAGGTACTGTCCTATCTTCTTGATTAATGCTGTTAACATATTTTTGCACATTTAAAAAATTGACATTGATAAATTTTTAGCATGAAGTTGCAGAAGTTGACCTGGGTCCTAACTGTAAAATGCAGAGGAACTCTACCCATGAGGAAGCTTTGTGAAGTTGATTCATTACTAATGTCCCTGTGAGTACCTAACTTAAAAAGTCCAGTGTAGCCAGGCATGGTGGCGCACACCTGTAATCCCAGTTGCTCGGGAGGCTGAGGCAGGAGGATCACTTGAGGCCAGTAGTTCGAGGCTGTAGAGCATGGTGATTGTGCTTGTGAATGGCCACTGTACTCCAACCTGGGCAACATAGGGAGATCCTGTCTCTATCTAAAAAAAAAAGTTCAGCAAGAACTGGAGGGCTGTGGAGGACTGAGCATTGAGTTTAGAAAATTGTCACTACAGGGCGGGCATGGTCGCTCATGCCTGTAATCCCAGCACTTTGGGAGGCTGAGGTGGGGTGATCGTTTGAGCCTAGGAGTTTGAGACCAGCCTGGACAACATGGCAAGACCTCATCTCTACTAAAAATTTTAAAAATTAGCCAGGCACGTGGGCATGTGCCTGTAGTTCCAGCTACTTGGGAGGCCCAGGTGGGAAGATTAGTTGAGCCCAGGGGTTCGAGGTTGCAGTGATCTGAGATCACTCCACTGAATTCCAGCCTGGACCACAGAATGAGACCCTGCATCCAAATAAAAAAATAAAAAGTAAAAGAAAGTTGTCACAGCAAAATGAGGCACACGGAGTTTGAACACCTCTCTTTTTGGGAGAACACACTGAGTAGACAACACCGTGTGTGTGCGTGTGTATGTGAGTTCATCTGTGAGTGTGTGGGGGGTGCTTTGGATGTGGAAGAGTGTGAAGGAGGCCATGAATCTTTTTATTCTGATAAAGAGCAGGACCAGGCACAGTGGCTAACACCTGTAATCCCAGCACTTTGGGAGGCCAAGGCAGGTGGATCATTTGAGGTCAGGAGTTTGAGACCAGCCTGGCCAATGTGGCAAAACCCTGTCTCTATTAAAATTACAAACAAAAAAAAATTAGCCAGGTGTGGTGGCGCACACCTGTAATCCCAGCTATTCGGGAGGTTGAGGCAGGAGAATTGCTTGAACCCAGGAGGCAGAGGTTGCGGTGAGCCGAGATCGTGCCACTGCACTCCAGTCTGGGCGACAGAGCATGACTCCGTCTCAAAAAAAAAAAAAAAAAAAAAAAAAAAAAAAAAAAAAAAACCCGGGAGTATTTTTGAAGCAGCCAGGAGCTGGATATGTGTCCAGCTTGCATCTTTGTGATAAGCATTTAATAACCATTGAGCTTAGCAATAGAGTTACGGAACTGGTACTTAGATGTTTTTCTTTTTCTTTTTTTTTTTGAGATTGTGTCCTGCTCTGTCACCCAGGATAGAGTGCCATGGCGCGATCATGGCTTACTGCAGCTTCAACCTTCTGGACTCAAGCTATCCTCCTGCCTCAGCCTCCCAAGTAGCTGGGAACACAGGTGCACACCATCACACCTAGCTAATTTTTAAATTTTTGTAGAGATGGGGGTCTTGCTATGTTGCCCAGGCTGGTCTCAAACTTCTGGCCTCAAGCGCTTCTCCCATCTCGGCCTCCCAAAGGGTGGGGATTACAGGTGTGAGCCACCGCACCTGGACTGTGATTGCTTTTCTTAACATGGTACTCTGCCATTATATTCTCTATTAGGAATTTGATATGCTCAGAAGATATAGTGAGTTGCCTGTTTACTAACATCAGGGTCCTTTCAGGTAGTGTCCACCACAGGAAACATTACTATTTGGGTATTGTGACCCATGGCAACGACCCAGCACTCACCTTTCCAGACCTCATCTGGTGGCCTTGTAACCCTGGAGCTGAAGCTGCATGCGCACAAGCAATCAGTCGCAGTGTATCCACACAGGGTCCCAACCCACTCCAGGATTCATTTCGGGATGGCTTCCCCTCCCTCAGCCGGGTCTCCAGCCCCATTGCTCTCCAGGCATGCCCATCTCCATCTCCACGGCGATCATGTGTTTGCAGGGAGACATCAATATCCTCTTCTCTTGCGCTTTCTGAATGGGAGAGTCAATGTCAACCGGAAGCTAGCAGGGACTTGGGTGGACAGGTGTCTCACGCTGGATGGGGGAATCCAGGTGGGAGGGGAGGGTGGGCTTGCTCTCATTTGTGGGTGGGTAATGGGATTTGCTATGAAGCTGGAGGGAAAATCTGGACCCCTAAAGAGGGGTCCCTTCCCTTCCTAAGGGAAGGCCTCAGCTTCGAGACTGCAGGAGGAGCTGGGTAGCCATTGGATATGGCTAAAGCACATGAATCATGACCGTGGTGCACTGTTTGGACAGCAAGTCAGTGGCCCAAGGAGAGAGAGGTTAGTGATGGGAAGCGTCCTGGGACTCACCGATGCATCTTTATATTTTTCTCTTTAAACATTAGGAGGAGGCCAGGTGCCGTGGCTCACACCTGTAGTGCCAGCGCTTTGGAAGGCTAAGATGGGCAGACTGCTTGAACTCAGGAGTTTGAGACCAGCCTGGGCAATATGTCGAGACCTCATCTCTACAAGACATTTTAAAATTAGCCAGGCATTGTGGTAGGTGTCTGTGGTTCCAGCTACTCAGGAGGCTGAAGCAGGAGGACTGCTTGAGCCTGAAAAGTTGAGGCTATAGGGAGCTGTGATCTTACCACTGCACTCCAGCCTGGGCAACAGAGTGAGACCCTGTCTCAATCAATCAATCAAGCAAGCAATATTAGGAGAAGAATTTGTTGATGTCTCTTTTCTGTCATAAGCTCGGCTCTCCAAGAGCCTTTTCTTCCCAGGAGGACATGCTGGTGTTTCATGAATCTAGGACTTCTTGCCTGAAGCTTGTAAAGTGCTAGATGGAATGAAAACGGCAATAGTAAGAGCAGGCTCTTATGCCACCTTGCTACACACAAGGCATTGCTCTAAGTGCTTTGCAGGGGTTAAGAGATGCAGTTGAGTAGCTGAGGACAGTCTAGGGGTGGGGTTTCCAGAGGCTGTCAGGGGAGTGGCCCCCAGCCTTCCTGGTGGAATCCCTGAGCATTAATCACACACATAAGTTTCACTCCACAAACATGGGTTGTGAAAACATTACAATCTAGCCAGGCGCAGTGGCTCATGCCTATAATACCAGTATTTTGGAAGGCCAAGGCAGGAGGGTTGCTTGAGGAGCCCCTGACCAGCCTGGGCAACACAGCAAGACCCCATCTCTACCAAAAAAAAAAAATGGCCGGGTGTGTTGGTGTGCACATATAGTTCCAGCTACTTGGGAGGCTGAGGCAGGAAGATTGATTGAGCCTAGAAGTTCAAGGCTGTGGTGAGCTATGATTACACTACTGCACTCCAGCCTGAGCAACAGAACAAGACTCTGTTTTTTTTTTTAAAGCCATAATACATTATTTTTTTCTAAATTAAATGGAATGTGTTGTGAACCACAATCATTTATTTTATTTACTTATTTGTTTATTTTTGAGACGGAGTCTTGTTCTGGCGTCCAGGCTGGAGTGCAGTGGCGTGATCTCGGCTCACTGCAACCTCTGCCTCCTGGGTTCAAGCAATTCTCCTGTCTCAGCCTCCTGAGTAGCTGGGATTACAGCTGTGCACCACCACACCTAATTTTTGTATTTTTAGTAGAGATGGAGTTTCATCACGTTGTCCAGGCTGGTCTTGAACTCCTGGCCTCAAGCGATCCACCTGCCTCAGCCTCCCAAAGTGCTAGGATTACAGGCATGAGCCACCATGCTTGGACCTAGCCACAATTATTTAATACCAGGGCTCCCTGCCGTCGCTCCCCAGAGCTGGGAGAAGGTCTCAGGAGCATATTGGGTCAGGTATGTGTGGAAAGGCCCTCCAGGCTCAAATTCACACTGGGCCTACTCTGTGCCCTGACTCCAAGCTCCAGGAGCCCTCAAAGGTGGCAGCTCCATTGCTCATGAGCCAAGCTTAGGGACCGGGGCCCTTCCTAGCAGCCAGAAAGAGCCTTATTCTTAGCATTTTTTTTTTTTATAGAGACAGAGTCTGGCTGTGTTGCTCAGGCCAGAGTGCAGTGGTTCAATCTCATAGCTCACTGCAACCTCAAACTCGTGGGCACAAGCAATCCTCCCACCTCAGCCTCCTGAGTAGCTGGGACTACAAGCGTGCACCATCACACCTGGCTAATTTTTAAATTTTTAAATTTTTAATTTTCTGTAAAGACAGGGTCTTGCTATGTTGCCCAGGCTGGTCTCAAACTCCTGGCCTCAAGCGATTCTTCTGCCTCAGCCTCCCAAAGTGCTGGGATTACAGGCATGAGCCACCTTGCCTGGCTCTGTTCTTAGTACCAAGGGCCCTCACACCCCCTGTCTTTTCTTGGGACTCTGCCAAGCCCCAGGCTCCTTCTCAGGCTTGGGGACGGTACCCAAATCAGCACATCCACTTCCATCTCCCCACCTCACCCCAAACCCTTCTCTCCGGCATCTAGAGCCACGCCGAAGTTTCTCTTCTTGAGTCTAGCCCTCCTGGGTATGCTTGGGGACTGAAATGCTCAAATTGGCCTCACCTCTTGACACTGTAATTGTTCCTTATCGCCTATTAAACAGGAACCCTGCTTTGTGTAGTTCAGTGCCTGCTGCCAAGTCAGAGCTGTGACCTCAATGAAAGTGGCCCAGCCACACCAAACCTCAGTTTCCGTAACAGTCCTGGGATCCAATGTGGCTTTCACATTACATATCACTTCACTCTGTTATCTCCGATGGAAAACCAACTCAAACTGGCTTAAGCAAAAAGGGTACTCACTGGGCCATGTAACCAAAAAGTGTAAGCATAGGTGTGGCTTCAGGAACGGCTGGATCAAGGCACCCACATGTGGCATCGGGAGTCCCTCTCCTGGCTGTTGGTTTCAGTTTTCTCTGCAGGGGTTACATTCGAGCATTGGTTCCCTCCTCATAGTGGCAAGGTGGCTGCGCAGGACAAGAGGCATATAGCCAAGGGCTCAGCTACTTAAGGATAAGTTCCATCAGAAGCCCAAGTTGAGGCTGGCCTTGGTGGCTCACACTTGTAATCCTAGCAGTTTGGGTGGCTGAGGTGGGTGGATCACTTGAGGTCAGGAGTTCGAGACCAGCCTGGCCAACACAGTGAAACCCTGTCTCTACTTAAAAAAAAAAAAACAAAAAACCATGAAAATTAGCTGGGCGTGGTGGCACATGCCTGTAATCCCAGCTACTTGCAAGGCTGAGGCAGAAGAATCACTTGAACCTGGCAGGCAGAAGTTGCAGTGAGCCGAGATCAAACCACTGCACTCCTGCCTGGGCAACAGAACGAGACTCCGTTGGCAATGACTGGGTCATCTGTCCAGTCCTGAACTGGTCACTGTGTGAGGTAGAAGCATTGTTTGATTGGCCAGGCCTGGGACACACGGCCATCTCCAGACCTAGGAATGGCATCATCTCTACCCAAACCCCGTGAACCAGGAGGTGGGGAGGAGCAAAGCTTCAGAAGAAACTCCGGGCCCTGCCATCAAGCAGAGGAGGAAAGGAAGCCACACAGACTGAGACATCAAGTACCCACTGTGCCCTCACCACCAGCTCCTGCCCTGGTCAGTGCACTCCTGGACCATTTCTCCTCCCCGTCTTGTTCACAGTCACCCTCTCACCCCAGCAGAGATCAGGCCAGGGGACTGGTGGCAAGTGAGTGAAGGGTTTCAGCCTACCTTCCAGGCACAGTGTAAGCGGACCCCCCACACACAGGGGCTCTCCTGGGTTACACAGTGTCCTCCCAAAATTCACATCCACCTGGAACCTGCAAATATGACCTTATTTGGAAATGGAGTCTTTGCAGATGTTGTCAAGATAAGATGAAGTCATACTGTTTTAGGATCGGCCCCATATGTGGTACGACTGGGGTTCTTATACGAAGAGGGACCCTGGCACACGGATGCATACAGGGAGAGCGCTGTGTGATGAGAAAGGCAGAGATTGCAGTGATGCTGCCACCAGCCAAGGAGCCACCATCAACCAGGAGACGGGCATGGATCCGATTCTCCCTGCGAACCTCCAGAAGGAGCCAACCCTGCCAACACCTTGGTTTTGGACTTCTGTTCCCCACAACTGTGAGACAATACATTCTGTGGTTTTAAGCTTTATGATAATTTGTTACTGTAGCCCTGGGAAAGGAATACAAGGGTAGACAGACACTGATCAAGTAAGCAAACAAATGTGAAATTGCCCTGTGACAAGGGAGGTGCAGGGTGCCTGTGTTGGGGAAGAATTCTCTGAGACTTGAAGTCAGAGAAAGAGTTAGCTAATGGGGCTGACAGGGGTCTGCACATGCAGCTCACGGCCCAGATCTCGTTGGCCGAGTGTTTTTGCAGGGATTAGGAACTAAGAATGGTTTTGCAAGAAGAACATCCCAGGCCGAAGGGACGGCATGAGCAAAGGCCATGAAGTGGGAGGCGCCCTCTGTGAAACCAACAAGCTTTCAGCCACGTGGGTCTCTCTGATGCGTTGTCTCCGCCACAGAGGGCTTTAAAAAGCCCCGAAACTGGACAGGTGTCACTGCCTGTGGCAGTAGCGGCCATTTGGCGCCTGTGGTTTCAACTCCACCCGTTTCACATGTCTATGTTACCAGACTGGCCCCTGAAGGGGATCTGCGTGCCAGGCCCTGACCTGCCGGGCTTTGGAAACATCCTTGCCAGTGTCCCCTGACCTGCGCCCCGCCCTGTGGAGTGAGGCCTGGTTGCCCAAGCTGGCTGGGCCGGGCTGTTTGCTGCTTCCAACAAACATAGGAGAGAATGTATTGCTGCTTTTGATTGCCAGTGAGAGCTCCGCGAGGCCTGGCCCGAGATGTGGCTGGCGTGAGGGGTCCCGGACCTGCTGTGGTGGGGACGCACCCAGTTCTGTGGCGCTTGGTCCAGCGAGGACTCGAGCCCACTGGGGACGGGGCCTCGGGCTGCAGGGGCGGGGCCCCAGCCGCCTGGGGGTGGGGCCTCAGGTTGTTTGGGGGCGGGGCCTCAAGCTGTCTGGGGACGGGGCCTCGGGCCGGCTGGGGGCGGGGCCTCATGCTTCAGGGGCGGGGCCTCGGACTGCCTGGGTGTGGGGTCTCCAGCTTCAGGGTCGGGGAGCCTCGAGCCGCCTGGGGACCGGGGGATCTGTTGGGGAGGAGGTTCTCGAACTGCTGAGGAGGATCACAGTGCTTTTGCTTCCTCTAGGAGACCAGCTGCACAGGCTGCAACATGCCATCTCTGTGCCTGTTTTCCCGTCGATAAATGCAGAGACATTACTCTCATCATTTCTTCCTCTGTAACACAATATTCATCTATGTAACCCCTTGGTAAAGCAGTTGTAAGAATTAAACAAGAGGAATTGCGCTTTCATTCAGCAAATATTTTTTGAGCAGCTACTAGATGCCAGGCACTGTTTTAGACGCAAGTGATACTTCAGGAAACATAATCAGACAGACAGGCAGACATGCCCTCCTGGAACTGGCATTGTAGAACAAGGGTCTGCATCCTGTGGCTCACAGGCCAGATCTGGTTGACCGTCTATTTTTGCATGGACGTTAAACTAACAATGATTTTTGCATTTTGATTTTTATTTTATGAAAAAACAATTGGGGGTTGGGCGCGGTGGCTCACGCCTGTAATCCCAGCACTTTGGGAGGCCAAGGGGGGGTGGATCACCTGACGTCAGGAGTTCAAGACCGCCCTGGCCAACATGGGGAAACCCTGTCTCTACTAAAAATACAAAAATTAGCTGTCATGGTTGTGGGCACCTGTAATCCCAGCTACTTGGGAGGCTGAGGCAGGAGAATCGCTTGAACCCGGGAGGTGGAGGTTGCAGTAAGCCGAGATCGCGCCACTGCACTCCAGCCTGGGCAACAAGAGTGAAACTCTGTCTCAAAAATAATAAAATTAAAATAAAATAAAAAAGAGTGGTCTCTGGACCAATAGCTCAGTATCACCTGGACATTTGTTAGAAATCCAGACCTACTGAACCAGAATCTGTATTTTAGCAAGACCCCCAGGTGATCTGTGTGTACATTAAAGTGTGAGATGTTTTTGTAGCAACATGCATGGAACTGGAGGTCATTATCTTAAGTGAAATAAGCCAGATACAGAAAGACAAATATTGCATGTTCTCACTCCCAAGTGGGTGCTAAAAAATGCATACACATGGCTCCACAGAGAGTGGAATAATAAACAATGGAGATTCAGGAGAGTGAATGTAAATTCTGGCAGTTCATCCACCACTGTGAACCATGAGAAATAGTTTAATGGCTGCCAGGTGAGGTGGCTCACACCTGTAATCTTAGCACTTTGGGAGGCCAAAGCAGGAGGATCACTTGAGCCCAGGAGTTCAAGACCAGCCTGGGCAACATGGCAAGACCCCATCTCTACAAAAAATGCAAAATATTAGCTGGGCATGGTGGCACGCACCTGTAGTCCCTGCTACTCAGGAAGCTGAGATGGGAGGATCGTTTGAGCCTGGGAGATAGAGACTGCAGTGAGCCATGATTGCACCACTGTACTTCATCCTAGGTGACAAAATGAGAACCTGTTTAAAAAAACAAAAATAGGCTGGGCACGGTGGCCCACGCCTGTAATCCCAGCACTTCGGGAGGCTGAGGCAGGTGGATCACCTGAGGTCAGGAGTTCGAGACCAGCCTGGCCAACATGGCAAAACCCCGTCTCTACTAAAAGTACAAAAATTAGCCGGGCGTGGTGGCGGGCACCTGTAATCCCAACTACGCAGGAGGCTGAGGCAGGAGAATAGCTTGAACCCGGGAGGTGGAGGTTGCAGTCAGCCGAGATTGAGCCTGCACTCCAGCCTGGTGACAGAGCGAGACTCTGTCTCAAAAAAACACAGCAGCAAGCAACAACAACTAAAAGAAATCACTGAATGGGTACAATGTATGTTATCGGGATGATGGAGATCCTAAAAGCCCTGACCTGACTATTACACAATCTATGCATGTAATGAAATTGTATTTGTACCCCATAAATTTATGTAAATAAAACATTTTAAAAAGTGTGAGATGTGCAGGTCGAAAATGATGCAGAATGCTCAGCACAGGGCCTGACACTTAGCAAGAGCTCCATGAATGTTAGCTAATGCGGTGGATGGACTCATGGTCCCCCAAAGAGGTCCACATCCTAATCCCCAGAACCTGTGAAAGTGGTAATTTACATTGTAAAAGGGGCTTTGCAGGTGTGATCAAATTAAGTCTCCTGAGACGAAGGAATTCACCTGGATTATCCCCGAGGGGCCCAATGATGCAATCACAAGGGTCTTTTTTTTTTTTTTTGAGATAGCGTCTCACTCTGTTGCCCAGACTGGAGTGCAGGCTCGATCTCGGCTCACTGCAACCTCTGCCTTCTGGGTTCAAGCGATTCTCCTGCCTCAGCCTCCTGAGTAGCTGGAATTACAGGTGTGCACCACCATGCCCAGCTACTTTTTGTATTTTTAGTGGAGATGGGGGTTTCCCCATGTTGCCCAGGCTGGTCTCGAACTCCTGACCTCAGGTGGCCTTGGCCTCTCAAAGTGCTGGGATTACAGGCATGAGTCACCACACCTGGCCACAATGGTCCCTATAAGAGATGGTGGGCAGGGCAAGAAGAAATGTGAGATGTGAGGCTGGAAGCAGAGGGTGGAATGCATGCTTTGAAGGTGGAGGCACCTGCTCTGCGGCAGGCCTGTAGAATCGGGAAAAGACAAGGACTCAGATTCTCCCTCAGAACGCCCTGGAGGAAACAAGCTCTGCTGACACCTTGATTTTAGACGTCGGACCTCCAGAACGGTAAGAGAATAAATGTATCTTATTTTAAGTCACTAAGTTTGTGGAAGCTTGTTGGAGCAGCAATACAGAATGAATATAGCTGCCATTCTTATTGTTATCCTGTTTGTCGTAGGCTGGCTCTGCCATCTTCCCATTCAGTTGTTTCAGGCAAGTTATTGAGTCTCTCTGAACTTGAGTTTTCTGCTCTGTAAAATGGAGACAAGAAGTTTTCCTACTTCTGGTCAAATGAGATAATGCATGTAAAGTGACTCCAGCTGTCATGATTGTTGTTGCTCTTGTTTAAGTAGAGGCAGTGGCCATGGCTGGCTCTGTGTGACCTGGGGCAAGTTATGAGACTTCTCTGAACTTTAGTTTCCCCGCCTACAAAGTGGGGGTCATGACAGCATCTACCTCCTGAGGCTGTCGTGAAGCTGGAAGGAGACCCTAAGCATAATTTCTGGGCCCATGCCTCGCTTGAGGAGGACGTAGGTATAATTCTGGCCGAATTGGAGAACGTGATCTCTAAACTGGGTGGGCCCCTCTAAGCTGTCCTGACTCCGGTCCTCTGTGCTGGATCACAGCCTCAGCCTGGCTGGCAGGGGAGTAGATCATTCCTATTCCCTTTGCCTCCCCAGCTCTTCCCAAGTGGACACCACAACCCCATTGCTTTTTTTAGAGACGGAGTCTCCCTCTCTCACCCAGGCTGGAGTGCAGTGGTGTGATCTCGGTTCACTGCAACCTCCGCCTCCCGGGTCCAGGTGATTCTCCTGCCTCTGAGTAGCTGGGATTACAGGTGCATGCCACCACTGCCGGCTAATTTTTGTACTTTTAGTAGAGATGGGGTTTCACCATGTTGGCTAGGCTGGTCTCAAACTCCTGACCTCAAGTGATATGCCCACCTCAACCTCTAAGTGCTGGGATTACAGGCGTGAACCACTGCGCCTGGCCCCCATTACCTTTTGTTGTGACTGCAGCAGACTCACTGGGGGGCTTCTGTCCCCAGAGGGCGGGGAGCTCAAGTTAGTTCATTGAGGAGGGGCAGGGGCCATAGGGCTGGGGCGGGGCCTGGACATCCCAACACGAGGGTCCTTCCTGTGCTGAGGTTCCAGACTGAGGCGGGAGTCAGTCTGAGGCCTGGCCGTGCGGCTTGGCGTCTATCCAGGCTGGAATTTGCAGGATTTGTGCTGTGGTGCTGGAATCGGCTCCCTCGGAGTGTGTGTCTCACTGGATTGGATCTGTCTGTGTCTTGGGGGTGTTCTTTAAAGGGAAGAACCTGACAGACTTCACACTGCAGTGCCCCGTGCAGGGCCTGGCACACAGAAAATATCTATTGGACCAGTGAATGGATCATCCAAGGGACTGAACGTCCCCAGTGCAAACAGGAAGGGAGTTTGTGTCAGTGGGGAGTCTCCCAGGCCCCAGTAAGACTGGTTGACCAGGTCCTCCCTAAGTTCTGGGTGTTGCTGAAGTGGCCTTGCTGCTCTGAAAACAGCTGTGTGCATCTCAGCCTCGCCTCTCCCGGAGGAGGGCCTCTCACTTCCTACGAAACCAGGACTGCAGCCTCAGAGAGGTTTGAGGGTGTGCCCAGGGCTACACACTTAGAGTGAGTTTGGGGCGTGAGGCAAGGATTTGTGGGGTGGCTGCCCAGCTAAGCACCTGGACACTGTTCTGTAGGAAAGGAGAGCCGTTAAAGAATTTGTATCTACCTCTTTTTTTTCTTGGTTTTGTTACTTTCCCCCAACATTTTATTATGAAAATTTTGAAACAGCAACATCAACTCACTAACATTTTACTAAATTTGAGTGATCGCACATCCATCCGTCAAAATTTTGGGTGCATTGTCTCTTTACTTTTACTTTTTCTTTTCTTTCTTTCTTTTTTTTTTTTTTTTTTTTTTTTTTTTTGAGACAGAGTCTCACTCTGTCGCCCAGGCTGGAGTGCAGTGGCACGGTCTCAGCTCACTGCAACCTCCACCTCCCGGGTTCAAGCGATCCTCCCACCTTGGCCTCCCCGGTAGCTGAGACTACAGGTGCCCACCACCATGCCTGGCTAATTTTTGTATCTTTTAGTAGAGATGGGGTTTTGCCATGTTGGCCAGGCTGGTCTCAAACTCCTGACCTCAGGTGATCCGCCCACCTCGGCCTCCCAAAGTGCTGGGATTACAGGCATGAGCCACCACGCCTGGCCCACCCCAGTTATTTTTTTATCCAAGCACCCTGTTCTTATCCTTCATAGGATGATTACAATTAGATACACACTATTTGTTTCCTTTTGGGTGGGGCTAGGTCTGTCTTGTTCCCTCCTGTGTTCCCCAGTCTGTCGTAGGTTGCATGTTCTGTAAGTATCTGCTGAACGAACAGATGAATGAGGGAGATGTTACTGGTCTTTGCTCCTCCAATGCTGCCCCCCACCCTCCATGTCATGTCTCGACATGTCTGATTTCCTGAGAGTGGCTTACGTGCCTGGCATGGTACTGAGCCTTCTTTGAAGCAGCCCTCTGAGCAAGGGATCCCTAGATCGTACATTCACAGATGCGGCAGCTGAGGCTCAGAGAAGTGAAGTGACAGGCCCCGGGTCACACAGCATCGAGGGGGCAAGTCAGGATGTGATTGCAGTTGCTCCGACCCCAGGCCCATGCCCTGAGTCTCTGCACAGCCAGACTCAGAGATCCCAAAGTGGGTCCCCATCATGTCCTGGCTCTCCCCACTTCAGAAGCAGGACCTCGAAAATTTCAAGGAGCCCCAGATACCCCACCTGGACGGCATCCTGGCTCGGGGCAGACCTGCCTCCCAGGCTCCACCTTATGTTCTGCTCCTTCTCATTGCCTCCCAAATTAGTTCCATGTTCAGCCTGGGGCCTGTGGATTCCACTTTTTTCTGTAACCGGAGTTCCCCCAGTGCTTGGCACCAAGCTCGGTGACTTGGCTTCGGCTCAGGTTCCTGATTTCCTTGGACAATTTCAGATGATTTCACTGGCAGAGAAAAGCCCAGCCAGGGGTCAGTGAGCGGATCACTCCCGTTTCCTGTAATCAGGTAGAAAAGGATCACAGATGACGAGCAGTGCCTCCCAAGACACACAGGCTGTAGGAACAGGCCTCCTTTTCTACTTTCACCCTGGAAACCACCTTGCAGGATGGGCCTTGTGATCCCCACTTCACAGATGGGGAAGCTAGGGCTCAGAGAGGTTGGGTGCTTTGCTGAGGGTTGCACAGCAAATGAGTGGCAGGGCAGAATCTGTCCCCTAGTCTGCTGGCCCCAACACACAACCTCTTCCTCCCAGATTCCTTTCTGGCTCCAGGCTGCAGCAGGAACCTGGCCCTGGGGACTCAGAGTGGCGAAAACTCAGACCTTGCCCACGAAGACCTCAAAGTCAAGCAGAAAAAGACTAGATTGAGTGCAAACAGTGATCAAAGCAGCACCCGCCAACATGAGACAATATGTATTTTTAGACAGTGAGTCAGTCCTGATGATTCACAGGCCTGGCTAGGCTTGCAGGGCAGCCCCAGGACACCAAGGGCAGGGTAGGAGATGAGCTACCCGCGGGCCAGGAGACCAGAAGGGGGTCCAGGGCTGCACCTCCTTATTCTCCATTGTGTTGTCAAGGGCTGGAGGTGGGGCTGGACGCCTTCCTACTTGATTGGAAGATGCATTTTCCAATAAGTACTTAACTAGCTCATGGTCACAGAATTAGAATGTGACACAAGCAGCCTCCCATCACTTTATAAGCATCTGCTCTGGACTGGGCACTGTGACGGGTGCTCGGGAGATGGCAGACCATGAAACTGATGAAGTTCTAACCTCATGCAACTGACCTTCCAGAACAGGTGTGGGCACACTTTCTCCATAAAGGGCCACATAGTAAATATTTTAAGCCTCGTGGGCCATGACAACTCTTAAGGCTGCAGTTGTAGCTGGAAGGCAGCCATATGCAATACGTAAATGAGGGGGTATGGCTGTGTGCCAATAAAACTTTATTTACAAAATCAGGCCAGCCGCGGTGGCTCACGCCTGTAATCCCAGCACTTTGGGAGGCCGAGGTGGGTGGATCACGAGATCAGGAAATCAAGACCATCCTGGCTAACACAGTGAAACCCCATCTCTACTAAAAATACAAAAAATTAGCCAGGCATGGTGGTGGGTGCCTGTAGTCCCAGCTACTTGGGAGGCTGAGGCAGAAGAATGGCGTGAACCCAGGAGGCGGAGCTTGCAGTGAGTGGAGATTGCGCCACTGCATTCCAGCCTGGGTGACAGAGGAAGACTGTCTCAAAAAAAAAAAAAAAAAATCGAAGAGCAGCTAGATTTGGCCTGTGGGCTATAATTTGCTGACCCCTCTTCTAGAAGATGCCTTCCTCCACACCCGGGTTCCCCTCATTTGCCCTCTACTGTGTGACTTTGGGACCCCTGATGGCCCTTCGGACTGTGGCCTCCAAGGCAATGTGCTGGTTCTGCAGGTGAAACGGCGACAGTGCTCTGTGTTCCTTGAAGATGTGTTCGCATTAGGCCTCACAAGCCCCCACATGTGGCTCTTTCTGAGTCATGTTGTACTGTGACCTTTTGGGCACCAGCATCCGTGTGTCACTTGGTTCAACCTAGTGCTTGGTCCATAGCGGGTGATGGATGAATGTTTGTAGAATCTGCAGAATGAACAGACCCAAGGCTGTGCCTAGTCCTGTGTATCTTCACTTTAGTGAGAAACTGGCAATAGAGGGGGGTTGTGACAGAGACCAGGGCCCCCTCTGGTCTTCCTCCTTGTCCTCCAGGGGTCTGGGTACTGCACTGTCTCACCCCCACCCTGTGCTCACATGACAGTCCAGGAGGAAGGTGCAGGGCAGTGGTGAGGGCCTGGCTCATTGTGGGCACCAGTGCTGAGCCCCAGCTTCCTGATCTGTGAAATGGACGGGGGCGATGAGGCTCACGTCTCTCACAGAGGTTGCTCATGGGCTCAGGTAAATCCCTGTGCCTGCTCAACCACCAAAATTCAAGATGAACTGTCTTAGGTGTGCCTCTCAGCTCTTCTAAGAGGTGGAGTTAGGCTGGGCGCGGTGGCTCACGCCTGTAATCCCAGCACTTTGGGAGGCCAAGGCGGGTGGATCACGAGGTCAAGAGATCAAGACCATCCTGGCCAACATGGTGAAACCCTGTCACTACTAAAAATACAAAAATTAGCTGGGCATGGTGGTGGGCACCTGTAATCCCAGCTACTCGGGAGGCTGAGGCAGGAGAATCACTTGAATCCCGGAGGCAGAGGTTGCAGTGAGCCAAGATTGCGCCACTGCACTCCACCCTGGGCGACAGAGTGAGACTCCATCTCAAAAAAAAAAAAAAGAGTTGGAGTTAGCACCAGTCTCACAGATAAGTTAACAGAGACTGGGGCATCCAGGGACTTGCTTGAGGTCACAGCTTGCAGGTGCAGGGTAGGGTTCAGACCCAGCCTCTCTGTGCCTCCCTTGACGATGGGTCACCCTCTGTAATCAGCAACAGGGTGGCCGGAAACCTGCTGGGCTCTTTTCTGCCCCTGTATCTCTAGCAGATGGTCTTGGATAAGGTGGTCTTATCTCATGCCTGCCTGCCCCTCTACCCATGTCCCTGCCTTCTGCCTGCACCTGTTCAGTGGCCAGGTCAGGGGACGGACGAGGCTCCTTACAGCCGCGTGGGTGTTTGGAGAGTGGGGCAGGCAGCCCGGCAGAGCTGTTAAGCAGCAACCCCACCACCAGTGCTTCCGGATGCCTGGACTCTGGGGCAGGAGCTGTGGAACTATCATTCTCAGATTCGGGCTCAAGTCCTGTATCAGAGGACAGCTAGCCTTGTGACCTTGGAAAGTCATGGAAGTCTTCCAAGCCTGTTTCTCACCTGAGTAATGGGAATGGTAGATGACATGCATTACACATAGTGGATGCTTATTAGTGGTAAACTCCCTGCAAACACTGAATTAGCAGATCTGGAGCCATTGCTTCTAGGGAGAAATACAGGTTAAGTTCTTACAAGCCTCTGGTCACATTTTCATCAACCAATCAATACCTAACCTGGTTTTATGTGTTTCTCTGTAGACACTTTATTTAATATATAAGTGATTCATTAACATCGAACATGTTGGCTGGGTGCGGTGGCTCATGCCTGTAATCCTAGTATTTTGGGAGGCTGAGGTGGGCAGATGGCTTGAGCTCAGGAGTTTGAGACCAGCCTGGCCAACACAGTGAAACCTCATCTCTACTAAAAATACAAAAATTAGCTGGGAGTGGTGGCGCATGCCTGTAATCCCAGCTACTTGGGAAGCAGAGGCATGATAATCGCTTGAACCCGGGAGGCGGAGGTTGCAGTGAGCCGAGATTGTGCTGCTGCATTCCAGCCTGGCGACAGAGTGAGACTCTGTCAAAAAGAAAAATAGGCAAGGCACGGTGGCTCACGCCTGTAATCCCAGCACTTTGGGAGGCCAAGGTGGGCAGATCACAAGGTCAGGAGATCGAGACCATCCTGACTAACACAGTGAAACCCCGTCTCTACTAAAAATACAAAAAATTAGCCGGGCATGGTGGCAGGCGCCTGTAGTCCCAGCTACTCAGGGAGGCTGAGGCAGGAGAATGGTGTGAACCCGGGAAATGGAGCTTGCAGTGAGCTGAGATCGCGCCACTGCACTCCAGCCTGGACAACAGAGCGAGACTCTGTCTCAAAAAAAAAAAAAAAAAGAAAAGAAAAGAAAAATAATTAAACACATACGTGTCCATAGGCAACAGCACTAACGCATGCCTGAACAAACCCTCTCTAACACATGTGTTTTCTCTGTAACGTAGTCACTCCTGCCTTGCTCTCACTGCACATGGGGGTCATTCTAAACATTGACACGACTGCAGAAAGCACAAAAATGGGAAAAATTTGGCACTAAGCCAACCATGAAAAGGATACTTGTTTGCGATGTGAGAGCTGAGATCGGAAGGCAGTGTGAGATCTTCTGAAACCTCAGCTGGGAACATGCCCCTCAGATCCTGGAAATTTTTTGCCACTTGCACTTGTCTGTGAATGACCTTGAAAGCACCTCGAGTGTTGATTTTTGAGGTTACAAATACATTCTAATAAGTAGGTGAACTTGCAAATACAGAATCCACAAATAATGGGGATTGAGTCTGTGTCTGTAAAAATTTGTGCTCAGTCATTAGCTGAAAGCAGGCTGTGGAAAGGTGATTTGGATTTTTTTCTACATATAAGAAAAATCTTTTTTTTTTTTTGAGATGGAGTTTTGTTCTTGTCGTCCAGGCTAGAGTGCAATGGCGCAGTCCTGGCTCACTGCAACCTCTGCATCCCAGATTCAAGCGATTCTCCTGCCTCAGCCTCCCAAGTAGCTGGGACGACAGGTGCCTACCACCACGCTCAGCTAATTTTTGTATTTTTAACAGAGATGGGGTTTCACCATGTCAGCCGGGCTGGTCTTGAATGGCTGACCTCAGATGATCTGCTTGCCACGGCCTCCTGAAGTGCTGGGATTATAGGTGTGAGCCACCGCACCTGGCTCCCAGCTAGTTTTTAAATTGTTTTGTAGAAATGGGGTCTTGCTATGTTGCCCAGGCTGGTCTTAAACTCCTGGCCTCAAGCCATCATCCCGAGACTACAGGCATGAGCCACTGCACCCAGCACATACATTTATTAGTGTGCATGGTAGACACTCCATAAAGAGTGGTTTTAGCCTGGCCAACCAGCTGTAGGATGTTGGAGCTCAAAGAGACTTCAGATTTCATCTGTCAGCCCAAAAGAGAAGGGGACTTCTTTATTTTTCTGAGACACAGTTTTACTCTGTTGCCCAGGCTGGAGTGCAGTGGCACAATCTCAGCTCGCTGCAACCCCCACCTCCCGGGTTCAAGTGATTCTTGTGCCTCAGCCCCTTGAGTAGCTGGGATTACAGGTGCCCGCCACCATGCCCAGCTAATTTTTGTATTTTTAGTAGAGGTGGGGTTTCACCATGTTGGCCAGGCTGGTTTCCAACTCCTGACCTCAAGTGATCTGCCCACCTTGGCCTCCCAAAGTTCTGGGATTACAGGTGTGAGCCACTGCACCTGGCCAAGAAGGAGACTTCTTTAGATCATTCACTTGTTCATTTATTCAGTTAATCTGTGATCTGAGTACCTTCTGTGTGCCAGATCCAGGACTAGGGACATGGAGGAGAATGTACAAGCAGGTCCTGCCCTCAAGGGGCTCCTAGTCCATGGGAGACAAACACCGAACAACCACAGGTCCACATTAAGACCAGATTGCAGCTGTGATGAGTGCTACCAAGAAGGAAGGAAGCACATGTGCCCAGCTCCAGGGGCCACGTCATGAGGGTTCTGGTCCCATCGCAGCAATCCCTTTCCCTTTCCTGGACATTAGTATCTCAGCTTCCCTTGTAGTTAGAAGTGGTTGGCCTGGTGCGGTGGCTCGTGCCTATAATCCCAGCACGTTGGGAGGCCGAGGCAGGTGGATCACCTGAGGTCAGGAGTTTGAGACCAGCCTGGCTAACATGGTGAAACCCCGTTTCTACTAAAAATACAAAAAATTAGTCGAGCTTGGTGGTGTGCGCCTGTAATCCCAGCTACTCAGGAGGCTAAGGCAGGAGAATCACTTGAACCTGGGAGGCAGAGATTGCAGAGAGCTGAGATTGCACCAATGCACTCCAGCCTGGGTGACAGAGTGAGACTCCGGCTCAAAAAAAAAAAAAAATTTTTTACAAATTCAATTTATTTAACAGATACAGAACTATTCAGGTAACCTGTTTGTTTCTAGGAGGATTTTCCTGGTTTGTGGCACTCGGACATTGCTTTATTTCATCTAAGTTGTCTGATTTTTAAGTGTCAAGTTTTCCTTAGTGTTCTCTTGCTAACCGTCTGAAGTCTGTGGGGCCTGCAGTGATGTCCCTTCATTCATTCCTGATACTGATAATTTGTATCTTTTCTGTTTTTTTCTTTGTCAGTTTTCCTAGAGTTTTTCAATTTTGTTGATCTTTTCAAAGAATGATCTTTAAGTTTCATTAATTTTTCCCTTCTTTTTTTGCTTTCAATCTCATTAGTTTCTGCTTTTATCTTGGCATTTGTTCCTTTGGCTTGTTTTGCGTTCACTTTGCTCTTTTTCTGGTTTCTTAAGGTGGAAACTTAGATTGCTGATTTAGACCTATCTTTTTTGTAATATATAATGATTTGATGCAATAAATTTTCCTCTAAGCAGTGCTTTAATTAACCCCACAAATTTTGGTGCATTTTCATTTATGTTCAAAATATTTTCTAATTTCTTTTGAGAATTGTTCTTTGACCCATGGATGATGATGATGATTATTATTATTATTATTATTTTTCTTCAATACGGAGTTTCACTGTTGTTGCCCAGGCTGGAGTGCAATGACATGATCTCGGCTCACTGCAACCTCTGTCTCCTGGGTTCAAGCGATTCTCCTGCCTCAGCCTCCTGATTAGCTGGGACTACGGGCACCCGCCACCATGCCCGGCTAATTGTTTTGTATTTTCAGTAGAGATGGGGTTTCTCCATGTTGGCCAGGCTGATCTTCAACTCCTGGCCTCAGGTGATCCCCCCAACTTGGCCTCCCACAGTGTTGGGATTACACGCGTGAGCCAGTGCGCCCGGCCTGACCCATGGATTATTAAGTATGTGGTTTTATTTTGAAGTGTTTGCAGATTGTTTTGTTAATGATTTCTAGTTTAATACCATTGTGATTGGAGAACAAACTGCATATGATTTCATTTCTTTTAAATTTGTTAAGATTTATGTGTCAGGTTATGTTCTCAGTGAACATTCTGTATGTGCTTAAAAAGTATATGTATGGTCTGTATATGTGTGGTCTGTATATACATATATGTATACATATATGTGTAAAAAGTATATGTATGGTCTGTATGTGCTTAAAAAGTATATGTATGGTCCAGCACTTTGGGAGGCCGAGGCAGGCAGATCACAAGGTCAGGAGATCGAGACCATCCTGGCTAACAGGGTGAAACTCCGTCTCTACTAAAAATACAAAAAAAATTACCCGGGCATGATGGCGGGCGCCTGTAGTCCCAGCTACTTGGGAGGCTGAGGCAGGAGACTGGCTTGAGCCTGGGAAGCAGAGCTTGCAGTGAACTGAGATCATGCGACTGCACTCCAGCCTGGGCGACAGAGCTAGACTCCATCTCAAAAAAATAAAATTTAAAAAAAGTATATGTAAAGTATATGTATGGCCGGGCACGGTGGCTCACGCCTGTAATCCCAGCACTTTGGGAGGCCAAGGCAGGTGGATCACGAGGTCAGGAGATCAAGACCATCCTGGCTGACATGGTGAAACCCCATCTCTACTAAAAATAAAAATTAAAAAAATAATAATAATTAGCCAGGCGTGGTGGTGAGCACCTGTAGTCCCAGCTACTCAGGAGGCTGAGGTAGGAGAATGGCGTGAACCCAGGAGGCAGAGCTTGCAGTGGGCTGAGATCGTGCCACTGCACTCTAGCCTGGGCGACAGAGCGAGACTCTGTCTCAAAAAAAAAAAAGTATATGTATTTTGCTGTTGTTGGGTGAAGTGTTCCATAAATTAGATCCAGTTTATTGAAGGTGTTCTACAGTTCTCCTAGATTTTTGCCGATTACTTGTTCTCTCACTATGAAAGATATTGTGTGTGTTATATGTGTCTAACAATTCATTGTCTAGTTAGAGTTGCTATTATACCACTTCAAGTGGATGGAGAGCCTCCCTGCCATCCATTAATGTGCATTAATCATTTTGAGAGTGAAAAGATTTTTTAAAATGTTTTTACTCTTTTAGGTATGGCCAAGTGAGATGGGGCTAGTGAAATGGGTGGGAGAATTGGAAGCTGATAGTGTGTGAGCTAGACACCCATGAATGCTTTTCCACTGGGCAGTTAGAGGGATGATAGGTAATAATATAAGGCAGCTCCATCACACAAGCTGGTGACTCCTGTGCGACAGACCAAGAGCTGCATTTGGAGATTCATTTCCGATTGTTGCGTTTCCTCTTAGAGCATTGCTTGGTCATCGTGTTCTGAGTGGTCCATTGGCCTCCATGTCCCTTTTGGGGTGGATATTTGCTCAGTGACTTTTGAGCAGCTGGATCTCCTGCTTCGGCAGGTGAGTGAGGGGATGGATGGCTCCGCGGACTGGCCCCCGCCCCAGGAGAAAGAGTGCGTGGCCGTGGCAACGCTGAATCTTCCCCGACTTCAGGTATTCGTGATTTCCCTTCCTCTTGCTCCTTTTATAAGTGTCTTAGCGATTTGTAAGAAGGTTTATGTATTTTGAAGGACATAGGTTTTAGCCTGTTGGGGGAAGTATTTTAAAGTAAGATTGTAATGCACTAATAATGGACGCAAGGCTTAAAAAACTTGATCTGTTTATTTTATGTTTGTCCTGGAAGTCAGCCTCGGCATGCAGGAAGAGTGTATATGGATTGTGTTATTTTTGCTATAATCATTAGTTTGTTGGTATTCTTACTGTTTTACTGTTGTTGCGTGTGGAGAAATGACTGGGTGAGATCACAGGTGATGGAGAGAGACAGCGCTCAGCTGAGAGACCAGTGCTGGCCTGTCTCTCCTCTGTCCTGTGAAAACCCTGCTCCAGGAGGGTCCAGTCTTTTGGTTTCCCTGGGCCACACTGGAAGAAGAATTGTCTTGGGCTACACATAAAATACACTTATGATAGCTGATGAGCTTAAAAAAAGAATCCCAAAAATATCTCATGATGTTTTAAGAAATTTTACTTTGGGCCACATTCAAAGCTGCCCTGGGCCACATGCTGCCCTCGGGCCGTGGGTTGAACAAGCTTGATCTACTCAGTAAGCTCGGCTCCCAAAGCAATACCTTCCTTTCCTCACCATGAAGGCTGTGGTTAGGGTCAAAATAAAAGCTACAAAAGCCTTCCTCCCTAGCAAAACTAAAGCTGAAGTGTTTGATCATCATCTTTTGTCTTTGTAATAAAACCCTCTAACTTAATGACAAGAACCACGGTTTTCTCGACATAGTAATTTTTCCCTTTTATTACAGTGGTTTCTTGTAACAACCCGTCATGTCCCTCTTCCAGCCCCTCCCCTTTTTGCCCTGCTTCTAGAATGTACAGAACTGAGTGTAGTGTTTAGATGCAGTAATGAACTGAGCAGAGGTCTGGAGCATGCTTCTCCTCTAGTCCTCTGTAGCACTCATTTATCACCATATCTGTGGCATCCTGGCGTTTGCGTGGTTGCGCCCCAGGTGTTTGCTGCCCCTCCTGGTTTGCGGTGATGTGTCTGTTCTGGTCAGTGCTGTGGGGCGTGGCCTTGTGTATGTCTTAGGCTGTCGAGGTGTCCCAGCGTATGGTTTTGCATTTGCCTCTCCGGGGTCCTGAGGGTTCTGTAGGTTTCACAGACTCCAGGTGAGTTTCGGTGGTCATTTCCTGACCTGTGATATCTATACCTAGATGAGCGGTGTGCTTTTGATTTCACTTCTACTCACAGGGCAAGGCCGGGTCTCTGATTTCTCATGGGGCCTCTTGCTACCCAAAGCCTGGGACGGGCAGTGTGTTGCCCCCTGGCTGCGGTTGGCTGGCAGGCAGGTGATCCTGAGTGGCTCCCAGCCTTCTGCAGGAAGCTCGAGTTCAGTGGGTCCTTGTGTGCATTCCCGTGTGGGAGGTTGTGCTGAAGCCTGGCGGCTTGGCTCTGCTTTCAGAGCCCGGAACCTCTTGACTCCTGCTGTGTGTGCCCACGTGAATTTTGGTTTTGCACTTGAGGAGTTTCCCTGTGTACTCTCAGCTCCGCAGTCTAATTTTTAGCAGCTCTTTTTTTTTTTTAGACAGGGTGTCACTTTGTCACCCAGGCTGGAATGCAGTGGTACAGTCTTGGCCTGCCAGGTTCAAGTGATTCTCCTGCCTCAGCCTCCCAAGTAGCTGGGACTACAGGTGTGTACCATCACACCCGGCTGATTTTTTTATAGAGATGGGGTTTCATCATGTTGGCCAGGCTGATCTTGAACTCCTGATCTCAAGTGAGCTTTCCCGTCGGCCTCCCAAAGTGCTGGGATGACAGGCATGAGCCACCGCCTGTGGCAGCTTTTGTGGTTACATTGTAGCCATTATTTCTGTGTTTGGTGCAGATTGTTGGGGCGGGGTGGAGGTTGCTGTTGCTAGTTGTTTAGCTCTTCTGCTCATCTTGAGCTTTTCCATATATGTGTTCATAGTGGGGTTAAAAAAAATTCCTCTAGAAAATACTTCAACTATTGTGGGTAAGAGTTTTTTTAGTCCAGTTTTTAAAAATACGTAAACTGAGAAGTTATTTTGTCTATTTAGATAATACTTCAAATTGACTTTTATTCAGTGTTTAATAAGACTTTGAAATTCACTCATTTTTAGGGGTTCTAAGTGAAAATTGTTTTTCTCCTTTCAGTTGCATGCTGCCATTAGTCACCAGGTTGACCTGGAATTCCTTGGTTTAGGTCTGGGCAGCGTCTTCCTGAACAGCCTGAAGCAGAAGGTGGTGACCCTGGCAAGCAGCGCAGACGTGCTGAGCACCGTGCAGTCGGCCTCCCAGGCCATGCTGCAGAGCGGCTGGTCCATGCTGTTGCCCACCGCTGAGAAGCAGGCCCGGGCACTCTGCTCTCCTGTCCTGCGGAGGTGGGCTCGGGGAAGGAACAGGAGAGGGCATGGGTCAGGGTGCTGGGAGGGGATGGCGTTTCACTCAAATTGGCACACACTTTCTATTTCAGTTTCAGGCAATGAAGTGAGCATAAGTCCAGGTCATCGATTGGTGATTGATCTTCTGGTGGGCAGCTTGATGGCTGATGGAGGGTTGGAGTCAGCCTTACACGCAGCCATTACTGCAGAGATCCAGGTATGGCCTTGGAGGCACACGTGACCTGGTGGTGGGCTGAGATCGGAAATACCACACTCACACATGTGAAGAATAACTGAAAACAGTAAAACACTAAACTTATATCCAAGTATTTTTTTAAATTAAAATTCTTTTATGTGCTAATTTTAAAAATTATTGAGATGATTTGTGATAAAATACTGCATGTTGTCTGTTTCAGTGAAGTTAACAGGTAACCTGTTCCTCATGTAGACCATTCCCGTCACCCGGAAAGATCCCTGTGCTCCTTGGCACTTGCAGCCAGGATACTCCCCTGCCCTGAGATTAGATTCATTTTTCCTGCTCTGAGTGTCACAGCAATATAACTGTATAGTATGCACTCTTTCCTGCTTTGCCTTGGAGAATGATTTTCAGATTCGCTCACTGTTGTGTGCATTGCGACTTCGTTTTTATTATTGGGAAGTTTTCCATTTTATAGGTGTAGTACTGTTTGTTAGTTCATTCTCCTATTGAAGGACATGTAATTGTTTTTGGTTTTTGTTTTCTTTTTTTTTTTTTTTTTTCTGAGACAGGGTCTTGCTGTGTCACCCGGGCTGGATGCAGTGACCTGATGTTGGCTCACTGCAGCCTTGTCCTCCTAGGCTCAAATGATCTTCCCACCTCAGCCTCCTGTGTTGCAGGGACCACAGGCATGTCACCATGCCCAGCTAGTTTTTTTATTTTTTTGTAGAGACAAGGTGTTACTATGTTGCACAGGCTGGTCTTGAACTCCTGGGCTCAAGTGATCCCCCCACCTTGGCCTCCCAAAGTTTTGGGATTACAAGTGTGAGCCACTGCGCCCAGGCTTTCTGGTTTTTGGCCGTGTAGAGCTGCCACGATTGTGCTGTGAACAAGTACTTTAGTGAACATACGTTCTCCCTTTGGGTAAACACTTGGAGTGGAATTTGTTAGGTCCTGGGGTAAGTGTGTGTTCATAGTTTCCCAAAGTGGCTTTGCCATTTACATTTGAACCAGTGTGTGTGAGAATTCTAGCTCCTTCTTGTCCTTACAAAGCAGCTGGATGCTGCGTGTGTGGGGCAGATCACATTGGGTTTTGTGAGAGCCAGTAGCAGGGTTAAGGATTTTAGGGACTTCACAGAAGGAGGCTGGAGAGCATCAGCAGAGGCAGCCTGGACCTTGGATCTGTAAACAGAAGACACTGTTTGAAACTGCACAACTGAGTTAGGGTTTCCAACAAGGCAGGTGGGGGCCTGTGGGTAGGTGTGTGCGGCAGCCACAGAGGCTGGGATAGCTTGGCACTGGGGTCAGGGCTCAGCCAGCCTATGTGTCTTCACACCTGGTAATGAGATCACTTGTAAACAATTTCTGTTTATGAATTACAGGATATTGAAGCCAAAAAAGAAGGACAGAAGGAAAAAGAAATTGATGAACAGGAAGCAAATGCCTCAACATTTCATAGAAGGAGGACTCCATTGGATAAAGACCTTATTAATACGGGGATCTGTGAGTCTTCTGGCAAACAGTGTTTGCCTCTGGTTCAGCTCATACAACAGCTTCTTAGGTAAATCATATTAGCTGTATTGTATTGTGTTTTATTTATTTACTTTTTTTTGTTTTTTTTGAGACAGAGTTTCACTCTTGTTGCCCAGGCCGGAGTGCAGTGGCGCAATCTTGACTCACCACAACCTCCGCCTCCCTGGTTCAAGTAATTCTCCTGCCTCAGCCTCTCGAGCAGCTGGGATTACAGGCATGCGCCACCACGCCCCACTAATTTTGTAGTTTTAGCAGAGATGGGGTTTCTTCTTGTTGGTCAGGCTGGTCTTGAACTCCCGACCTCAGGTGATCCACCCACCTTGGCCTCCCAAAATGTTGGGATTACAGGCACTGGCCACCACGCCTGGCCTATTTATTTACTTACTAATGTTTTTTGTTTTTTTTTTTTTGAGACGGAGTCTCGCTCTGTTGTCCAGGCTGGAGTGCAGTGTCACGATCTTGGCTGACTGCAACCTCTGCCTCCTGGCTTCAAGCTATTTTCCTGCCTCAGCCTCCTGAGTAGCTGGGACTACAGGCGTCTGCAACCACACCTGACTGATTTTTGTATTTTTAGTAGAGATGGGGTTTTACCATATTGGTCAGGCTGGTCTCAAATTCCTGACGTCAGGTGACCCACCTGCCTTGGCCTCTCAAAATGTTGGGATTACAGGTGTTAGCCACTGTGCCTGGCCTGTATTGTATTTTAATAGGTGATTATTGGTTTTCATATTAAGATAGTGAAATCTAGCGCAAGGATCTCAAAAATTTGTTTGATGATTGAAGGAATATTCTGAAAATTACCTAGTATAGATTTTAGGGTAAAGAGCAGACCCTTTTCGATATAGGTGAGAGGAGAAGTTGGAGAGCGTGATGATGTTCAAAAGTTTTTCACAGAAGAGAAATTGGGGCGTGCAGTAAACCTGTAAAAAGATTCTTGCTAATAAGCAGGTGGATGTAAATGAAAATCATCATGGAAGGTTATTTTTAAAACTGGTTCTATCATTGCCTCACTTTATATATTACAGAGTTATACATACTACTTTGTAAGATAACTTTTCTTTTCAAAACTAAAGTCAATGTGAAAGAATGGTGAGCATTGTTTTGGAAGGCCCGACTAGGAGGAGGTGGGAAGAAGTGAGACTCAGCCTGTGAACAGACGCTAACCTTGGCAGAAGCCAAAACGGTCAGACAGTGTTGTCTAAAAATGATCATTCAAGAAGAGTGAAAAAACAAAGTGATTTGTGAAAGAGATTTATTAGAAAATGAAACACATTTATACCTCTGTTTAATAAAAATCTGCTTTTTGTCAAATCGTGCTCCTGGTTTTTGTTTCTACACATAGAGAAAGCAGAGCCCTGGCAGGTTTGATCAGGCAGCCGAGCACAGAGCAGGGAGCCCTGGGCAGTGGCTGCAGCTCTCAGCTGGCCTCTTCATGGGGCCACGGTGCATCTGCGGCGTGGGGTTGGGCCTGCGGCGTGGGGTGGGCCTGTGGCGTGGGGTGGGTCCGTGGCGTGGGGTGGGCCTGCTGTCCACAGCCAGAAAAACGAACTTAGTGGACGCACAGTGACATTTTGAAACAGGAAGTTTTAGAGCTAGTTTCTATCATAGATTTTAGTAAATGCTATTTTGAAAAACATTTTTCCGATGTTTGTTTTGTTTTTCTAGTCTGATAATGCATATTTCACACATTCTGATCTTTAACCAGTGGAAATTAGAGAACTAAACAATATAGTTTGTGTTAATGGAAAGAGCTTGGGATTTGTTCTCAGAAAATTTCAGTTGCAACAGTTTGTTCATATAGGTGGACTTCCAACACAGTAACTATAGGAGTAAGAATAAAAGCTGTGTTTACTTTCACAGAGTTAATTAAGAATACATGAGAAAATGGATGTTAACAACTTTGTAATTAAAATTTAAAGTTACATGCAAAGTTTTAAAGTGAGCATTTTCCAGGAAGAGGTGATTTTCTAAGTTCTTGAATGCCTCTCCCTTTTGTGAGGAGGCTGCGTCGTGGGCTGTTGGTGTCTTTGGCAGAAGGTGAGTCTAGGGTTCCTGTTGTGGGTCCTTTGTTCTCATGAGGACAGTGCCCGTTTTCCCCGTCTCATGCTTGCCCAGACTGTTCCCGTGCGCAGAGAGACTGGCCTGTTTGACCTGCAGCTGTGCTGTTTGAGCTGCAGCTGTGTAGCCTGCGCTGGCCCGTCTGCCTGGCACTCACACCGTTTGCTGATCAGCACTTGAAGTGTGTCTATCATAGCTGAGACACTGAATATTTTATGTTTAATTTTTATTAAAATGCAGATTTAAAAACTTGATTCCATTATTAGGTAGCATTTAAGTATGTTTAGAATCACTTGGCCATGTGAGTCTACTTCGTCAACTGTATCTTTTATGAGTCTAAGTGCAGATCAGATATTTTCAATGCAAATTTCACTGTCCAAATTGCAATGTACTACATATGTAAGCTACCCTGATGGTTTTTGAGGCCTTATTATAAAATAACCTATATAAAATATCTCAACAATTTTTCTTATATTGATTTCATGTTGAAATGGTAATATTTTCAATCTGTTGAGAGAAGTATGATACACTATTAAAAATATTTTTATTTTTTGAGATAGAGTCTTGTTCTGTTGCCCAGGCTGGAGTGCAGTGGCACAATCTTGGCTGGACAGCACCCTGGACAGCATCATTTCCCACCTGGCAGGGCAGTCTCCTTACAGGGAAGTCAATGAGGCACTAAAGAAGGCTCAGGGGACAGGGAGGACTTCTGTTGGGAAGAGGCTCCTAGACCCGGTTCTGCCTCCGACTTGCTGGGGGTCCTTGAGAAAGTTACTTCCCCTCTTTGGTCTCAGTTTCCTCAGGTGAGAAATGGGGGGTTGGGTCAAATGGTCTAAGGTTCTGGGAACCTCTAAATCAGAGCCCGTAGCTGGTGGTCAAGATGAGGGAGAGGCCCTCAGGGTCAGCTGAATGCCTGAGATGCAAGACGGGCCCAAAGATGAGCAACCTGAGCACATCAGGTGGGCTCAGAGCTGGCGCATGAGCCCCACAGCCTGCAGAGCAGCCCTGGACTTAGAAGCCCGCTTGCACCAGCCCGGTGGGACTTCAGAGATGTGGGGCCCAGCCTCTCCTACTATTGCAGGGCTGAGGGCTGGGAGCCGCAGATTCTGACCCCACAGCTGCCTTAGACATGCCAGATGGGCTGCGGTGAGACACACCCCTCTCTATGAAATGAGCAGTCAGTCCAAATAGATACTCCAAAGAAGGGCTGTGGGAGGGATCCAGCACCACTGCACTAGAGCCTGGGCAACAGAGCGAGACTCCGTCTCAAAAAAAAAAAAAAAAAAAAAAAAAAAAGTTTTCAACTTTCACTAAAGGCAGAGTAGCTTGTTATAGATTAGCTTCCCCACAAGAACAGTTAGAGAAACTGGACAAAAATGTGCCCCCCCATCAAAAACAATTGTTTGAAGGTAATGGGAGACTTCAGCCAGAACTTGAGTGACCAGGCCTGGGAGGTGAGCCTGACAGTCTGTAGTGCTTTCCCACATTTGGTGATTGGTCAACAGTAGAGGGCTAAGAGGCTAAGAAACTGAGTATTATGAAGTGGTAGTTAACAGGCTGGAAAGCCTAGCTGAATGTTTGGCACTCTCACAGGGCTGAATGAGAATTTGGGTCCCAGGAAGGAGATGGGACCTTGGTGGCAACTCTGGAAGGGCCACCCCTAGGAGTCCAAATGAATAAAAAATAGACCAGCCGTCACAAACTAAAACCTGCTTTGAACTAGCTTAGTCCCAAACTAGATGAAGGCAATCTGCTCTTACTCCAATTGTGTGCCATAAAGTCAAAGTCAATACTCTCTGGAGGCACATAAAAGTTTACTAGGAATGCCATAAAACAAAACAAGACTAAATGAGAAAGACCAAGAAGAAAAACAATAGAAACATACATAGATATCAGAGTCCTCAGGTAGAAACTTTTTTTTTTTTTTTGAGATGGAATCTCGCTCTGTCATCCAGGCTGGAATGCGGTGGTGTGATCTTGGCTCACTGCAGCCTCCTGAGTAGCTGTGATTACAGGCGTGCACAACCACGCCCGGCTAACTTGTATTTTTAGTAGAGACGGGGTTTCATCATGTTGGCCAGGCTGGTCTTGAACTCCTGACCTCAGGTGATCCACCCCCTCTAGGTCTCCCAAAGTGCTGCGGTTGTAGGTTTCGGCCACAAGGCCTGGCTAGTATTTTACCACAATTTAAAGTAAATTTTCTTTTCTTTTTTTTTTTTTTTTTCAAGTTTGTGCTCAGACTATATTCACACAGTGACATGGCGGCTTATGCTTCTGTAGGCCTTGTTGACAGTGCCAACTTTTAGATATTGATGATCTTCATCTTTCTCTTGTCTCCTCGGTAGAAGAATGGGATGCAGGAGGTACTGCCTAATCCTGGGCACTGCTGGGCGTTCTTCATCCCACAAAACAGCTGCATGATCTCCTGTGCAGTGGGGTTGTCCTGCGGAGAACCCTCCCCAGCCTCTCCTCCTGCAGGCTCCACACTGCCAGTGTGGCTCATATTACAAAGAACTTTGGAGGGAGGGAGGCAGGGCTCTGAGCACCGCTCCTCGTGCTCTGGCAGCCTCTCCTGCATCTTCTCTTTCTGATCTCGTATCCTCTCCTCCTTCTCTCGCATCTCCTCCTGCCCCCACATCTTCTCCTCCTGCCCCCACATCTTCTCCTCCTGGCCCCACATCTTCTCCTCCTGGCCCCGCATCTTCTCCTCCTGCTCCCGCATCTTCTCCTCCTGGCCCTGCATCTTCTCCTCCTGCTCCCGCATCTTCTCCTCCTGGCCCTGCATCTTCTCCTCCTGCTCCCGCATCTTCTCCTCCTGCTCCCGCATCTTCTCCTCCTGCTCCCACATCTTCTCCTCCTGCTCCTGCATCTTCTCTTCCTGCTCCCACATCATCTCCTCCTGCTCCTGCATCTTCTCTTGCTGCTCCTGCATCTTCTCCTCCTGCGTCTTCTTCTTCTCCCGCATCTTCTCCACCTGCTGCCACATCTTCTGCTCCCGCATTCTCTCCTCCTTCTCCCGCAGCCTCTCGTCCTGCTCCCACATCCTCTCCTTCTGGTCCCACATCTTCTGCTCCTGATCTCCTGCTCCTGCATCTTCTCGTGTTCCCACAGCTTCTCCTTCTGTTCCGGCAGCCTCTGCTGCTCCCACATCTTCTTCTTCCTGCTCCCACATCTTCTCCTCCTGCTCCCACATCTTCTCCTCCTGCTCCTGCATCTTCTCTTCCTGCTCCCACATCTTCTCCTCCTGCTCCCGCATCTTCTCTTCCTGCTCCTGCATCTTCTCCTCCTGCTCCCGCATCATCTCCTCCTCCTCCCGCATCTTCTTCTCCCGCTCCCGCATCCTCTCCTCCTCTCGCATCTTCTCCTCCTGGTCCCATGTCTTCTTCTCCTGCTCCTGCGTCTTCTTCTCCTCCCGCATCTTCTCCTCCTGCTGCCACATCTTCTTCTGCTCCCGCATTCTCTCCTCCTTCTCCCGCAGCCTCTCGTCCTGCTCCCACATCCTCTCCTCCTGGTCCCACATCTTCTGCTCCTGATCCCGCATCTTCTCCTCCTGCTCCCACATCTGCTTCTCCTGCTCCTGCAGCCTCTCCTCCTGTCTCCACATCTTCCTGCTCCCGCATCTTCTCCTGCCGCCACATCTTCTTCTCCTGCCCCCACATCTCCTCCTGGTCCCGTATCTTCTCCTCCTGCTCCCATATCTTCTCCTCCTGCTCCTGCATCTTCTCCTGTTCCCACAGCTTCTCCTTCTGTTCCGGCAGCCTCTGCTGCTGCCACTCCTTCTCTTCCTGCTCCCACATATTCTCCTCCTGCTTCTGCATCTTCTCCTCCTGCTCCCGCATCGTCTCCTCCTCTTCCCGCATCTTCTTCTCCCGCTCCCGTATCCTCTCCTCCTCTTGCATCTTCTCCTCCTGGTCCCGCGTCTTCTTCTCCTGCTCCTGCATCTTCTTCTCCTCCCGCATCTTCTCCACCTGCTCCCACATCTTCTCCTGCTCCCGCATCCTCTCCTCCTTCTCCCGTAGCCTCTCGTCCTGCTCCCACATCCTCTCCTCTTGGTCCCGCATCTTCTGCTCCTGCTCCCGCATCTGCTTCTCCTGCTCCCACAGCCTCTCCTCCTGTCTCCACATCTTCTCTTCCTGCTCCCGCATCTTCTCCTCCTGCTCCCACATCTTCTCCTCCTGCTCCTGCATCTGCTCCTCCTGCTCCCGCAGCTTCTTCTGCTCCCGCAGCTCCTTCTCCTGCTCCCGCAGCTCCTTCTCCTGCTCTCGCAGCCTCTTCTCCTGTCTCCGCATCTTCTCCTCCTGCTCCCGCATCTTCCCCTCCTGCTCCCGCAGTCTCTCCTCCTGTCTCCACATCTTCTCCTCCTGCTTCCGTATCTTCTTTTCCTGCTCCCGTAGCTCCTCCTCCTGCCTCCACATCTCCTCCTGCAAAGTGTTGGTTTGAACCTCAAAAGGAAATAGACTTATGAACTAGCTATATAAATGTAATCTATAAAATAACAGTTTTCATCTATGATTCTTTAAAAAAAATTTTTAAGCCTTAACACTGAGGTTCTGATTTCCCAGGCAGGGCCCCAAATTTGTAGATTTTTAGCACACTCTAGAGGATTCTATGGTGGGACCAGAACAAGGACCCAAATTTTCCAGCTCTTGGCTGGACCCTCCCCATACCTTGCATGATCCCTAGACCATGGTCCTAGCTGGATGGGTCTCCCACAACCCCTGGGGCTGCAGCCGCTCACCTGTGGCAGCAGGAACTTGGCCCTCTCCAGTTTCCTTTTTAGCTCCTTCACGTTGAGCTGGATCTCAGACTTTTCAGATTCTGCAAGTCGAAGTTTTTCTTGTAGTTCGGCATTTTTCTTCTTCAGCTCCTCATTGGTTATGCTATGGCCCGAGGCAGTAGAGAAAGGAATGAACGAAGAACAGAAAGGACTGCTTTGGTGATCAACCCTCTACTCTCGCCCCACAAGCACAGAACCGTGGCACTGGAAGGGACCCCAGGAATTAAAAGTCCCAGGTGGCAGGCCAGAGAGAAGACATGAGTTGCCTGAGGCTACCCCATGAGTCAGTGGCACAGCCGGCACTAGAGCTTCCCTGTGCACACATGTAAACCTGTATGACCCCCTACCATGCTCACCTGTACCCCCCACCTCCCAGCACACCACCCACGCTAAGGGCCCCCAGACCTCCCATCCCACCTTCCCCCATCCTACGTGTTCCTGTACAGTTCCAGACTCAGGGCGTCCCTCTCCTTTGTTAACTCCTCGATGTACTGCAAATAGAGAAAGGTTAAGTCAGGACAGAGCAGGCAGAAGAGCAGCTGGCCGACCAGGAACAACAGCTACACTGATACTCCACAGTAACACTCCCTCACTCTCCATCACACCCGACATGTTCTCAAGGCAATTCCAAGCCCATGGTCTCATTTTTTTTTCTTTTTTTTTTTCTCCTTTTCTTCTTTTAGAGATGGAGTTTTGCTCTTGTTGCCCAGGCTGGAGTGCAATGGCGCAATCTCGCCCCATGACAACCTCTGCCTCCCGGGTTCAAGCAATTCTGCCTCAGCCTCCTAAGTAGCTGGGATTACAGGCATGCGCTACCACACCTGGCTCTCACTTGTTTTTCAGAGAACTCAGTAAGGGTAGAAGGGACAGGGAAAGAGACTGAATTGATAGCTGGCTAACAGGGGCCCAGAGAGATCAGATAATATTGCTATTGCTATTACTGTTATTACTGCCACTGTTGGAACCTTTCTTGAGTGCTTCACCAGGCACTATGCTAACAATCCCATTTAATCCTCACAACCTCCATAGGAGACGGTTACCATTATTACCTCTATTGTATAGATGCAAAACATGGGGTATTAAAAGTTAAATGGTTGCCTAAGATCACTTTGACAGAGCTGGGATTTCAACACCCAGGTGTATCTGATTCTCTAAGCCCATTCTTTCCCTGGGGGTAGGGGCACAGATAAGAAGGAGGAAATTAATCCTTTGTTGACTTTTTGAAAGAACGATACATTGGCATAGTCCAAAACTCAGAAGGTAGAGAAGGGAAATATCTACCCCACACACACTGTTCCTGTCTCCTGAGTTTTTTATGAATCCTTACAAATATGTTTTTATGTATGTTACCATAATACGTACACACACACACACACACACACACGCACATGCACACTTATGTGTGTTCCCTCTCTCTACACAAATGGTAACATACTAAAGATACTCTTCTGTACCTTCATGGTACAAATACCTTAACCCCTGCCTAGGACTTGGTCAAGGCCACAGCCAAGTATGGGCAGGGCAGGCTCTTGGCCTTGGAGCTCTGTGTCCAGTGCTCGCTCCCCACAGTGCCCCCCAACTCACCCACAGCAGCTGACTCAGCCCCAACCTGCCTCTAATAACCACACACAAAAGCAGCAAGAAATGACCCATACTATCTTCTGGGCAGGACACTGCATCCTGCAGGAGGGACCTTTAGGCTCATTCCTCCATCTGCGAAGCTGGGATCCCAGGAGACTGGGGAGGTGATTGGACTTACCCTGTCTGCCTTCTTGTGCCATGTGGACACAGCAGAGAGAGCCCGCTGTAACTCTCCTGCAAAGTGCCAGGAATGATGCAAGCGGCCGGCGAGATCCTTGGACTCTCCTGGAATGAGAGAGGTTGAGACACAGCCCAAAGGACTCCCCCTAAAGGCCTGTGAAAGTGCCAGGTTGAAGGATGATGGGGTGCCCAGGTTCCCATCTTCAAATTTCCTGGCAGCATCCTGGCTGTAATAGAGCGCTGTCTCCAGTTCAGTTTTCTGACACGTGAGAATTCGTATTGTATGATCCTGGGCCTTTGGGAGAAAAGACAAGCAAGTGCTGAAAGAGAAGCAAAAAAACCTTCTCCAGAGGACAGGAGGGAACTTCACACCCTCCACTCACCTCTATCTCCCGCCTTAGGGCTTCCTGATGTTGGTGGCTTGCCTTCTTTTCCTATAGAAAGAGGAAGACAGAGCTCTTACTAGGGGGAGGCAGAGATCCACAGCAAGAGACATGCCCCCAGAATGGCACCAATGCCCCAGGACAGGCGCACCCATGGGACCAGGTTATCAGGGACCCTGTGGGGATGGGGTGGAATCTTGGCGGTGAGCCTTCTTCCCCAAGCTGGGAGTAGGCGAGATGAGACGGGCCTCTACATCTGAGTGCCCTCCAAACCCAGCAGTCATGTCGTGAGCAAACAAATCACGTTACTTCTTTCAGCTGCGCTCGGTTCTGTTGTGTCTGTGGGGAGAGTCAAAGGAAGGTGACTGAGGGTGGCCCCCTGGACTCTATTCCCCAGGCCAGGAAGCGGTACGCAGGGGTCAGGAATGGATTTTAAAGGGCAACGTTCTCAGACCCAATGGGAACATGAAGTGGTAAACTCTCAACTCCCAAAGAAGAGATTTGGGTCTTTGTTGGTTTTTGCCCTCAGCCACGGAACTGAAAGTCTGAAACTAGATTATCTCAAAAAGACAGTAACATAAACCTTCAGAGATGGAGTGTGAGAAAAGCCCACCCTTCTGCTAGCTTGTGATTTAGAAAGGTGCATTCATTCAACAAGCATTGAGCAAGCACATAGGGGCCGGGGACGGTTCTTCACTGCTGGGATATAGGACGGAAAAGGCAGACAGGAGCCCTTGGCCCCAAGGTTTCCATTCTAGTGAATCTTTAAATCTCAGACTCTCAGAGCAAACAGAACCTCTGATACTCTAACTCTACCTCCTCAGGAAACGGAAGCCCAAAGAGGAGGGGAGCTTACAGCAGGCCCTGGACTAGGGATTAACACAAAAACAACAGCAACAAATCTGATTTAAGCTTCACACATGTAAGTAAAACATTACCATCCCCATTTTACAGATGTGAAAAGAGAGGCCCAAAGAGCTCAAGCAATTTTCCCTAAACCGTGTCCCTCGCAGATGGAGAGAGAAGTAGGACTCAAACCCAGAATTCTTAGCCAGTACCCGGCAGTTCTTCCTTCCACAATCTTAACAGTTACCCTCGACCTCCCCTTGTGCCCCTTGTCCTCAGGAGACCGGCCAGCCAAGACCCACATCCTCAGGTGAATGGCAACCCTCCGAAGTGGTTGTCTCAGGGTTAGTGCCATTATTTATTTTCTTCTTTTTGGTGTCAGTTGCTCTGGTACCAACACCAGCAATGTTCCACTGACGATAGTCTGTAAACTGTGGAAAAGAGGAGCAGTGATACTCATGAGAACTACAAGCTCCTACAGTCACTTTACAGTTTATACAAAATACTCTCATAGACGATCTGATTTAATGCCACCAACGACCGTACGAGGTGTTGTCGCAATCACTTAGTGACTGAGAGGGATTGATACCATGGCTAAAAAAAAGGCAATAATGGAACTTAAACTCAGTCTTCTGATTCTGAGCTCTGGGGTTTTGCCACAAATCGCAGCTGCCAGGGGCCAAAACCAGAGGCAGAGGTAGAAAAGTAAAAAGTAGACAGGAAAGTGTACACTGTTTGGTTTAGAGTCGTACATCCTCACACATCTGTTAGTGTGAAGAAGTGCACCACTACCTCTCAGACTTTTACATCAATGTATCCTCAGGGCAGAAGGCAGCTTTTCTGTTAAATCTGGGAATTTAACAGAAAGAGGACAACCCAAGATTCATTTCAGTGAGAAGTCTGGTATACTTTTAGAAATCCGTGTGACTGTCATCCGTAAGAACATTAATGTTTTGTCTCTCTCAAGAGAATCAAGGGAAACTGATGCTTCAGAAAGATGCCCCATATGTATCCTGTGGCACTCAAAGTACCCCAGGTTGAGATGCGATGAGGAAGATTCAAGTTGTCAAGTTCAGTTTCCCAAGATCTATTCCACAGAAGATGAGCAAATCTCACTTCAGAGATCACTGACTGATGGGCAATCTGGTCCCAGAACCATGGAGAATTCAAATATGAGGTGGAGAACTTAGAGAAAACTGTTAAAGTCTCTCTGGAGAGTAGAAGCCTGGGAGAAAACCAAACCAAACCCGTTCTCCCATTTCCACCAAGAGACAATGTCAACATTTTGAGTTCACAGGGGGAGGTGTAGGCTTTTCAAACTGTCAATGTCTGTGTTAAGGGAGTAAGGCAGCCTGAAACTTCTCGCTGCTAGGTCACATGGTCCCTACTCCCCTTCCAGCTGGAAATCTGTGATGCAACCAGAGGAAGCAGAAACAGGGTGAGAACACTTAGGGGACGGGTCCTAAGATCAAAGGCCAGTCTTGCAGCAGTAATGACAGTTCCTAGAGGGACTGTGACACCACTACATTTCACTCCTCTGTGGGGTGGTGGAGGGCCAGGGACACATCAGTGCTATGCCCAAGTTGCCTCTTTGAGGTTGGGGAGGGGTTCGCAGGGTTGGGACCCAGGTCCTTGGAGACGTGAGCCCAAAGAGCCCAGGGAGGTAGGGCTTGGGGCGACGGGAGGTGAGGGCCAAGTATGGAGCGGGGAGCCCCAGGAGTCACCTGCCCAAAGTCACCCTGGGGCGACTGGTGAGGGCAGGTGCTGGGACACACAGGTCCTTGGAGACACAATCCCAAAGGGCCCAGGGAGGTCAGTTTTGGGGTAATAGGAGGTGAGGGCGGAGTACGGAGTGGAGAGCCCCAGGGTTCACCGGCTCAGTCACCCTGGGGTCACTGGCAAGGGCCGGGGCAGGACTGCTGAGGGGGTGGGGCTGGCTGAGAAGATTTTGATTGGGGGAGCCCAGCGGCACTGGGGGGGACCCAGCCCAGTGTGCCTCTGGAATGGCATGGACTCTGGCAGATGTTCTGCCATGGGAGGGGGCCTGGGGCTGGGTTGGGGTTGGGGTGCCGCAACCCAGTGAGTTTTACCTTTTTCTTGGCCTCAGCCAATTTGTTCTGTCTGGTTTTTTCTGACATCATGGGGTGGGGAGGGAGGTGGGGTTGGGGCCACATCAGCGTGATTCAGACGAGGACAAGGATACACCTCCAGTCACGTACCACGCAGCTATGTGACTGAGCCAGAGGAGGTGTAACCAGGGCTGCACTAGAATGCAGAATAGGGGCGTGGCCTTAATGCTTCAAGCCCATTGGTCAGTGAGAAAGATGAAAGGGAAAGGAGGCGGGGCCAGGCAGCCACGTGTCATGAAGGACCTGTGATGTCACAAGGAAAGCCGCCCATGCAACTGCTGTCCCCGCCCACTCCAGGAGAGGGGCGGGGCTGGCTTTCACTTTAAAAACTTTAAACCTTTATCACCTTAATTGAGATACAAATCCTATTAAAATGGAAAATTTACAGCATGCTTGATGATTAATAAAGCAGACTATATTATCCAACATTCCAGTAAGATAATCACAGTGATTTCTCTTTTTTGGAAAAAGTTTCTCTTATTCTCCTACATTATTGTTAAGTTTTTTTGAAAAAAAAAAAACAAGAAACATGTCTGATATCTTTAAAAACACAAAGCTTTTGAGCTGGGTGCAGTGGCTCATGCCTGTAATCCCAGCATTTTGGGAGGCTGAGGCGGGTGGATCACCTGAGGTCAGGAGTTCAAGACCAAAATTTTAGTATGTATTTTAGTATTTATTTTAGTATTTAATGCATCATTTAGGGCTACATGTAGTCACAGAAAAAATAAATCTGATTCAGTGACTTAAAGAAATATAGATTTCATGGCCGGGCGCGGTGGCTCATGCCTATAATCCCAGCACTTTGGGAGGCCGAGGCGGACGGATCACGAGGCCAGGAGTTCAAGACCAGCCTGGCCAATATGGTGAAACCCCATCTCTACTAAAAATACAAAAATTAGCTGGGCATGGTGGCGTGCATCTGTAGTCCCAGCTACTCTGGAGGCTGAGGCAGAAGAATCGCTTGAACCCAGGAGGCAGAGGTTGCAGTGAGCCGAGATCATGCCACTGCACTCCAGCCTGGGTGGCAGAGCGAGACTCTGTCTCAAAAAAAAAAAAAAGAAATATAGATTTCATTTTTGTCACTTAAAACGTGCAGAGGAAGGCAGTCCAGGGTTCTTTTCCGTTTCCTGATACTTCCTTAGCCATGTTTTTATTTTTGTGGTTACAATGTGGCTGTTGTTTTTCCAGGCCTTGGATTGCCTTCCAGGGAGGGAAAGAGGAAAGGTCAAAAGGCTGAGTCTGTCTCTTTTTAGCTGAAAAACATAGATTTCTCAAAAGTTTTAAGATTATACTGATATTCAATTTTCATCTGTTTTTTTGTTTTGTTTTGTTTTTTTGAAACGCAGTCTTGCTCTGTTGCCAGGCTGGAGTGCAGTGGCACGATCTCGGCTCACTGTAACAACCTCCTTCTCCACGGTTCAAGCAATTCTCCTGCCTCAGCCTCCCGAGTAGCTGGGACTACAGGCATGTGCCACCACGCCTGGCTCATTTATTGTATTTTTAGTAGAGACAGGGTTTCACCATGTTGGCCAGGATGTTCTCGAACTCCAGACCTCGTGATCTGCCTGCCTCTGCCTCCCAAAGTGCTGGGATTAGAGGTATGAGCCACTGCATCTGGCCTGCAGTTTTCATCTTTTGGCTGCAAATAAGTTGTGTCATTATTCTCAGCTATGGGAGTGTTTAACTGGGCATGTTGCTTCCTCTCTGTTAGATAGGTTTTAGGATTTATGAATAGGTACTGAATTTTATCAATTGCTTTTTTCTTTCTTGATTGAGCATTTTTTTCTTATCTTTTTATGTTGATAAGGTAACTTAGTGATTGGCTTTTGAATGTCTAACCTTGCATTTCTGGAATTAAATCAACTTTGTTGTGATATATGATTAATACCATTTTATATGTGGTTGAGATGGGCTTGCTCATAGTTCATTTGGTAATTTTATACTTAACGTTCACAAGAGGAAGTGGAGTCTCAGTTTTTTTCCTGGTGATGTCTTGTTAGGTTTTTTTTTTTTCTTTTTTGTGAAGAAGTCTTGCTCTGTTGCCCAGGCTGGAGTGCAGTGGCGCGATCTGGGCTCACTGCAAGCTCCACCTTCCAGGTTCACGCCATTCTCCTGCCTCAGCCTCCCGAGTAGCTGGGACTACAGGCGCCCGCCACCACGCCCGGCTAATTGTTTTGTATTTTTGGTAGAGACGGGGTTTGACCGTGTTAGCCAGGATGGTCTCGATCTCCTGACCTCGTGATCCACCTGCCTCGGCCTCCCAAAGTGCTGGGATTACAGGCGTGAGCCACTGTGTCTGACCTATAACCAATTTTATAAAGACTCGAATATCTCTCCCCTAGTTAAGCATATAACTCTATTATAATGCTACTTCCAAAGGAAAAACCAATTAAACTTAAGAAAACCACTTCCATTTAATTAAAATGCCTTTTCCAGAAATTCAACCTGCTGTAAATATGAGGTTCTCTTATAAACTACAAAATCTTTCCTTTCTTATTTTAACTATCATGTATACATATATATGTAACATACATACATGTGTGTGCTTCTATATTCTATATATATGAGCCTGATGACTCGTGACTGTCCCTGCACATCTGGCCTTCCATCTGCAACAGGGACAGTGGCAGATTCAATGCTTAGCTAATTTTTCCTTGAACAGACTCCATTACTCACTCATATATTTCACTGACTCTGAAAGAACCAAGCAAATGATCTGATGGTTTTGGTAATTAAAAAACTTCCTGCCAGCATGCATTTTCAGCAACTGTCAAAGGTATTCCAGGGTGATAAATTGCTCCTGCAAGGGCCTGATCAATTTATTTCTCTTGATCATCAGGTTCAAGGGACTTCTTGTCTATAAAACAATGTCCCTACGAATATTTTGATGCAGCTGCTAGCAGTATCCTTGGAAGGCTGACTGGGTACGCATTCCTTCATAACAGTAAGTCTCAGGCTGAAAAAGGACTCATAACTTTCTCTCAACTCCAAAATATGTAAAGTTGTTCTTAATCACCGGTTCGGAACCCTTTGAAGAAGTACAGCAAGAAGCGTCTTGTTTCTAATCTCTGCAAAAGAAATAGATGCTACTTCTAGTACTCTCTCCGTTCTTAGTCATTTGAGGTGCACAAAGGAGCTAGGGAATATTGGTTGGTGATATTCACCAAGCAATATTTCAGAAGTCAACATGAGGAAACCCATATGTCAAAACTGATTTGTCGAATACTTCTCTCTTTTCTTTTTTTTTTTTTTTTTTTTTTGAGACGGAGTCTCGCTCTGTCGCCCAGGCTGGAGTGCAGTGGCGGGATCTCGGCTCACTGCAAGCTCCGCCTCCCGGTCTTTTCTTTTTTTTGAGACGGAGTCTCGTGCTGTCACCCAGGCTGGAGTGCGGTGGTGTGATCTCGGCTCACTGCAAGCTCCACCTCCCGGGTTCATGCCATTCTCCTGCCTCAGCCTCCCAAGTAGCTGGGACTACAGGCGCTCGCCACCACAGCGGGCTAATTTTTTGTATTTTTAGTAGAGACGGGGTTTCACCGTGTTAGCCAGGATGGTCTCGATCTCCTGACCTCGTGATCCGCCCGCTTTGGCCTCCCAAAGTGCTGGGATTACAGGCGTGAGCCACCGCGCCTGGCCTATTAATTTTCTTATTTAGTATAAAGAGGTGAAAAGTAGGAGGCTGAGGCAGGAGAATGGCGTGAACCCGGGAGGCGGAGCTTGCAGTGAGTCGAGATCGCGCCACTGCACTCCAGCCTGGGCGACAGAGCGAAACTCCGTCTCAAAAAAAAAAAAAAAAAAAAAAAAAAAGAGGTGAAAAGTAGATCCTATTTACTGTAAAAATATAGTAACTCATCATTTAAAAAAATCATTGTATCACCCATGATCATCTCATTGATTCTGAGATATTAAGATGAGTGTAAGAGACAAGAATTAGAAATAATTTCTTTTCTTTTTGAGTTGAACATTTTGTACTGCACATCACTCTACCTATTCCAATGCAGCAAATTAGGAAAGTCAAATTAGAAAGGCATCCTTCATTTTAAGCTAGATATCTTTGTATTTGATCTTTATCTCCATTGCTGTGTTGATTAGAGAGGTCTGAAATATCTTGTTCTTTATTTCTATAATAACAAGGATATATTCAGTGAATAAATAATAATGAGGATATATTCATTGAATTTATTCATTATGATAATATGTCTACTTATGTCAGAGAGAAATTGTCAAAATATCTGGTGGAAGGAAGGAGAATCTTAGCTGTTTGTCCTTGTCTGCTCCTTGCTTGGAACTTGATTGTAAAGGTAGAGCTCTCTGTCATTTACCAATAAGCCACACCCCTATCTTTACAAACTATCCTGTCAGTAGATGTTATTGCCACACAGAAGACCTGGAAAGATGTGGAAAAATTTATCCTCGTTTCCTACTATTTTCTGAAAAACAACTAATACTTAGGCTGAGGTTGCGGGGGTCAGGCCTTCATATGTGAAAGCAATCTACTAAAATATAAAGTCTGGGGAAACCTCAGACAGTACAGGGTTCAGTTTTGAAATCCGGTCACTGGCTATGAAAGCATGCTTTTCTTTTAAATACATCAAATCTTCTGTTAGAGTTTATCACGATTAGACAGTGTAATGTTTTTCAACTTTTTAATGGTAATTTTCAACACTAATTTTTAAATTAGTTAATCTTAATTATAAGAGATACAGTACACTAACTTGAATCTTTTTATGAACTCTGTAGACAAAAATCCCCAAATGTCTGTGATAAAATCCATACTCAGGTATTCTTATGTGGTAGAAATATTTCTCTTCCAATTTTTTGCCATGCTATGTCATGCTTCTCCCACAAGGACAATGGTTGCCCTGTGTGGGATTATTAAAGACCAGCAGCGTTCATAGACTTGGGCAGGACATGGTGTAAAACTAAACAATTAGAATATATCATCTAGGTTATTTTAGTCATCTGTGCTGTAATCTGTCTTTGTCCTAAAATCTAATAATTCTGAAGAAAAGCAAATAAAGATGACTCTTTCCAGAGTTATGAATACTGTTAAATACCTTTCAGCTTGCAAAACACTTGCATGTATATTTGTATGCATATAAGTGACATCTATCTGAAATTGTATTTGTGCCTTATGAGAACTCCATGAAGAAGGTATTATTTGAGATGGGTATTTTTAAATTTATTTTATTTTATTTTATTTTTTGAGATGGAGTCTCGCTCTGTCACCCAGGCTGGAGTGCAGTGGCGCAATCTCAGCTCACTGCAAGCTCCACCTCCCAGGTTCACGCCATTCTCCTGCCTCAGCCTCCCGAGTAGCTGGGACTACAGGCGCCCGCCACCACGCCTGGCTAATTTTTTGTATTTTTAGTAGAGACGGGGTTTCACCGCGTTAGCCAGGATGGTCTTGATCTCCTGACCTCGTGATCCGCCCGTCTCGGCCTCCCAAAGTCCTGGGATTACAGGCGTGAGCCACCGCGCCCGGCTGAGATGGGTATTATTAAGAAATTAAGATGTGGATTACCAGGGTAAGTCATATTTCAATGTGCAACCTCTGCAAGTCCACAGGGTGTGATATGGACATTAAGGAGATCTATGGACGAATAGCGTATGATACCTTGACAAGTTGACAAAATGTAAAATAGTTGAATGGCCATAGAAAAAAACCAGCTTTTTAGCCCCATAGGCCGAGGGATTCAGGAGGGCTGGCTACGGGCATTTTGGAATGGAAGATGTTGTACCAACAAATCAAGCTTAGGTTCCTGGCAATTTGCCCACATATAATATGTGAAAGTTCAGATGTGAAATAAATCTGCGGCTAATAGTAAGAACCTAGCCACAGGAGTTAAAACTTACGGTTCTGGGACCAGATGGACTGCCTTCTAATCTTAGTCTTACTACATTTTAGCGGTAAAACCTTCAGCAAGTTATTTAGCCTCCAGCATCTCAGTTTTCTCATCTGTAAAATGGTGATAATGCTACTCTTACATTGGGTTGTAGTAGGATAAAAGGAGAAAACGTATGTAAAGGATTTAGTAGAAACTTATTAAAATTAAGCAATTATTATTTCTCAATTCTAAGATTCTAACCTGCAAAAGGCATAAGGCAGCTGCTGAGAACAGGGTGAGAAGATAGGGATTCGGTCAGGAAAAGTCTTGTTTCCCTGTTGCTGTTGGTGGTTTTGTTTGCTCATTTGTGTGTTTTTTTTATTAATCATTTTCACTTGTGTTTATTGACAAGCTTAATCAATAATGCCATTGACATTTAGTAAAAGTAAATTTCCTTAAGTGATCTCCCAGGTAGCAATGTTTATTCATTATGTGTGGAGTAGAGATAGGAATTATTTTATTGCTGCAAATATTTTATTATTGGTTTTTCAAGTTTTAAAAGTAATTTTAATTTTTTAATTTTTGTGAGTATATAGTAAGTGCACATATTTATGGGGTACATGAGATATTTTGATACAGGCATATGATGTGTAATAATCACATCAGGGTAAACAGGGTAAGCATCACCTCAAGCATTTGTCCTTTTTTGTATTACAAAGAATCTAATTATACTCTTTTAGTTATTTTTAAATGTACAATAAATTATTGTTGACTATAGTTTTGCCACTGCAAACAATAGAAGGCTTCCTGATACAGCCTCCTAGTCATTGGAGTTCTATGGCAGAATTCCTAAAGTTTTTAAGTTTCATGAGATGGCTAAATTTTGGTAAATATGATACTTTCTTTGAACAGATGCTACAGAGGCCAATATAAAGGAGTGTAACAGAGTGACACCTGTGATCAGTATCTCTCCAACTACAAAGAGTGTCCCTTAAATTTCTTCTGTGTGGTTCCTCTTTTTTTTTTTTTTTTTTTTTGAGACGAAGTCTCGCTCTGTCGCCCAGGCTGGAGTGCAGTGGCGCGAACTTGGCTCGCTGCAAGCTCCGCCTCCCGGGTTCACTCCATTCTCCTGCCTCACCCTCTCAAGTAGCTGGGACTACAGGTGCCTGCCACCACTCCCGGCTAATTTTTTTTTGCATTTTTAGTGAGAGATGGGGTTTCACTGTGTTAGCCAGGATGGTCTCCATCTCCTGACCTCATGATCCAGCCGCCTTGGCCTCCCAAAGTGCTCGGATTACAGGCGTGAGCCACCGCGCTCGGCCTGTGTGGCTCCTCTTAAGTAATACTCTGCTTCGTCCATATAAGCAGAGGTCAGAACTGGCTAAGAATTTCTTTATGTGTGTTTATCCTGATGTTTTCCTACTGTCACTTTTCTTTTCTTATGGATTAGCATTGAGGGAATGGTCAGATGGTGCCTGCGTGAGTCTGATTGAAACATTTTAGCGGCGGGGTGCGGGGGTTGATGGCATGTGCAATAGTTTAGGATATTTGAGTTAGTGGCAGAATGTAGACATGAGGGTGAGTAGAGAGTGCGTAGCAGAGCAAGCAATTCAGGAATCTATGTTGGTTAATTACTTTTGTTTTGTGGACATTTTATTCTACCTGAAAAGATTATCTAGGAACTACAGAAATTAATGACGTGTAGTGGAAACTTTGCACAGTGTAAGTGTTATCCATTTACTTCTCTTAGTTTCCAATACAATGACTCTCCTGGTAGCTGTCATACATGATAAATATAATTTCGTTAATAAAATTATATTTTATATAATTGCGTACTTTAAACAAGTGATCAATATAACTCAGTTATAAATGTACAGTAACAAAGATCAATGGATAATAAATACTTCTGCGTTCATTTTCATGGATACATTCTATTTTTGTTTGTCTCACAAGCAGTAATCAGACTATGAATCATGATATAGCTCCATAAACACTTACTTTATAGCAATTCACTGATATATGCTCCACCAAAAAAAATTAAGAGACGGATACAAGCAATTTAAAGCTTCTGTGTGTGTGTGCATGCAACCGATGTGTATGGCTTTTTTTTTTTTTTTTTTTTTTGACACAGAGTGTCGCTCTGTCGCCCAGGCTGGAGTGCAGTGGCGTGATCTCCGCTCACTGCAAGCTCCGCCTGCCTGGTTCACGCCATTCTCCTGCCTTAGCCTCCCAAGTAGCTGGGACTTCAGGCGCCTGACACCACGCCTGGCTAATTTTTTGTATTTTTAGTAGAGACGGGGTTTCACCGTGTTATCCAGGATGGTCTCCATCTCCTGACCTCGTGATCCACCTGCCTCCGCCTCCCAAAGTGCTGGGATTACAGGCTTGAGCCACCTCGCCCGGCCATGTATGGCTTTTCATGTGTATGCCTGAGTGTTTAGGTTCATAGGTATGGTTTTAGGCAGAGTTTTGCTCATAATATGTGCAACTGCCACATGCCCATTTTAATATTAGCCTTCAAATAAATAAAGATTGCTTTGAATGAAACCCTATAATGAAAACTTAACAATTACGCTCACAGCTGACAGCTGTCACTGAATGTGGTGCATAAAGGTCCTCAAGCATTCGGCTGGGTGCGGTGGCTCACATCTCTAAACCCAGCACATTGGGAGGCCGAGGCGGGCGGATCACGAGGTCAGGAGATCGAGACCATCCTGGCTAACACGGTGAAACCCCGTCTCTACTAAAAATACAAAAAATTAGCCGGTTGTGGTGGCAGGCGCCTGTAGTCCTAGCTACTCTGGAGGCTGAGGCAGGAGAATGGGGTGAACCCGGGAGGCGGAGCCTGCAGTGAGCCGAGATCGCGCCACTGAACTCCAGCCTGGGGGACAGAGCGGGACTCCGTCTCAAAAAAACAAACAAGCAAAAAAGGTCCTCAAGCATTCAGTGCTCTTTTCACCATGTGTTTGAGCTGAGCAGAGTTCATGTAGGCCTTACCTTTCTTTATGTCTATGGTGAAGCTGTGGGTTTAAAAACACTCTGGCAAAGAGTAAGTCCTCAAAGTTGCAGGCCATCCTATGGAGAGGCTCATGAGGAATAGCTGGCTTGACCCCCACTGTTGTGGTTTTCTCTGCTTTAAAATTATTACTTTTGATACATGAAAACCATAATTTCTCCCTGTTTATAAAAAATAACTATAGCTGGAATATGTAAAATCTATCAAAATGATGCATTTAAAAACTAGTTTTGGCTAACTGATGTAATTAGATTTTCAGGCTTTTCCAGATCCCGCTAAGTGAGGATGTAATGTGAACTAATAAAAATAAAGCCTGAGAAGCTTAATGGCATATGGCATATGGCAGGTCATTTTCATTGAAGAAAAAAAGGATGTTTTTACAGCATGTAAGAAAATGAAAGAAATCTGTTCGAAAAAATGGGCATTGGATCAGAAATTCAAGTTAAAATAATTTAAATCCAGATAATACAGGAATGCCTTCAAAGTTTAAAACCTGGGTTTAGGATTCTACATAGTCCCTGGTCCCTAATTTTCCTTGCTCTTCACCGCATTATATGCTTAAATACAGCTGCCACAAAGTATCAATTAAATTGCAATCCCATATAAAGCCCCAGAAAACCTTGATATATAGGGAAGTGAAGCTGGGGAAGCAGTTAAGGGTGGGATTGATGATTGATGAATTGAGAATACTGCAGTCAACAGGCTGGACGTATAGGATGTGGTATATCAAAGAGTGGGTGTTTAAAACACAACTGTTAGAGTTCATGAAATTATTGGAGATGGCACCGTTAATGTGTTAGGCTGAGTTTTGCAGTGGGAAAAAGTACCAGTGGAAGGTAGCTCCTATGTAAATCTCTAAATGCTACAAATGAAAGCTTCTCTGGGCCTATTCACCAGCACACCACTGCGTATATCTGAGAAGATGCTGGGGTTTGTGGGAGCTGTCTTCACTCTCAGTATCTTTGGATTATCCTTGGGCTGCAGCCTGAGGTATGGAAAAGAGTGGTCTTTAGAATCCCACCCCACCGACTTCCTCCCTGCATGTTCATAGGAAAGAGCTAACTTCTTTGAGCCTCAGTTATAAAATCAGCTTTTTTGGAAGGAATTAGAAAGAAGTAATGTGTGTAATGTCATAGCACAGTGTCTAGCACATACAAGAACCTGAATGACAACGTCTGTTTCCTTTTAAACTGTGTTGGTGGGATGGGAAGAATAAAGCCAGATTTTTAGGAAGTTCTGGTAAAAGAACATAGGAAAATGTGTTTACCCATACCCTTTTAAGTGACCATTCCTAATAGCCCCAGATGGGTATATTTATTCTGTCTCATTTTTAAATCACGTGTGATGCAGAGGAAGCTGGTTCCCATCTATAGCACAGTGTTATCCAATAACACAGAGCAAGGATAAATGTAGTTAGAAGCAGAGAGAATATCAAACACTAATGTAATTATCTCAAATGGAGTTTATGCAGTCAAAAGGTAAAATAATCTTTTAAGTGTGGTTAGATTCTTTAATGTTATGTCTCATCTGAAGAGATAAACTATCTGAGAAAGGATAGAGCTTGAGTAACTTGAAACATTAAGCAACATTGAATTGAGGTAGCACTCAAAACTGAGAAAGCATTAATGACACATGACTGGCCTCTGTGACAGCAAGGCATGTACTTTTTCTTAAAATTTCATTTAGATGTACATTTATTAAACTGTCATTTAACTTTCTATCAACATATAATATACTTATACTAAGGAAAAAAAGGGTTTTCCTCCCTTGTAGACTTTTACAAGCTAACTAGACAGGAACATTAGATGACTTGGAATGTGGGGCTCCACAAATGAGATCCAAACCTAGAGTCTTAGTTTCTTTAAAGAGTAATGGTCTTCACTTTCATTTTTGTGCAAACCTCTGGTTAATCTCCCAAATAAAACCTCAGTTGATATTAGAAAACATCAAGTTATTCTACTGTTTTGTACTGTTTTACTAAGGATTAGAGGTCTATTGAATCTGGCATCATCGAAAAAGCTCTATTTCTTCAAGGCATTCCAGGTTCTTTGCAATCTGTTGGATTTTACCGAAGACGTCAGGAGAAGCATTACATGTCAGTGACAGCGGGTCTATGGAGAGCTATCTTCCCAGATATCCACATGAGTAATTACTTAGATATTGCAAGCTAAACATGCTGTCTCTTCCCTACTACATTTCTGTTTACCCAAGTAAAGCTAGACACAGTGTTAGAATTAGACACAATAATTCTAGAATTAGAATTGTTAAAATGATGTTAAATGTGAAATGTTATAGACATCGTTTTAAAAATTATTTCCTCCCCTCGAAACAACCATGTACTTTTTTAAGAGAATAAAACTGACTTACGCTTTTGAAGATTATGTTAGTTTTTATTTGTAAAGCAAAGAGATTGATGTTTGGATAAACAATGGATATCTTTGGTTAACTGATGTTTAGGTAAACTATAGATAACTCATTTATTAACTGAAAGTAATAAATGCAAACACATATGAGAAAGAAGCTCGATTGCAATGAAATTTATTATGTAGCTACTGTGTTGAAGACGGATTTTGCAGCATTAATATGAAACTAGAAAAAAACTACTTTTTTATTTTTTGTGCTTTTTCACTTAAAACTACCTTAGTTGAAACTGCAAAATGATGACTTCATTCTTGGAGTAAGAATGTAATAGAGTAAAAATACATCTCTAGACTTGTAGTTACATATCTAGGCTTATACTTTTACCATTTCTTAGATAAAAATTATAATTCTATTAAAACAGTTACTTGGGATTATATTTTAACTGCTGAAAATTACCAGAAAGTTACATAATCTACCTCAGATATTTTTAAAAAAGGAAAGCAGGGTTTGGTAATGCACAGTTAAAAACAGCAATCAAAATGTTGTAAAGGAACATTGCTGTTTATAGGTTGCTGAGTTAACACTCCTAAAAACAATTACAAATGTCATTTTCTCTGAGCCTCGTTCTTTCAGTCCATAAAGAGTTAGTGCTACCTGAGTGATTCAACAATGCATAAGACACATTCCTTTAGCTTAAGGGTCTAACACGTAGAATGGGTATAAACATACAGACATAGACAATCAAAGTAGAAGTGCAGTGTGACAAGGAGAATGACAGAAAGTGGAATGCTATGGAAGTTTAGAGTGCAAAGTGATTTATTTCCATCCAAGGAACCTATTGTGATATTTTAATTGGGCCTGTGAAGATGGGGAGTATTTTGTCAGATTCTGAAAAAGTGAGAATTTCTCCATAAAGGATAAAATATGAGTAAGGTAATAGGAAAAATCAGGTACAAATGTCTTATAGTTATTTGTGTGGACTGAAATGCAGGAATTAGCATAGATAATATTGAGGGTTTTAACCAGACTGGACAACTGTGGACTGGGAAAGATATTAATGGGTGATGAGAAGTCTCTGAAGGGTTTGGACCTCACACAAATATGAGATCTTATAAACTGGCATGAGTGAGGAGCACTAGAAATGGCTGGTGAGAGATCTGTCTGGGACTTTTTTAAATGGTGTGCAGGTAGAAATAACAGGAGATAAAAAAATAGATATGAGACCCACTAGAGAGACAGAATGAAAATAAATTAGCAGTTAGTCACACAGATAAGGAAAGAGTAGTCACCTGTGTGTAGTGGAGATCAAATGCATCAGAGCTAAGATACCATTCTGGATGGATGCAGCCATGACATTGCAAAGCTAATGTCTTCATGCGTGCTGTAGAAGTCATGAGGCATAGGTTGTTGTGGATTCAGAACCATGAATAAAAAACCATGTGTATTAGCCCATTCTCATGCTGCTATAAGGACATATCCAAGACTGGGTAATTTGTAAAGAAAGAGGTTTAATTGACTCACAGTTCCACATGGCTGGAGAGGCCTCTGGAAACTTACAATCATGGCAGAAGGGGAGGCAAACACATCCTTCTTCATATGGTGGCAGGAGAGAGAAGTTCAGAGTGAAGAAGGGAAAAAAGTCCCTTATAAAACCATGAGCTCTGTGAGAACTCACTCAGTATCATGAGAACAGCATGGGGAAATCAGACAAAAATAAAAATAAAAAATAATAATAGTACAACAGTAAAATTACAAATCAAAATACAGTATAACCACTTTTTATATAACATTAGCTATTATAAATAATTTACAGATGATTTAAAGTATACAGGAGGAGATGCATAAGCTGTATGCAAATACTACACTGTTTTATATAAAAGACTTGAGCATCCATGGATTTTGATATTCTTGGGAGTCTTGCAATCAACCTCCCAGGGATGTGAGGGATGACTGTATTATTATATACCAGGGCACTTACTAAGGAAAAGAACATATCAGTGAAACAACTCCGAAGGCAGACCACGTAAAATTCTATACTTAATTAGAATGGGGCATGAAAGAGCTAAACATGCTTTCTGTCTTAACATAAAACAACAACGTGATTCTTCTTAATTCAGAAGACATCTTTGAGTCAGTAAATTTGCATGGAAGAACATCTAAGCTAAAAATATAGATTCCTTCAGGTTCTAGATGGGGATAACTTTGTCTCTTCCAAATTAATGTATCTAGACACACAGACTTGAAAAATAAAAGAGTATCATTTTAATGGCATATATGTTTTAGTACTTAAAAATATAAACTTGAAAGTTTAATAAGAATATGTGAACTTAGGATATCTAGCCTTTATATTAAGGAATAAAAGTTGCTCAGGCAGATGTTTCCTTTATGCGATCACTGCTAGTCTGGATTTCTTCATTAGATCTGTTAGTAGATTTCTGAATATTAGCATAGAGATAAATTTTTTCAGTAACACAGCTGGGACTCTTGGCTTCCAAGTATTTGGAACACTCACAAGATTTCATTTCTTTCAGTTTTGTCATTATTTTCCTTATCTATTTTTTATCTCTTTATGTTGTCTCCAGTCCTATTCCAAGGATTTTCAGACTTGCTAACATTAAAAAATGCGTACAAAGTGTTTAGAAGGAAGAGAATGACTCTAAATAAATTTCTTTGCTTACCTTTATTGGGTCACTTCAAAATAATTTAGAATGAAAATAATTAGGGCTTTATATTCTAAATTAATGATTCTCTAAACTGGGTCCAACAACATTGATGTTACTAAACTATATTTTACTTTTGCTAAAATATTTCCGTTTCCATACCTATAATTCTTCATATATTCCTGTAAAGGCTTTATTTGTAGGACTTGTCAATTTTTAATATAGGTAGAGATATAAATATATAACTTTTTGTACTATAATTATTGACACGTGGAAGACACTCTAAGACGGTGGTGTTCTTTAGTGAATGTTGAATGTCCATGAATATGGGACTCTAGAACTTATTGTACATACAATGTTCTCTATGATCTCAAATATTTATAAGATTGCTCTAGGATAGATGTACTTTCATATAACAACAACAACAAAATGAGAATCAAATAGGTTAAATTATATAGCCAAATTCCTCAAAGGAATTTGTGTTTTGAAATATTTTCAAACCCAGAATATTGTCAGAGGTCATCCAGAGTCAGCAATATTTGGTTCTTTCTGCAACTATGGAGGAAATGAGTTCTGTCATTTACTTTACAGCATTTTTGTACTCTTTTCTTTTTTATTCATAATTTTAAGCTATTGTTTCACACTGCACTTCCAAAATGTAACATGTATCTAACATGAACCTATTGGTTTTCCATTGACAAGGAAGAGATGTAATATTTATTAAGACATTTACCTAGTTCAATATGAATCTGTACCAACTAAAAGCAATATTTTAGTCAATATTTCCTGAGGTGAATTGATTTATATTGTTTTCTTCTATTAAAAAAAAAACACATTCCCATGTGTTTCCTTTTCCTTCATGGTTTTGAAAATATGGAATCAAGTTTTCTTTTTTTTTCTTTTTTTTTGAGACGGAGTCTCACTCTGTTGCCCAGGCTGGAGTGCAGTGGTGCGATCTCAGCTCACTGCAAGCTCCGCCTCCCAGGTTCACGCCATTCTCCCGCCTCAGCCTCCCAAGTAGCTGGGACTACAGGCGCCCGCCACCACGCCTGGCTAATTTTTTGTATTTTTTTAGTAGAGACGGGGTTTCACCATGTTAGCCAGGATGGTCTCGATCTCTTGACCTCATGATCCACCCGCCTCGGCCTCCCAAAGTGCTGGGATTACAGGCGTGAGCCACCGCACCCGGACATCAAATAACTATTTGAAGTAGAAAATATGCTAAGTAATATTTGGTCATAGTTTTTAATCTTGAGTTATTGAAATGTGATTTTTTTTCCTTCTAATCAAACAAAGCAAAATAGATTCTTCAAGTGCTGTGAATATACCCACACTAAGTGTAAGAAAAAAATGAGAGCCTAACCTTTTGCATATTTACACTATTTGGAGCTGTTTTGCTATTTTATTTTATTTTATTTCATTTATTTTGAGATGGAGTCTCGCACTGTCGCCCAGGCTGGAGTGCAGTGGCACAATCTCGGCTCACTGCAAGCTCCGCCTCCTGGGTTCACACCATTCTCTTGCCTCAGCCTCCCGAGTAGCTGGGACTACAGGCGCCCACCACCACACCTGGCTAATTTTTGTTTGTTTGTTTGTTAGTAGAGATGGGGTTTCACCAGGTTAGCCAGGATGGTCTCCATCTCCTGACCTCGTGATCCGCCCGACTCGGCCTCCCAAAGTGCTGGGATTACAGGCGTGAGCCACTGCACCCAGCCCACTTTAGTTTTAAGAAATGAAGGCACAAATTATTTCATTCTTACTAATGATAGTGCAATTGAAATCATCAGCGACCAGACATCTATTTTTAAACATAGAAAGAAAAACGCAATTTTATTGTTTTGTTAAATAAAAAAAGACATGAAGCACTGCAAAAACAGAAGTACAGTTTTTGAAGTATAAATTTTGCTCTTTGTGTCCTCCCACCAAAACTTTATTTCTACAAATACTGGAGCTATTTTTTCTTTCCTAAAATTGAGTCTCTTATTGCTTAATGTCATGTAATTTTGCTTCCTTTCTTCTGCACAATTCATTTCTTTCTCCCAGTTTGTTCTAATAGGCATGCATGTAAACATTGACTAAAATACCGCCTAGCTTAAAGGCAACTAACCAAACATACATTCTTTTTTAATACAATGTTTCCTCCATACATCCTGGCTATTGTTTTACCTCCCTAGTCTTCATAGCAAGGCTTGTTTTTAAGATTTTGCTAAATGATATCCTCTTTCTTATCTTCCAGTTTCTCTTTAACCTATTCTCAATCATGACCCCTTCAGAGTTTCCTCACAACAATTTCCATCCTGTACATCCATGAGAAAATGTCCTCCTGCATCTTATTTGACTCAGCAGCACTCTACAATACTGAACATTCTGATCTTTGTTTTGCTTTTCTTGGCTTCTGCCATCCATCCACACTCTGTGTTTTTCACTGTGTTTCATGGGCTGATCTTTCTGAGAATCCTTGGTTACTTCTCATCATACAATTTCCAAATCTTGGTAAAACCTGGGACTTGATCCTGAGACCTCCTTTTCCCCACATTCTTCTTAGGTAATTTCATGCTTTTTAAAATTAGGTCATATCTCTAACAACATATTTTATGGATTCCACATGGCCCTAGATATATGGCAAACTGCATTCTGTGAACTGGAGTACTCTTTTCTGTAAATAAAGTTTTATTGGAATACACCCGTACTTGTCCATTTACACACTGTCACACTGCTTTGACTACAACACAGAGTTGAGTAGTTCTGACAGAGGCTAAATTAAAATATTTACTATCTGACCCTGTAAGAAGAAAATTCCCAACCCCTAGTATAGAATAAAATTTTTTTAGCAGGATATGAAAGGCTTTTCATGACTTGTTTCTTAACATTCTTTTGAGATTTATCTCACAGCTGTGTTTTTAGTCCAAGAGTTCCAAAGAACTTGTGGTTCCTTAAATGTTTTACATCTTTGTGCTTATAATTTTTTGTGTCTCATATGCTTTCAGAAACTATAATCACTTGGAAAGTTATATTTTTACCCTTCAAAACAATGGATAAGGCACCTTATTTTCAAAACTTTTAAAATCTCCCAAATAATTATTACTGTTTATGTGCTATCACGTATACTCTTCTAATGTTGTATATATCTCACCGTATTTCAGTTACTTGATTACACTCAAGTTTTTGAAATTTCAAAAAAAAGATAAAAAGGAAATTAAAAATTCTCTAAATATTACTATTTTCATTTTGAAATATATAAAGTAAAAATGTTCTTTCCATTCCAGCCCTTCAATTTGGTATGTACCTTTTTCTATTTTTTTATACTCATGGAAAAATGATATAGATAGACCAATATATAATAAAATAGGATAATATACAGTTTTTAAATCACATTTGAAAATACATACTGTTAGTTCACTTCTATAGTACATAAACATCTTTATTTAGTAAAGTAGTAACATTGAATTTCCTCATGGAGATGTTTATTATAAATTATTCAACCAGCTCTATATGATGGTTAGGTAATACCTTTTTTTTTTGCTATTGTACACTCTCATAAACAACTTTGCTCATTTATCTTTTTCTGCTAGAATTTATGTAGCCATTTTTTTTGAAATGAAGCTACACAATTCTGTAAGAATTTTTTCTCTTATACTTACCTCATAGATTTGGGGCTGTGATACAAATATGTGAACTTTGCTTTATGTCTAAACAGTACCAGGTTAACTTTTGGTCCAGAATAAAATGTATGTGAATACTTTTTCTTATGTCATTGTCAACAATGGATGGAACTAATCTTTCAAAGTTGACAATTTTATGATTCATGTTTTCAAACTTTTTTAGTGTATTTAATTACCTTTTATAACCTTTTATAATTATATTTTATATAAATATAGTGTATTTATATACCTTTTATGTTTCTATTAATTGCAGATCTTTATTAAGTTTACATTTGTCTATTTGGTTGTTATATTCATATTTATATATAGGACTTCCTAATTTAGTAGACAAATAACCATTTGGTCTGTTTATACTCTTCAAATGCTTCTTCCAAGTTTATATTTTATCATTAGACTTTATAATTACTCTTATTTTATCTTTGCAAATGCTGCATTACTTGATTTATTTTCAGAGGCTTTACTCAAAGAATATAAACATTATTTTTCTAATTGTCTTATGTAATGCTTGGACCTCTTATCCATTTGGAATATGTTTTTGTATATGCTGGGTAGTAGCATATACTTTCCTAACTAAATTGAAATACCACTATATTTACATATCTGATTTTACTTCTGTATGCTACTAGGTAGTAATTTTCTATTTGTTGATTATGTTCCCATGTCAAACAATTTTAATTATAGTAGCTTTATTTTTTTAGACATCTGTTTCTACATTTTGCTTCTTATTAGATTTAGATTTAAATTCTTACTGAGAAGGGCTTTCTCACTAATCTCTTTGGTCCAAGGCTTACTGTGGTTTTGACAGACAGATTCTATCACTAAATCATGTCTAACTTACTGACTTGGAACTCTATTGCTCTTTGAAATTTCTGTTATTCCATGTTGGCCAACATATAATGGAAGACAGCATAAGAGGCAGAAAGAAACAAAGTATCTACAAAACAACCAGAAAACAATTAACAAAATGGTAGTAGTAAGCCCTTGCCTATCAATAATTACCTTGAATATAAATGCATTAAATCCTACAAAAAAGAGAGTAACTGAAAGGATAAAGAAACAAGCCCCAACTATTCGCTGCCCGTAAGAGGCTCATCTTGTATTTTAGGACACACACAAACTGAAAATGAAGGGATGGAAAAAGATATTCCATGCAAATGAAAACAAAGAGAAAAGCTCAAAAACTGAAATAGGAGACACATAAGAACATGATATGATGATAAAGGGTCAATTTATGAAGAGGATATAACAATAGCAATTACACATATGCTCAACGTTGGAGCACTTAAAATATAAAACAAATATGAAATGCTCTTGAGAGAGAGAGAGATTACCATACAATCATAGTAAGGGACTTGAATATATCACTTTCAACAATGGACTGATTATTCAGGCAGAAAATTAATAAGAAAACATGAGACTTGAACGACGCATTAGATCAAATGGACCTAACACACATATACAGAACATTCCATCCAATAGCAACAGCATACACAATATTAAGCTCACAGAGAACATTCTCCAGGATAGATCACCTGCCCTGCCCAGTTTACTAATCAGAAAGGAATAGATCGGCCTGGCGTGGTGGCTCACGCTTGTGATCCCAGGACTTTGGACAGCCGAGCGCGGATTATCACTTAAGCCTAGGAGTTCCAGACCGGCTTGGGCAACATGGTGAAAACCAGTCACTTTTTTTTTTTTTTTGAGGTGGAGTTTCACTCTTGTTGCCCTGCTGGAGGGCAGTGGCGAGGTCTCGGCTCCCCGCGGCCTCTGCCTCTGGGTTTGGCTGGTTCTCCTGCCTCAGCCTCCCGAGTGCCTGGGATTGCAGGCCTGAGCCACCATGCAGGGCTCATTTTGTTATTTATTTATTTATTTATTTATTTATTTTGGTACAGACGGGGTTTCCCCATGTTGGTCAGGCTGGTTGGTCTCAAATTCCCGACTTCAGGCTATTCCCTGCCTCGGCCTCTCAAAGTGCTGGGATTACAGGCGTGATCGGCCTGGCGTGGTGGTTCACGCTGTTAATCACAGGACTTATGACGGCCAAGCGCGGCAGATGGCTTGAGCCTAGGACTTCCAGACGGGCCTGGGCAACATGGTGTAACCCGGTCCCTTTTTTTTTTTTTTTTTTTTTGAGAGGGAGTTTTGCTCTTGTTGCCCAGGCTGGAATGCAGTGGCGCGGTCTCTGTTCCCCGCAGCCTCCGCCTCCCGGGTTTGGGTGGCTGGGATTGCAGGCCTGAACCACCATGCTAGGCTCATTATATATATATATTTTTGTTGTTTTTGTTGTTGGAGATGGGTTTTCTCCATGTTGGTAAGGCTGGTCTCAATATCCTGACCTCAGGTTATCCGCTCTCTTCGGCCTCCCGGGGTGCTGGGATCGCAGGCGTGAGCCACCGCGCTCAGGCCAATTTATTAATCAGACAGGAATAGGTCGGCCTGGTGTTTTACATACATCAGTTAGCTCAAGTTCACTGATGATGTTGGTCAAACTTTCCAAGGCTTGCTGAGTTTTAGAAATTATTCAATCATTTGCTTACAGGGACACCTAGTGGTTCAAAATACTACTAAGTTAACCCAAGTTATTACACACTGGATATTCAATGAAGATCAATTAGACAGTTTGGTTATTGGTGAATGATTTTTCTCCCTTTTGAAAAATAATAGCCACAAATATTTTGATGAGGAAAGGGGACAGAAAATGCACTAGGACATATTTTACAAGTATTTTAACCTCTTATTTTAACAAAAATCTCCCAGGAGGCACAATATGGATTAATTCTGTTGATTCTTACTCTGTGGCCTTTCCAGTGCATGCTTCCATGCAACACAATTTCCAGCTTCTATCTACCAATATCTTTCTTACTCGGCATCTGAAGGAGGTATCATGGCTCAAATGTGTGTGTGCGTGTGTGTTCTTTATCCCTGTCTTTCTCTCTCTCGGTAACTGTCTGTCTCTAGTTTGCCATACATATATTAAGTTCAAACATTGTGTTTAGTCTATATGGTTTCCTTAAGAAAGTAGAAAGCAATTTTGTATAAAAAAAAGAATAATTTCACCTACTTTTTTTTATTGCAGAAACACATCACCCAGTTACCCATTATTCCCCTCACAAATGTTTAATACACATTTTCTGTTGAAGTGTAACATATATACAAACATTTATTCTCAAATAATAAGTACACAGCTTTATAAATACTCACAAATTGAATACACAAATGCAATCATATCATTTAATGAATTATAATTAACATAATTATCATAATTAACAGCCCAAAGAAGTCCCCTTCCAATCACTAAAATTGTTACCTATTTTTATGTTGGTTTCTAACAGTATAGATTGATCTGGACTTTTTTTTTTTTTGAGATGGAGTCTTACTGTGTTGCCAGGCTGGAGTGCAGTGGCGAGATCTCAGCTCACTGCAATTTCCTCTTCCAGGGTTCAAGCGATTCCCCTGCCTCAGCCTCCCGAGTAGCTGGGACTGCAGGCACGTGCCACCACGCCCAGCTAATTTTTTGTATTTTAGTAGAGACAGAGTTTCACCATGTTGGCCAGGATAGTCTCGATCTCCTGACTTCGTGATCCACCCGCCTCGGCGCCCCCAGAGTGCTGGGATTACAGGCCTGAGCCACCGTGCCCCGCTGACTATTTTTAACTGTATAACTATGCAGTCATAAATTATGTGGGTTTGTTTCTGTATCCAGCTTCTTTTACTTATCCTTAAATCTGTGAGATACACAGTTATGTTTTTTCATGGAGATGTAGTTTATTCATTCTCATTGTTGTATGCTTGACATTTATGTATACATAAAAAATTCTAAACATTCTACTAAATGTTGATGAACATTTAGTTTTTCTCCAGTTTGGGACCATTAAAATAGTGCTTTATGAATATCCTAGTACATGGTGGAGGTGGTGTCTAGCAGAATCATTCCATTATTTTGATTACATGCCTAGAGGAAGTGCTGTGTCATAAGTTTAAAAAATTCTGAGGCTGGGTACAGTGGCTCACACCTGTAATCCCAGCACTTTGGGAGGCCGAGGCGGGCAGATCACGAGGTCAGGAGATCGAGACCATCCTGGCTAACACCGTGAAACCCCGTCTCTACTAAAAATACAAAAAAAAAAAAAAAAATTAGCCGGGCGTGGTAGCGGGCACCTGTAGTCCCAGCTACTCGGGAGGCTGAGGCAGGAGAATGGCGTGAACCCAGGAGGCGGAGCTTGCAGTGAGCCGAGATTGCGCCACTGCACTCCAGCCTGAGTAACAGAGCAGACTCCTTCTCAAAAAAAAAAAAAAAAAAATTCTGTATTAAAACAAACATTTTTCCAAAGTAATTATACCGGAAATGTACAATTATGTTGGTTACACCATATCCCCTCCAACAATTAATAGTTTTGGCTTTCTCATTATATGGATAGAATCCTCCAGAGAAACACAACTAATAATGAAATATATATATCTATGTATTTATAGATATATATAATAGAAAATTAGCTTTCACGATGGTGGAAGCAGAGAAGTCTCAAAATCTGCAGTCCAAAAAACTAGGAGCCTAGAGAGTCAGTAGTGCAGCATGAGTCTGAGTCTGCAGGCAGGAAAGCCAGGAGAGCTGATGGTGTAAGTTCCAGTCTGAGTCTGAAGGCAGAAGACTGATGTCCCAGCTTGGAGACAGTCAGGGAGAGAGAAAATTCTCTCTTCTCAGCCTTTTGTTCAATTCATGCCTTCAGTGGATTAGCTAAGGTCCACCTACACTGCGGAGGGCAATCTTCTTTACTCAGTCCACCGATTCCAGTGTTATTATCATCCAGAAACACCTCACACACACATAGAATAATGCCGAACTAAATGTCTGGGCATTCTGTGTCCCAGTCAAGTTGACACATAAAATTAACCATCACAAAGCTACTGCTTGTCAATTGTTTACTCATATGCATGTCATTAAACCATACTTAATTTCCAAATGAAGATAATAACAAAGTCATAATTTGACCTAACATGATACAACGATCATGCATACAACCAAAAATGCACTAATTAATACCCTTTTCAGAAGAAAGATTAAAGTCTTTGAGTACTCCTTCTCCCCTTGATATCCCATAACTTAAATATTATGACATTAAAATACTATGATATAAAGCTAATACACATTTGATAGATAAGAAAATAAGAGAAAAAAAATATATTTGTTACATACCCAAAAGCACATTTTAACAAAATAAGGAGATGCTCATGATCATTACAAAAAATTCTTCTTTCTATAAATTGTGGCAAGGATGTTGTTGGTATTTGTAACTATTTTCTTCTGCTGCCTATTCTGTACTCCCCTTGCCTTCAGCAAGCACCTCAGCTGGTTGTGGTTGTTTACTTCATAGGTTACCCAACATTTCATTCCTAAAGGATCTTGACAATCAGTAGTCCTGCCTAGGCTAGGACGCTGTAGTTTTCTAATCACTTTAATTGAAGGATATCACGTTACTAAGAAATGTCTAACAAATCCCCTATATTCCAAATATATTCTTCCATACTTCCATTGTGGAGGAGCAGGTCAATTTCCCATTGGAAATCTATCAGTCACTCCAGGTGGCACCATAACTCTCTTCTTTGCCTGTTGATTCAGACATGAGAAGTCCGAAGTGATGGAGTGGCAATCTCAAATTCTAGTCTGATTGAATTATGGTTGTGTCTTCTGGTGGAAGCATTCCTTTGGAAATAAAAACTCTAGGCCACACAAGCAAAACGTCATAAGAACAGTAAGAAAAAAATTAGTGGTTCGCTAGGAATAATAGTATGTTGTGCTGAAGCAGGATATTTCCCTGCTGCATTCCCATTCCACCCCTCATGGGAGGGAGCACACATGTGAGTGGGTACAGGAGCCAGGGCAAGCACTTTTGGGTGCAGGCAGGAGCAAACTCCATACAGGCCCTGCAGCAGCATCTAGGGGGTGTGCCCACGACCCCTGAAGCCCCAGAAGAAGTGTTATGGTGCTCTTTTCGCTCAGCCATCTGCAGACGGCTTAAGTGTTAACAGCTCAGCGGAGGGTTAGTGTGACAGTCTTTTGCACCTGCACTCACGGCACCCAAGTTCTTGTCTGGAGTCCAGGAGGAATGAAGTTCCACAAATGAATTGAAGATGGTAAATGTAGGGGATTTTATTGTCAATGAAAGTGGCTTTGAGTGGGAAGGGGAGCTGAAAGGGGGAGGGAGTGGGAAGGTAATCATACCCTGAAGTCTAGCCATCCCCGGCCAGACTCCTATCCGAAGCTACACCATCAACCGTCCCTCTGAAGTCAAGCCGCTTCTCTCCAATGGTCAACCATAGTCTCCTGCTGTTCACTGCCCTCTCTGGCTGAGTTTTGTGTTTTTTATAGGCACAGAATGGGGAGCAGTGTGGGTCATGGGTGGTTTTGGAAAAGGCAACATTCTAGTGGGAACACAGGGATATAAATTCTCACTTTGGACCATGGTATCAGGGCTTTCAGCTTGAGGGTCAGGCCCTCGCTGGGGACCCACCCTCTTCTGCCCAGAATTTCCTTGCCTCCTGTCCCTATCAGTGCTTTTCCCATTTCCACCCCTTAATTCATGGATCCATGGATCCTAGATATCAGAGAAACTGTACCATATATTAGACCCTAATTTAAAATATATACAGTCTGTTGGAGAACCTTGCCCCAGCCCTACAAAGTATTGCCTGTTAGCTACTGTTGTGACTCAGTCAACTTTTGTAAAGGCCATTTCACTGTTCCATGAAGCCAGTTGCTTCAAGGTGGTGGGGAACATGGTAAAACCACTGAATTCCATGAGTATGGGCCCATTACCACACGTCTTTTTGGTGAAGTGAGTTCCATGATTAACAATGCTGTGTAGAATTACCATGATTGTGGATAAGACATTCTGTAAGTCCACAAGTGATAGTTTTGGCAGAAGCAGTACATGAAGGAAATGCAATTTTATTTCCAGAGTGTTTATTCCAATAAGAAAATAAACACTGGCTCTTCCTTGATGGAAGTGGTCCAGTTTCTTTAATATGTCACAAGGTAGCCAGCTGATTACCTGGGAAATGGTGCCATAATGGGGGTACAGTGCTGCTGGTAGATTGGGCTCTCCGCAGTGGCCATAGTCACGTCAGTCTTGGTGACTGGAAGTCCATGTTGCTAAGCCTATACTTAACCCCCTTCCCTGTCACCATAAACACTTTGTTCATGAACCCAATGGATGATGACATGTTACTGGGAAATAGGCTGACTAATATCCAAAGAACGAATCTTCTATCCATTTGATTATTAAAATCGTCTCCTCTTAAGGTCACCGTTTAGTGAGTATTCACATGGGCAATAAATATCTTCGTGGTTTTTGCTCACTCAGAGAAGTATATTATCAGACCTCTTTCTCAAACATCTTTGTCACCAATTTTTCAACAATTTTCCTTCCAAGTCCCTGAATATCCTGCCAAACCATTGGCAGCAGCCCATGAATCAGTATATAATTTCATGTCTGGCCATTTTTCCTTCCAAGAAAGTGCACAACTAGGTGCACTGTCTAAAGGTCTGCTGACTAGGCAGATTTCTCTTCACCATTGTCCTCCAGAGATGTCCCAAACAGAGGCTGTAGTGTTGCAAATGCCCACCATTGTGTAGTGCCTGCATAGTATGCAAAACCATCTGTAGACAGATCCTAGCTTTTAATTTCTCTGTTGACTGGTCATAGGAAGTTCCCTTAAGACCATGCATTCAGTGGGGAAAGAGAAGGCCGTTTAGTAGGAGTGGAGACCATGGCATTTTGACCACTTTTTCATTTAACTTATTTGTGCCTTGGGGCCTGTTCTGGCTCAATCATATATAAACCCCTTGCATTTCATAATGTTGCTGCTGTCTACCTGAAATTTCTGGCCAGGTGGGTCAGATGACACATAGTTCACCATGGGTAGCTGAGGTTGCATGGTAAGTGTTCTGCTAACACCCAACTGCAGACCAATAACTGTTTCTCAAAAAAAGAACAGTTATCTGAGGAGAATGATAGAACTTTGCACCAAAATCCTAAGAGCCTGTGCTGTGATTCACCTAAGGAGACCAGCCAAAGACACCCAACAACATTTCTATCTGCACTGGCACTTCAGACACCAGTGAATCTGCTGAATCATGTGGCCCAGTTGTCAGAGAAGCTTGTACAGCAGCCTGGACCAGTTACAGAACCTTCTTTTGTTCTGGAGCCCACTCAAAACTCATAGCTTTATGAGTCACTCGGTTAATGGGGTTGGGTGGCATACGCACTTGATGTATGTGTTGCCTCATTATCCAAACAGTCCCTCTAGACATTGTGCCTCTTTTTCTTTTTTTTTGTTTGTCGTAGGAAAGGCCAGATGTAACAACTTATTAATTCATCTTAGAAAGATAAATGATCATGCTCCACACCACTGGTGCCCTGGTAATCTCACTTAGGTAGAAGATCCCTGAATTTTAGGTGCATTTATTTCCCATCCTCTGACAAGAAAATATTTTGCCAATAAGTCTAGAGTATTTACTACTTCTTGCTCACTAGGTCCAGTCAGCCTAATATCGTCAATGTGATAGGCCTGTGTGATATCATATGGAAAGGAAAGACTGTCAAGATTCTTGTGAAGTACATTTTGACATAGAGCCGGAGAGTTTATTTTCAGTAAATTATCACTTAAAGTCATTCTGATAAGTTCTTGGAAAAATGTGACTTTAAGCAAAACAACACACAGCAGGTCCCCAAATAACATTGTTTTGTTCAACGGCTTTTGTTACAACATTGATGAGAAAAAATGGTTTTGTTATACATCGTTTTGCTTAAAGTTTCACTTTCCAATAAACTATCAATGGCATTAAGTGAAGACTTACTGTATCCCTGAAGTGGGGCAGTGAAGATGTATTCCTTGCCTTGCCCAGCTGAAAGCAAACTTCTAGTGAATCTGAATGACAGGGAAGGAGAAAAAGGCATTTGCTAGATTAATAGCTGCATACAACTCACAACTCACCAGGTCATGTAATAATTTGCTCAGTCAATGGAATTACATCTGGTACAGCAGCTGCATCTGGAGTCAACACCTGGTTAAGCTTTCAATAATCTGTGGCCACATTCCGAGATCCATGTGTCCTCAGCACAGGCCAAATGAGAGAACTAAATAGGGATATGGTGAGAATCACCACCTGTGCATGCTTCAAGTCCCTGATGGTGAAAATAATTTCTGCAATCATTACAGAAATGTGCAGTTGCTTTTGGTTTACTATTTTCATACATAGCACCGGTTCTAGAGGCTTCTACTTGCCTACTTGCCTTTCTTATCATAATAATGACCATCTCTCTACACATTAGGAAACCAATGTGGGGATTATGCCAACTGCTCAGTATGTCTGTTTCCATCATGCATTCTAAAATTAAACAAAGAAAACACGCAGGACTGGTTCAGAGACCTACTATGAGACAGACCTGAGCTAAAACTCCATTGATCACCTGACTTTCATATATACATCCTTACTCTAGAGTATATGAAACTGTATACAGTGATGGTTTGAGTCTCCTGAATTAGTGTCAGTTAGGAGATAGTGTCAAGTAGTCACCAAAAAGGTCTAATTATTTTACTTTCCTAATGCACAATAATCTTAGTAAAAAGCTACGGCTTTCTTTGAGGAAGGCTGGGATAAATATGAACAGTATAAATTGTTGGTAGTATATCATCCTCAAGGGGAAATAGCGCTCTTTAATTCAAGGGGTTCTGGGTCTGTAACATGACTCAAATCTTGGAATTGACGGAGATGCCATTACTGTTTTTATTATTAAAATTAGACTTTTGTTCACTTAACCTATAATTTTTTCTGCTTATATATATCAAATAAGAATTTAATAGACTTTCTATCTATCTCATCTCTAAGAACACTATGATCAACTAGCCAATGCCATAGGTATGCATGAGTCAGACTTTTATAACTGCTGCTTTGAATCTGCTGTCCTTCACAGTAACCATGCTTACCTTATGGTTTGTGATTGATTCCTGCCAGTTGGCCCCTAGTATCCTTGGACCTAATATTCTCATTGTATTAGTTTTCATGATTTAGTGGCTGTAGTTTCCACTGTAAGGTCTGGCTTACAGAGGACTGATCACAGAGCTTTTGAAGGATGCTGGGCTCCTCTCACAAATTTATGTCTCACATGATTGGTGATAGGTATGGTTTTTGGACCCTCCCCCTGTGGATGAGTAGGTCTTATAGGACCAATTTATTCTAACATTCCAATCTCTGTGTTAAACCAAGGGGGATCCAGCATTTCCAGCTTGCTCACAGAGGTCCATCTTTGATCCATGTTTTAGCCAACCAACCCACCAGTTAGAGCTCTTTTTAATTCCCTGAGCTGCAATGTTAAGTGCAGAATTTCTGCTTAATGAGCCTGTATTAATAAATTAATACAGATTCAACTTTTTATTTCTTGCCTCATTGGACCACACCCTTAATATCTATTCCCCTACACACTTGCCGGATTTCTGCTTGCATAAATTAGAAAACCACATTCTTGGAGACTGTTAGTCCCTACTGCAGTTAGATACTCTATTTTGATGGTTGTTTGCATGCATGCGTGTGTGTGTGTGTGTTTGTGTGTGTGTGTGTTCTGTGTGTGTGTGAGAATATAGTCATGGGAAATCAGAATTCAATCCCAGAATGCAGCCTGCTTGGGTGCACTCTTCAAAAGTAGTCTGAATATAATTAGGAGCCAATGGAACAAAGGAAAGTGATATTCTTTTGTAATGCTGTTTGGCTGCAGTGTTCTTTGCAGTCTGGAAAGTTTTGGACTCTCCATGGGTCTTTGAAACATCGTGCTGTATTACAGTTGGGTTCATTTTGCTGCTGAACAGGAAAGTGAGATGGAGCTCTGCATATGCAGGCTTTGATGCTGTTGTTCTCAACAGGGTCAGGCCTGGTGATTATGTGATGTCCTTCTTTGGTGTGTTTGACCCAGTGTTGTTTGGAGTCTGAGGAGGTTTGGCCTTAAAAAATCAAACTACCATGGAAACTGCTTTACCCAAAATTTTGTTTCCCAGCCTTCACAAGATTGCCTACTGGGGAGAGTTTAGTTATGTGAACATATTCATAAACTGGTGAGTTTGTAATGCTACCTTACAGCTAGAATTCTGAGGTCAAAGGTATTGAATCTTTGTATGTCTGTATATGTTTCTGGATATTATGTGTTGTTTTTATAAGGTACCCAATTGACTTATAAGTAAAAGATCACTCATAAGTTAAGTAAATAAGTCCAAGCATTTAAAAAGTTCATTTGACATCGGTAAATCTTTACTAAACAAGATGGCTTTAAGATTCTTGGTAAAATAAAAATGCTTTTGAAATTGTTGGCATACATTTTTGCCTGGATTTTATATTTGTCTCTGCTAGGTATTTTAAGGTGTCAGGGTTTGGCACAAAAGTTTATAAGATTGTAAACCCAGCCAAGAGGAAAATGATCTGTGTTTGCGAGATTTTTTTGAGAAATAAGTCTAATTTAATGAGGCTGGTTTAATAAAAGCCACTGAATCTTCTGAGTTATTAGCAATGATGTCCATTAGTTAATTTTAAGCCTCTTACTTAGGTAAAGATTTAATATGTGCAGGTCATAAGGATGGTGAAGAAGAAAATAACTACATTTTTCTGATATCTCAGTTCTCATAAATAATCTAGATAAACTGCTAAAAATAAATAAAATATAGATGAGATAATTACTGTAGGTGACCTTTTTGTGTAATTTAAAGTATTGAAATTGTTTTGGATGCAAATCCAAACATATCTGGGTCATTTCAAATTAAGAAAATTATGATATGGGGAAACATTTTAAAAAAAAAAAATTGTTAAATCGTCTAACCTGCAAAATGCTAATATCTGATAGACAGTTCAGGATTTTTTGCTTCCTAAATATTGCAGTAAAATTTAAGGTTACCAAGAATAAGAATTCTAGTTATTATACAATCCTGTATATAAAATATGCTAAAAAGATATGTTTGTATTGAAAAAAATAATTTTGTCTAATTCAAAAGTTATTCAAACTATAGACTTGAGAGGACTATTTATGAACCAAGGTAAAAAGGAAGCTGTAAATAGGGGAGAGAGATGTAAAAAGATTAACATCGGCCCTTTTTGCTAGAGCAAGGCTTCCTTAAAATATTGATTTGTTCTTGATAAAATTACAGGAAGTTTTTATTTTGATTCTATACTCTTGCTACTTTTTGAAAACTTCTCAAATTCCTATATCAGAAGTGCAACTTTGCTGTGTCTTGCTGCTTTCAGCTTTTATTCTCCACTTAAAGAGGCCTCAGATAATAATAATTCTCTTTGTTTTTTTGAGACGGAGTCTCGCTCCGTCACCCAGGCTGGACTGCAGTGGTGCGATCTCGGCTCACTGCAAGCTCCACCTCCCGGGTTCACGCCATTCTCCTGCCTCAGCCTCCTGAGTAGCTGGGACTACAGGCGCCCGCCACCACGCCTGGCTAATTTTTTGTATTTTTAGTAGAGATGGGGTTTCTCCGTGTTAGCCAGGATGGTCTCAATCTCCTGACCTCGTGATCCACCCGCCTCGGCCTCCCAAAGTGTTGGGATCACTGGCGTGAGCCACTGGGCCCGGCCAATAATTCTCTCTTACAAAGGTTTCATAGGCTTCTGTAATGTTTTTCCTTTGGTTCTAGCTGCTGTTGTGGCCTGATGCTGAAATGTTTACCTCGAATGTTTATCTAGAAAAGCAATGTTTTCCTCTAGGATAACTTGATTCTGTACTCTTGGCTTTTCTTGATATGTCTAAGTTTTTTATCAGGTTTTGAGACAGCCAAGTGTAAAGGGGTCCCCGGAAAAATTCCAGCCAGGTGGTGCACTGGGTGGACTGCGCACTGGGAGGACTCCACACTGGGGTGGAGCCACAGAAGTTTGTGCCCTTCATAGTCGGGGGGAGCCTGGCCCCTCCGCCTCTGGGTGGAACCTGAGATTCATCTGCAAGGCAGGAAGCAAACTAGCAGGACTCTGGCTTTGTGGAGGGTCCCTGTTTCCGCTTTTCTCCCAATAAATTCCATTTTTTTCTCACCCTTCAAAGTGTCTGCAAGCCTAATCTCTCATGGCTGTGTGACCAAAACCCGGCTCTTAGCTGAACAAAAGAAAAAGTCCTGCAACAGCTTTGTTGCCCAGAACATGGGGCTTGAGAAGGGGTGAGGGAAGTGGGTATTCAAAACTTCTCACTATTGCTTCCGAGCCTTTTGGTCCTGTGGCATTCTTCTTCTCTTTTTTAGTAATGGCACCTCTTTTTTCTTTTACAATACTGGAAGGGGTTCACATCCACCCCAACATCCACAGGTGTGCTGGTGAGATAGGCGGGGCAGCTCTATGCTCCCGCTTTCCTATCAGCTGGGGTGCATGGCCTTATCTGCCACATGTCTGCATGGTGTCCAAACATGGACCTGCAAGGCGGGAATCAGCCACAGTGGCTGTCTGGGCCCCAAGGCGCCCCACGAGGCTGGCTGGCGTTCCCTGCCACATCCCCTGGCCAGGGAGGCCAGCTCTTTTTCACAGCAATTAAGCTTTTCTCCCTGATGGAGGAACCAGTTACATGAGAATAAGAGGTTCTTCCCCCAGGAATCCTTTTTTCTTTCTTTTTTATTTTTATTTTTATTTATTTATATATTTTTTTGAGACGGAGTCTTGCTCTGTTGCCCAGGCTGGAGTGCAGTGGTGCCATCTGGGCTCACTGCAAGCTCCGCCTCCCGGGTTCACACCATTCTCCTGCCTCAGCCTCTGGAGTAGCTGGGACTACAGGTGCCTGCCACCACACCTGGCTAATGTTTTTGTATTTTTAGTAGAGATGGGGTTTCACCATATTAGCAAGGATGGTCTCGTTCTCCTGACCTCGTGATCTGCCCGCCTCCACCTCCCAAAGTGCTGGGATTACAGGCGTGAGCCACCGCGCCCGGCCGGGAATACTTTTTTCTTCTCCACCCTGTCAGCAGTTAACTTTTAAAGGAGTTTCTTTTTTTTCTCTCTCTCTCTCTCTTTTGGAAGACATTTTACTAGGGTAGGAATGATAAGGATCCCTGTTTATTTTCTCTGTAAAGTTTTGGTTGTGTGAAAGGATCTTGTGGGGACTGGGTTTTCTCCTGTCTGTCTGTGTAATTGTATATGTGTGTTGTATGTAATGTCTATAAAAAATCGCTAATTAATTTGGCCAAAAGGAAGACAAGCACTGGGTCAAATTTTTTTTTTTAAAGGGAAGATAAAAGCTATGGTAGCTTTCCATGTGACTTTAATCTTTGAGTGATAAAAAGAGCCTTAAAGATTATTGGTAAAATGCAGGTGTCTTTAAAATATAAATAGGTGGACTAAATTATGCAGGTCAGATGCAAGGTTTGCTAAGTGTTTTAAGGTTATAAACTGCTTTTTGGGTTTTGAGAACTATTTGACTTCCCTGCTGTACAACTGGTAAGTCCTGGGGACATATAGAACTAACCGCACTTTCAATTATGCTGGAAGGAGTAAAACCTTGGCTGCACCAAGCACAAAATTAAAACAACTTACCAGGTTTTACGTTTAAGTTAAAATTGCTAGGAGTTACCATTATAACATATAATTGAAACTACTGGAAATAGATTTACATGTGAGGTGTGTGAGAACAGTAAAATGTGTTTTTAGTAAAAGGTTATAAAAAGGCATGAAAATGTAAATTTTTGCCTAGGGTTAAAGGATTGTTTTTAATGGTCAAGGAAACTTATTTTGAACTATTTGTGGCTTTTAATAATTGTGTAAAGTAGACTCCTCTGAACAAAATTTGGAGCATGTTTGTTTCTCTCTGGCTGGTTCCTCCAGAGATTGGAAACTATCTGGGAGTATTCTTAACTTATGGCAATATAGTTGTTTGCCTCAGTGCAATAAGAATCCATTTTTCTTTTGCAACATGACACAATTGGAGAAACTGGTTATTTTGCCAAAGCTTTGACTGGAAAGGTATGCTTCCCTTTAAGGAGTCAATCTCAACTTGCAGAGCCAATAAAACCTCTTGGGGACACTGGCCTGATACCCTTGCCTACACAGTCCCTGTACAGGGTTCCTGACCTGTGGTCAGTAAAGAATGTCACTTTCTAACAGGTCCAGGAGCACCAAGTTTATCTTGGGACCCTAAGAGGAGAGGATCACCCAACTAACAGGTATTTGAGGATACAAACCCATGGCTGGGCTTGGCTTTAAAAGACCTTTTATCTGAGACTCCTTGTGCAACAGAGTTCCTTCAAAGATGGTCTAAAAGGCCTATGTAGAAATAGTTATTCTTGTTGCACTTTATGCAAATAATCAGGCCAAGTATAAGACCAAAGTCTATTTTGCAAACCACTCAGTCCTGTGATCATTTGTTTTTTAACAAAAATGAGGACTGGAGAGAGAAATTATGATTCAAAACTTATACATTTGTCATTAAATTCTAAAATCATTAGTTGTTATTAAGTTTTGCCTACGTTTTAGACTAACTCTACTTGTTCCTGTTAACCAACCAGAAATCTCCAGCTGCAGCTCAGAAAGAACAAGAGAGATGGGTAATGTAAAAATCTGGATCAATAATAGAGTTCTGAGCAATTATCCTGCAAATCCTGGGAATAAATAGGGTGCCCATCACCCAGAGGTTTCTTTTTTGGGAAAGTAAGACCAAGGGAGCTAACCAAAGGCAAGCACCATGCATCCCAATCCTAGCAAGCATAACTATAGCTACCAGTTATCTGGGTGTGGTTTGTAGTTTTCTTTTTTGGTTATATCCTCTCCTGGTTTTGGTATTAGGGTGATGCTGGCTTCATAGAATGAACTAGGGAGGGTTCCCTTTTTCTCTGTCTTGTGGAATAGTGTCAAAAGGATTGATACCAATTATTCTTTGAATGTCTGGTGGAATCCTGCTGTGAATCTGCTTGGTCCTGGACAATTTTTTGTTGGTAATTTTTAAATTACCATTTCAATCTCACTGCTTGTTATTGGTCTGTTCAGGGTATCTAATTCTTCCTGATTTAAGCTAGGAGGGTTGTGGTTGTATTTTTCCAGGAATTTATCCATCTCTTCTAGGTTTTATAGTTTATGTGCATAAAGGTGTTCATAGTAGCCTTGAATGATCATTTGTATTTCAGTGGTGTCACTTGTAATGTCTCCCGTTTTGTTTCTTATTGAGGTTATTTGGATTTATCTTTTGTATATGTTTGTTGTTGTTATTTCAATTTCATTTAGTTCTGCTCTGATCTAAGAAGAAGTTCACAGTCAGCTACAGTCCAAAACTAACTGTTTTAGGGAAGTTTATGAAAAAGATTCTTTTTTTTTTTTTTGAGATAGAGTCTTGCTCTGTCACCCAGGCTGGAGTGCGGTGGCGTGATCTCAGCTCACTGCAACCTCCGCCTCTCAGGTTCAAGCAATTCTTCTGTCTCAGCCTCCCGAGTAGCTGGGATTACAGCCATGTGCCACCACGCCAGGGTAATTTTTGTGTATTTTTAGTAGAGACGGGCTTTCACCATATTGGCCAGGCTGGTCTCAAACTCCTGACCTTGTGATCTGCCCGCCTCAGCCTCCCAAAGTGCTGGGATTACAGGCTTGAGCCACCGCGCCCGGCTGAAAAAGACTCTTGAATGCAGGTTTCTGATTACTTTGAAGACTTTGGAGTAGAAAAAAGAAAACTTCCAGGACTCTAATTAAAAGGCGGATAGGTTCAAAAGGAGCTAATCCAGTCAGACAAAAACCCAAGTTAATTGCATGCTCTAAACTAATACAGGATGAAAATAATTTTATGGATTTTTTAAAATTTGCTGATTCTTTTTGTTTTAAGAGTTAAAAATGCTTTTTTTTGAACTACGTATTACCTGTAACAATTTAGTAGAATATACTCTTGTAAATAAAATTTGAAGCATCTCTCTCTACCTGATTTCTCCAGATTTTGAAAACCATTTGTGAATATTTTTAATTCATGGAAATATAGTTATTTTATAAATTAATTAAAATCTGTTTTCTTTTATAACAGGACGCAATTGAAGACATTGGTTATTCTACCAAGGCTTTGACTGAAATGACATATATTTTGGTAAGAGAAGATCAATTTGAGAAGTGGAAATTGACTTTATAGACCTGATAAATCTGCGTGGAAAGATTGGCCTGGTACTTTGTTGAAATGGTTTTCTTTTCTTTTCTTTTTTTTTTTTTTTTGAGATGGAGTCTCACTCTGTCGCCCAGGCTGCAGTGCAATGGTACGATCTCAGCTCACTGCAATCTCCGCCTCCTGGGTTCACGCCATTCTCCTGCCTCAGCCTCCTGAGTAGCTGGGACTACAGGTGCCCACCACCACGCCTGGCTAATTTTTTGTATTTTTAGTAGAGACGGGGTTTCACCATGTTAGCCAGGATGGTCTCGATCTCCTGACCTGGTGATCCGCCTGCCTTGGCCTCCCAAAGTGCTGGGATTACAGGCGTGAGCCACCGTGCCCCGCCTAGATTCATCTTTGATTCCTGATTGGCAACCTAGTCACCCATGATGTAGAGTTGCAGCTGTGCTGCATGCAATTATTAACAATAAAAGTTACCAACACAATTTAGAAATAAATTCAACTCCTAGGGAGTTGGTTCACTGGATGCATAAAAATGTAAACAAATAAGGAAAAAGTGAAATATTCAGTCTCTTGGTTATTGTTATCCGTAAGAGCTAAAGTAAGAGTGCTGAGTTGGACCCTGAAGCCAGACCAAATTCAGACATGGGTCTGTCTGAACTGAGATCACTAGTTTCAAGGCTACCCACAAAAGGGGGAAATCATGCCAGGAAACCAGAATGTACCTCTGAGACCTGTGGTTTCTAACAAGGTAGTCAATGTCAGGGAAGGGCAAAAACAAGTAACTACTGAAACTGGAGGGTATAATGTTTTTTAAAAAATGTTCCATTTTATACATTGGTATCATCAGCTTCCTGAGGAAACTTTACTAAAATTGATTGTAATATTGGAGCAATGTCTTTGGTTTTAAACATTGCAGAATGGAAGAGCATGTTTTGGTTGATGCATGACCCGCACCTGACTACTGAATTGTTGCAGATGGAGATATATGTATATGTATGCGTGTGTATGTGTGCATGTGTCTATATATGTGTGTGTGTATATATATATAATGTGTATATATATGTTGCAGATGGAGATGTGTGTATATATACATTCATATATATATTCATTCCAGACACACAGGAGGTTATTTCTGAGAGAAAGCCAGCCTGGTGGACTAGATGAAAGTCACTGTAAGATCTGTTGATCCTGAGAAGAGGAATTGCACAACTCCACCTGTCAATGCCAAGTGGAGCACCCAGACGACGCAGCTGATAGACTTCCTATGCAAGCCATGGGGGATTAGCCTGATGACAGGAATATTAACCTTACTTTTTGACTTTTGGGTTTCGGCTATTAAGTTGTTTAAAAGGGTTTTAAGAATTAATGGGTGCCTACCCACCTTCATTCCTGTCTGGCCTAACATGTTTACTTGGATATAAGTCTTTTCACTCTAAGTCTCTTGGCCATAGGTAGTCTCATTGAGAGACAAGTTGGACTCAGGCCAATAGCCACAGCAACTTGGCAATAATATGGTACAAAATAAAAGCTTTGCCATGATGCTCTCTCTTGCATGTCTTGACCATGAGGGGTCAGACTAAAATAAAGTTCTAAGTGCCCCACTGACTGAATGGACCTACTTGTGCCAAAGGGACCACAGTTGTCAAGACACAACCTTACCTAGGAATAGGTCTTTTCTCTTGCTTTGCTGAAGATACAATAGTCCCCCTAAAGTGAGTTGCCTCTTCCCCTTCAAAACATTTTATGAGAGACTACTTCTCTGAACTCCCCGAGACTTGTGGATTTTTATCATATATAAAACAGTTAAAAATATACTGACTAGTCTTCCTGAATTTGCTTCTGAAAGGCTCCAGTTTCCTAAAGATGTGCCTCTTCACTCTTTAACACCAGGAACCAAGTCCTGCTGAAGACCTGAAAATCCCACCTGGGTGAAGGCCAGCTGCAGCCACAATGGCCCAGTCCTTTTGAGATGCTGCTGATCACCCCCTCATCTGTCAAGTTAGCCAGCATTAAACCATGGATTCATCACACTTGGTTAAAACCTGTCCCTCTGGGATCCCTACAGGAAAAACAATCACAGTCTTATAAACCTCAGTGATTGGCTTTCTGTAAGGCAAACAGTCACAGGATTTGTGTATGTGATTTTTAGCAAGTTCAGCCCTGTAGCTACTGCAGATGAGAGTCTTTTTAAGAGCACAGATAAATTTTTCTAGTTGTTTACGCTGCACTTGAGCTAGGAATTCTAATCCCTGATGTCACTCTTTCAGCACTTTGTCCGGTAACTTTAGAAACAACCAGCCAACCTCATTAATCATGTGTCACTTAACAATGGAGATACATTCTTTCAAATGTGTTCTTAGGTGATTTTGTTCTTGTGTGACATCATAGAGTGTACTCACACAAACCTAGATGGCATAGCCTACTACAAACCTAGGCTGCATAGTATAGCTTATTGCCCCTAGGCTACAACCTGCAAAGCATGTTACTATATTGAATACTGTAGGCAATTGTAACACAATGTTAAGTATTTGTGTATCTAAAAATGTCTAAATATAGAAAAAGGAATGCATTGCACTATGACCTTATGACAGTGTATCACTAGGCAACAGAAGTTTTTTAGCTCCATTGTAATCTTATGGGGCTACTCTTATATATGTGGTCTGCTGTTGATCAAAACCTCATTATGTGGCACATTGCTGCATATTTGTTGTTTCTCCAAAAGTGTTCAGAATTATATGCGCATTGATACAGCTTCTTGCTTCTTCTAAGTGTTTGATTAGTAGTATCCAATGAAGATATTTGTATATCTCTATTGCCAGATCATGCCATAGACTATCTGTGTTTTCTTTACTACTATAAATAGAGTGATTGGTGTCTTTAATCAGATTAGAGGGTCAATTCCAGAAACCCCAAAATCAATTTAGAAAACTCATTCTTAAAATTCTGTTCCTCCAGAACCACTCTTGTTACAAAAATCAGTGTTCTCCACAGAAACAGAGCCAATAGGAGATAGATTGGATGTATGGATAGATAGATAGATAGATAGATAGATAGATAGATAGATAGATAGATAGATAGATTAGACAGATAGATAGATATACAAGATTGCAGTCCTGTGTACTGGGAGACCTGATGGTATAAATTCCAACCTGCGTCTGAAGGCAGAACAAGACCCATGTCCCAGCTTAAAGACCTGCTGGGAGAGAGTGAATTTGCTCTTGATCATCTTCTTGTTTCTGTTCAGGACTTCTTGGATTGTATCAGGCCCACCCACACTGGAAAGCACAATCTTCTTAGTCACCAATTCAAATGTTTAGCTCATCCACAAACATGCTCACAGACGCACCCAGAATAATGTTTAACCAAAAATCACAACTCATGATTCAGTCTAGCTGACACATGAAATTAATTCTCACATGGATTTAAACTATTTTATTGAATATTTGGTCCCATGCTGGAATAATTTTGCATTAACCTGATCATTACTGACATTGAGTGCATTTTCATATGTTTATTGACATTTCAATATGTACTTTTGTGATGTGTCTACTGGAAAGTCTACATTTTTCTTATTGATTTTAGGAATTTTACAAATATTATGCACATTTGTGGATATATGTATTATAATTATTCTGTGTCACAATGTGTCTTGATTTTTTACTTTCTTTTGATGAAGAGTAGTTATTAATTTTAATAAAATCTAATTTAGCAATATTTTATCTTGATAATGTTTTTGCTACTTTTAAATAAATGTTTGACAAATCCCAATGTCATGAAGATACTCCTCAATGTTTTCTGTGGAGAGAGAAGTTAAAACATATATTGCTGTAATGTGTATTACAATAACTGCACAAAGAAGAGAGAAAATGGAGTGACATTGTGGCAAAGTTGCTGTGTTTCATCAGGCAGATATCATTATAAACCTAAAGAAGTTTGGGATAAGTATAGATGTAGGTATATTCCGAGAACAAATTCTAGGAAAATATGTTGAAAAATAGAATTAGAAATCAACAATTGAACTAAAATAATACGCTACAAATATCTGTTAGTAAAAGGGAGAAAAGAACAAAAATACATGAAAATTACAGAAAGCAGCAATATGGTAGATATAAATCCAATATCAATAATTGTATTATATCAAAAATCATAAATGTTCAGACTAGATTTTTTAAAAAGCAAAGCTGAAGAATATGCTGTCTGCACAAGACATCCTTCAGATTAAATGTCGCAAATAGATAGAAAGTAAAACGATAGAGAATGTGGACCATGCAAACAGTAATGATGGGAGAGGTGAAGCACCTATATGAATATCAGACAAAATACAGTTTAAGACAGTAAATACTACTACAGACAAAGACATTTCTTTTTAATTTCACCTGTTTTTTTAAATTTTTTATTTATTTTTTATTATACTTTAAGTTTTAGGGTATATGTGCACAATGTGCAGGTTAGTTACATATGTATACATGTGCCATGCTGGTGTGCTGCACCCATTAACTCGTCATTTACATTAGGTATATCTCCTAATGCTATCCCTCCCCCCCTCCCCCAACCCCACGACAGTCCCCGGTGTGTGATGTTTCCCTTCCTGTGTCCATGTGTTCTCATTGTTCAATTCCCACTTATGAGTGAGAACATGCGGTGTTTGGTTTTTTGTCCTTGCGATAGTTTGCTGAGAATGATGGCTTCCAGCTTCATCCATGTCCCTACAAAGGACATGAACTCATCAGATATTTCTTAATGATAAATGGTCACACATAGATATAACAATGACAACATCATACATGCTTGAACAAGAGAGTCCCAAAATACATGAAGCACAACTGACAGAATTGAAAGAAGCAATAAAGAGTTTAACAATCACAGTTAGATATTTTAATATATATCCTCTAGGAGTTGATTGAAGAATAGAAATAAAATTAGTAAGGATATAGAATATGTGAACAACACAATAACCCAACTCAATTTGACATTTGTAGCATACAACATCCCCAAACAGCCGAAATACCCATTCTTCCTAAGATAACATGACACATTCTCTGGATAAATCATATCCTAGGTCATAAAACAAGTCTCACCATATTTGAAAGGAGCAATTGTACAAAGTATGTTCTCTGATCACAACATAATTATATTAAAAATAACTAAATTTATTTTGGAAATCATTTAATAATTTAATTACATAGATTTTAATTAATCAAAAATTGCAAGTAAATTAGAAAATATTTTCACTGTAATAAAGATAAAAACAAAATATTACAAACTGTATGAGACACACCTAAGTAGTTCTCAGAGGGAAATTTGTAGCTTTAAATGCTTATATGAGAACAAGTAAAACATCTAAAAATCAATAATATAAGATGCCACATTGTGAAGCCCCAGAATGAGTAGAAAATTAACTTGAAGTAAGTAAAATAAAGGAAAAAATAAATATCAGAACAGAAATCGTCAAAATAGAAAACAGAAAAACAGTTAAAAATATCAAAAAAAAAATCAGTGAAACCAAAAGTTTGTTCTTATCAATGGTTTATTTGGGGGGAGGCAGGATTAAAATATATATAGCTGTAATGCACATGTCAATATACATGTAGCCAAAAAAATGAAAAAATATTCAACATCATTAATCATAATGGAAATGCAAATTAAAACCACAATGGGACACCATCTTACACCAGTCAGAATGGCTATTATTAAAGCATAAAAAAAACCCAACAGATTGTGAGGATGCAGAGAAAAGAGAATGCTTATCCACTGCTGATGGAAATGTAAATGAATGCAACCTTCATAACAGTATAGAGACATCTTAAAGAACCAAAAACAAGACTGCCATTTAATCCAACAATCCCACTACTGGGTATCTACCCAAAGGGAAAGATATCATTGTATCAAAAAGATACCTGCATTTGTATGTTTATCACAGCACTATTCACAATAGCAAAGTCATGGAACCAACCTAAGTGTTCATCAATGAAGGGTTGGAGATATATATATATATATATATATATATATATATATATATATATATTAAATACAAACACACACACACAGAGCATGGAATAATATTCAGCCATACAAAATAAAATCATTCATTTGCAGCAACATGAATGGAATGGGAGGCCATGATCCTAAGTGAAATGACTTAGAAGCAGAAAGCCCAATACTGCGTGTTTTCACTTATTAGCTGGAACTAAACATTGAGTACACATGGACATACAGAGTGAAATAATAGACATGGGAGACTACAAAAGGCGGAAGCATGGAAGAGGGGTGAGGGCTGAAAAATAACCTATTGGGTATGATGTTCACTATTCACATAATGGATGCACTAAAAGCCCAGACTTCACCACTACTCAATATATGCATGTAAGAAATTTGCACTTGTACTCTCTAAATATGTAAAAATAAAAATAATTTGAAATTAAAAAACATTTTTTTTCATAATAAAGTAAAAATCAAATACTTAAGAGGACATTTTTCAAAAAAAAAGAAGTGTGGGACTTGTGTGTTGAAAGCAACGAAACTTGCACAGCAAAATTAAAGATCTAAATAAACGGAGATAAATGCATGAATGTGAATTGCATGACTCGATATTATTAAAATGGCAATTCCCCAGTTGATCTATAGAGGTAATGCAATCACTATCAAAATTTAAGTAGTTTTTGTCTAGAAACTGATGATCTAATTTTACAGTTTATATGGAAATTTAAAGAACCTAGAATAGCTAAAACTATTTTAAAAATAATTCTACTACCTGATTTCAAAACTTACTACAAAGCAATAGCAATCTAGACGAAGTGGTCCCGGCATAAAGATAGACATATAGTGAATGCAATAGAATTGAGTGTTAGGAAAAGCATGGATCATTAACTTCAATATAAGACCTAAAATTATAAAACTTCTAAATAAAAACTTAGTAGAAAATCTTTGTGACTTGGATTAGGCAAAAACCTCTTAGTTATGATTTACAATCCTTAAAATTAAAAACAGAGAGAGAGAATTGAGCATCAAAATGTAGCATTTTATTCTTCAACAAACCATTAAAAATAAAAAAAAACATGCACGGAATGTGAGAAAATACTTGTAAATAATATATCTGTCAAAGTAATTGTATCCAGAATTTATAAAGTACACAATATATTATAGCAAAGTAAGAAATTGGCTGGCAGTTATAATCCTAGCCACCGGGAGGTTGAGATGGGAGGATCGCTTGAGCGCAGGAGTTTGAGGCTGCAGTGAGCTATGAGGGTGCTACTGCGCTCCAGTCTCAGTGACAGAACGAAACCCTGTCTCTTTAAAAACAAAAAGTTTTGAAAAAAATGGACAAACTAAATATATGTCATCAAAAATAACAAATATATTGATTATTAGCACAGAAAAAGTTGCCAATCATTATTGGCTGATTTACACTGTAAATCAGTGTACACACACTCTAGAGTAAATATAGTCCAAAGCACTGTCAGTACTGCCTTGGTGTGGCTGTGTAAAACTGAAATCTTTATACATTACTGGTAAGGATGTAAAATGGTACCCCTGCTATGGAAAGTAATTTGGAAGTTTCTCAGAAAGTTAAGCACATGCTTGTTATACAACCCAGCAATTTCATATCAAGAAAAGTGAATATATGTGTCCTCAGAAAGACTCAAGCATGAGTGTTCATAAGCATTGTTCATAGTAGCCAGACACAATTCAAAGGTTTTTCCACTGATTAATAAACTTTGCAGCATGTTTATACAATATAATATACTACTTAGATGTAAAAAAATTGTGCTAACTGAAAAAAAAAAAACAGACATCTCATTGTAAGATTCAATTTACATTAAATTTTAGAAGGGCAAATCTGTAGAATAAAAACCTATACATTCCCGAGTCTGAGTATGAGAGTGGGGATTGACCATAAACAGCCACGGAGAAATGTTTTGGGGTGATGCAAATGTTCTAGAACTGATTTATGGTAATGGTTGAAAAACTGTACGAATTTACTAAAATCCATAGTAATGTACATTTGAACTGTGTGGATTTGGTGGTATACAAATCATACATCAATACATTTGTTTCTTTTAAGTGCATGCAACAAGGGAGTGACATTAGCAAGATGGCAGAGTAGGAGACACAGCCTTTACTCCCCACAAAATAGACAAACAACGATTAGCTAACCATGAGCAACATTGCTCTGGGAGAGCTCAAGAGTCCAGTTAAAAAGCTTTACCAACACAGTGGAGAAAAAAAATTGAGAAAACTGCACAGAAAAATGTTGGAAGTGGAGTTTCATTTTGCCTGCATCAGCCGATGCCCCGGCCTGCATAGCTCAGCACTGAGAGCAATTTCCTTGGCCCATGAGTTCCCCTCACAGCAGAGAAGGAGAGCAGGGTGAGTGACCAGCTTCCCAGCTTTTGGGGGTACCACTTGAAGGGCTTCCCCTGCCAAGATTGCTGGGGAAGACAGGCATAGCCAAGATGTCTGCAGATGGCTAGGGACAAAGAGAAAAGTGAGGCTATCAGCATCAGCCACACGGTGAAGCCACCATGGCCCCCAGCCTGCTCTACAGAGGACCGCAGCAGTCTTTACCACTGAGGACCTCAACAGCCACAGCAAAGGCTTCATCTCTCACCATTGAGGACCCTGCAGTAAGCACTTTAAGAGGCTTCCGTGGGCTTTTCCATGGAAGACTCCAGCAGTTTTCACCTTTGAGAAAACCAACAGCCTAATCTTGTTAAAATGAGAAAATCAAATTCTGCCTTTGCATTAGTGTTTTATTGAAGCTAAAGCTAATTTTAATAAAACCTTATAAACAAGTCCATCCAATATCAGTCAATTGTGATCACACAAGAAAAGGTTTTCATAAACCTTTTATAAAGTCTTATACTTTTTTTTTTTTTTTTTTTTGAGGCGGAGTCTCGCTCTGTCGCCCAGGCTGGAGCGCAGTGGCGCGATCTCGGCTCACTGCAAGCTCCGCCTCCCGGGTTCACGCCATTCTCCTGCCTCAGCCTCCCGAGTACCTGGGACTGCAGGCACCTGCCACCACGTCCAGCTAATTTTTTGTATTTTTAGTAGAGACGGGGTTTCACCGTGTTAGCCAGGATGGTCTCCATCTCCTGACCTCGTGATCCGCCCGCCTCAGCCTCCCAAAGTGCTGGGATTACAGGCGTGAGCCACCGCGCCCGGCCTAAACTCTTATATTTTTTATTAATGAGCAGATCCATGCTCCAAGAAAACCCTGTTACTCGGACACAGTGGTCCAGGCTCTGGCCGTGCATCGGTCTGCTTTTCATATTTAGGTTTAGTTTTTAGAAAAACTAAATGACCTCTTTTTAATTTCAGCCCACATGATCATACACAAAATTATTTTCACAAGATCACTCTTTCACAAACTTTCTACAACTTGCTTAAACCTTCAGTTATGTGTATCATGTCTTACCATTTTATCCTAGGACAAAGGTTTACTTTATTTTCCCCCTTATTATTACGACCACACAGAATTCTCTCTCATGTAAATGAAAAACTACTCTCTCTCCCTCAACCTCTCTTACATTTTAATTTTCCTTTAACAAAAACCACATTCTCTTGCCTTCTTACAATCTTTTTTAAATTAAAAGTGCATTCTGTTTTCTTTAGAGCCTTTGGATGTAAAATTGCTTTTCTTATGTCTAGTAGTCTTAATTACATAAATTACTTACAATGTAAACTCTTAGTAACCCTTATGTTCAGTGACAAGCCCAGGAAGCAAGCAGTTTTAATTATGTGTCAGTAGCCCAGGACAAAGTACCAGACTTGGGGATAGGTCTCATCATGGCCTAAAGGCTCAAATCTAAAGGCGTAAGTTTATAGAAAATTTAAGCAAGTATCAAAAGCACTACAGAAGCAATCATTCTATGATCTTAAAACATCTAACAGAGATAGTATCTGACCAATACATCTAGGCAAAAATGTCCAAATTCAATTCTGAAGATGCTTTTATTTTAAGAACAATTTTGAAACTATCTTTATTTACTGAATATCATTATTAAAATCACATTAACCTGAAAAGCATTTAAATTTATGTATTTAATTTATGAATACTCTTTTATTTATAAGCCAATTTGCTATTGTAGACAACATGCAAAGACATACACACCTGCATACATAAAGATCAAAACAGACATAAACAAAGCCCCTAGACTCTTGATTTTAAAACTCTAGCTATTAGACTGGCAAAGCTCACCAGTCCAAAAATGGCAGCTGGATTCCAGTTCCATCTCTATAAATGGAACAAGTAAAAATCCACCTGTTCCACATGGCTCAAGCCCTCACCAGATCCCAGAGGAAACAAACTGGCAATGCATATCTCAAAGCAGAGAGAGAGAGACAATTTATTCTCCTTTAAGAAAGAGTTTAAGGCCGAGGCAGCCAGATCACCTGAGGTCAGGAGTTCGAGACCAGCCTGGCCAACATGATGAAACCCTGTCTCTACTAAAAATACAGAAATTAGCTAGGCATGGTTGCATGTGCCTGTAGTCCCAGCTACTCGGAAGGCTGAGGCAGGAGAATCGCTTGAACCTGGGAGGTGGATGTTGCAGTGAGCCAAGATCACGCCACTGCACTCCAGTCTGGGAGACAGAGCAAGCCTCCATCTCAAAAAAAGAAGAAAAAAAAAAGAGTGTAGGCTTTGTTAAAGAAAGACTGAAAATGGACACCAAAGCAACACAAAATCACAGGAACTTACCATAAGATTTTATAAGGCAAGTTTTCTCATAATACGGAGTGATTTCTGGTACTGCAAAAGCCGAAGAGAAAAAGTGGAGTAATTTTAGATCTGGGAGGACTCTGTCCTCTTGAGATTCCCTGAGGAAAAACAGAAGTTCCTCCCCAAAAGAGGAATCCACCACATCTTTTTCTGTTTTCCTTAAGGAATTTCAGTCTGTTAGAAAAAAAATTTTCTTGTCCCCTCATGTGGCACCGATGGTGGCAAGATGCAACAGGGGCTGACAGAAGGAAAAGGAGAAACAGGCAGAGGGAGCACATATGTGACTGCCATGGGTGCAAGGAGAGAGAAATTTAGCCAATGGAGAAATTCTTACAAAGACAGAACAGAGGACTTAAAGACTCTTATGCATACACACATGTGCACAAGTGTATGCGCACACACACACAACGTACATATAACCTAAATAGCAGTTTCAATTAAGTTGACTTTTGACTATCCAGCTCTTTAAAAATCCTTTCAAACTTATTAGAGAATTTTAACAGGACAAACAGCTGATATGTAAGACTTTGTATCCTTTTTATTTTTATCTTATTTATTTATTTATTTATTTATTTGAGAGGGAGTCTTGCTGTCGCCCAGGCTGGAGCGCAGTGGAGCAAACTCAGCTCACTGCAAGCTCCGCCTCCCGAGTTCACGCCATTCTCCTGCCTCAGCCTCCCCAGTACCTGGGATTACAGGCGCCCGCCACCACGCCTGGCTAATTTTTTTTTTATTTTTTATTTTTTTATTTTTAGTAGAGACGGGGTTTCACCGTGTTAGCCAGGATGGTCTGGATCTCCTGACCTCGTGATCCGCCCGCCTCTGCCTCCCAAAGTGCTGGGATTACAGGCGTGAGCCACTGCACCCGGCCATATCCTTTTTATTTCTTAAAGGTACCGTTTAAGTTAAGCTTCACCAAGATTATGATTTAACCAAGGACGTATGAGGTGTCTCCAGAGAGGCGGAAAGCAGTATTCACAAGATCCAAACCCACCCTGTCTTTTGACAGTTCAAAGAAATGAAAACTTTGCTAGCTACAAATGGAGTATAATCCACATTCTTATTTCCCAAATTCTCTAGAGTCTCAGGTTCTTAGTTGACTATCTGCACACAAGGCTCAAAAGCCTCATATACCCCCACAGATGGAAATCAAAAGCTGTCCATGAAAGAAAAATGCATCAACAAATGGCAAAAATCTCACAAATAGCAAACCAAAAGGACTTGTTCCTTGGCTGGGAATCAAACTCAGGCTGTCACGGTGAAAGGGCAGAACTTTATTTAGCTGGTGGATTATAGGATGGGACTGTCTTCACTATTGTTCACAGAGATGATTTGAAGTGGGCAGTTCTAGGCTTGCAAATAATTTTAACTTTGTTTTAGGTCAGATTTTTGCTCTTTGATTTAGTCAAGAGAATTCCTAAGGCTAACCATCACACTATTATGTGTCCTTTTTAAAATTTGATTTTCCCATCAATTGTTTAAGAGATCTCTAAAATCTTTTTAAATTTAGGAATCTAAAGGATCCCTTTTTCAGGTTTTCCTCTGGAGTCTAAATAATATTGTGGCCAAATAGTGCCGCAATAAAAAAATCTTATTCCTTTTTATGGGTCCAAAGCTAAAATGTCTCGCACCCTACAAATAAATATCTTCTTTTCTCCTAATGAAAACCTTGGTGTTGATGTTTGGACATAATACCCGGGGCAAGTGGACCTCAGTTTGGTTTGATAACAGTTGGTGACTGCAAGATACAAAAGTCCTGAGTGGGCGTCTCATTTATGGCACACTGATCCCTGGCTGCAGCATTGTATTAATGCACCCTAATGGACTACAAGGAGGAATAGAGCTCATGCTTTCTTTTTTAGATGACAAAGCCTTAGGTGACAAACCCTTAAGGACTCAGCTGGGCTTTGGACAGAATTTCAAGAAAGCAAATCAAAATAAAAATGCAATTCCTCAAGGTCTTGATCCCTCCAGTTCTCTGTAGAGTATTCCCCACTAAATATGCTCTCATTCAGCAGAGCCTTGTGCCTTTCCAAAGCACATCTGGGCGACAGCAGATGTCCTGCTGAAGCAGAACCCAGCATCTAAAGGAAAAATTGCTTGGGGCCGTTGTTCACAAACTCCACTTACCAAAAACAGTGCCTCATTTCTGACACTGCAAAAAGTAAAGCACCAACAGATGCTGGCGAATATGTGGAGAAAAGGGAAGCTTCAAACACTGTTGGTGGGAATGTAAATTAGTACAACCACTATGGAGAACAGTTTGGAGGTTCCTCAAAAAACTGTAAATAAAGCTACCATGAGATCCAGCAATCCCACTGTTGGGAATATACCCAAAAGCATGGAAATCCATATATCCAAGAGGTATCTGTACTCCCATGTTTGTTGCAGCACTGTTCACAATAGCCAAAGTTTGGAAGCAACCTAGTCTGTCAACAGATGAATGAATGGATGAAGAAAATAAGGTACGTATATACAATGGAATACTATTCAGCCATAAAAAAGAACTAGATCCTGTCATTTGCAACAACATGGATGGAACCGCAGGTCATCATATTAAGTGAAATAAGGCAGGCACAGAAAGACAAAAATTTGCATGTTCTCACTCATTTGTGGGATCTAAAAATCAAAACAATTGAATTCATGGAGATAGAGAGTAGAAAGATGGTTACCAGAGGCTGGGAAGGGAAGTGGGGGTAGGGTGGGAGGGAGGTGGGGACGGTTAATGGGTACAAAAAATAAAAAGAATAAGACCTAGTATTTGATAGCACAACAGGGTGACTATAGTCAATAATAATTTAATTGTACATTTTAAAATAACTAAAAGCATAATTGGATTGTTAGTAACACAAAGAATAAACACTTGAGGGGAAGGACACCCCATTTTACATGATGTGGTTAATACATATTGCATGCCTGTATCAAAACATGTCATGTACTTCATAAATATACACACCTACTATGTACCCACAAAAATTAAAATTAAAAATTGAAGGCCAGGCACGGTGGCTCATGCCTGTAATCCCAGCAATTTGGGAGGCCAAGGCAGGCAGATCACGAGGTCAGGAGATCAAGACCATCCTGGCTAACACGGTGAAACCCCGTCTATACTAAAAATAATAAAAAAAAAAATTAGCCAGGCTTGGTGGCGGGTGCCTGTAGTCCCAGCTATTCGGGAGGCTGAGGCAGGAGAATGACGTGGACCCAGGAGGCAGAGCTTGCAGTGAGCCAAGATCACGCCACTGCACTCCAGCCTGGGTGACAGAGCAAGACTCTGTCTCAAAAAAAAATAAAATAAAATAGAAAGAAAGCACCATAGGCCTTTCTTTCATAATGGTGGTCAGTTGCCAGATGCAAGAATCCATCCCTGAATACAATCATTCAGGCAGCTTCTGGACAGGGTTTGAGCATGGCTGCAGCCAGCAGCCCCTGTGCCACAAGTGAGATGCCCGCTCGGGACTGTTGTTCCTTTGCAGTCACGGTTATTACCAAACCAAACTGAGATCCACTGCCCACGACAGTAAGGCTAAATGTCCACACTGAGGTTTGCAGCAGGAAAAGAGGAGGATGTTTATTTACAAGGAACCAAGCAAGAAGACTCAGGCAGGTCTTGCTTAAGTTCTGAACTCTCTAATTGCTCGCAAGTGAAGGATTTTAAAGGTAGGGGTAAATTTCAGGAAAGCAGAAGTAAAAGGTGAAAATCATAAATCAACATATGGATGTTACACATTGGTTTGGCCTAAAAGGGTGAGATATCTTGAAGTGGGGGCTTACAGGTCGTAGGTAGATTCAAAGATGTTCTGATTTGCAATTGGTTAAGAAAGAGATACTTTGTTTAAAAACTTGGAGTCAGCAGAACAGAAGGTTAGCTCTAACTCCTGGGTATGACTTCCTTCAGGCCTCTCAGGAAGAAATTTAGAAAAAAGAATGGCAGTCACAGTTTAGTCCTCAATTCTCCCTTGATTGAGGTCTATATGCCAGTGGAGCAATTTGGTGGAAATTTGGGTTTCTGAAAAACAATAACAAATGTTAAGATGTTACCTTAGTTTCCATAGGGGATTCCAACTTCTTTGGATATTGTTTTAAGCTATAATTACCTTATTGCTTATCAAGTCGCTTATATACGTCTCAGGGCTACCATGAAAGAACTGAAGATTTTCCTTTATTTTCATGCTTGAGGCAACCCACAGGCCCCTAAGAGGAGTCCAAGCTCCATCTTATATACCAGGATCATTGTCTAGCAAAAAGTGAGCTCAGAAAACATGTTAGAATTCCTAATATCAAAGGAAGAAACAATAAATATCCCATTGCATATTTGTTAGTGCCTTAGGAGGGGAGCCCATGGGCATTGTTGGGGAAGCTAAGTGTCCAAGGAAAAGTAATCTCCAGTGCAGGAAGTGAAGTCATCTCCAATGGTGAAGTATTGGTTTGGGGCAATGTTCTCTGAAGCTAAGTCATCTCCAGCAGTGAATTCCTGGACTAGGCAGACCACTGTCATCTGGGATGTGAGACTGGGGTATCCTTCCCAAGTTGGATAACCACTAGGGTTGATGTGAATCATGTTTTTGTTCCTCTATTGTATTATAACAAGGCTGAGCCACTTGTGGAATTTGAAGGCAATGTTGTGCCTGGGAATTTGACTTGCAAATATTCTTAAGGTCAAGGGGCTTTGTGGGTGCACGGCTAGCTAAGGTAATGTCTGCGTCTAACATGCTGCTGTAACTGTACCAAAGTGCTGGAACTTGATTGGCACAATTAACACTATAATTAGTAGCGTCTAAATCTGAATCTCCCAATAGTCCAAGGTTTTTCTCAGATGGGTGATAAGAAACATTTTACTACAAATAGGTTTTAAATCACACAGCTTGATTTGAGTGTATGTTGTTAATAAGGTGGCAGGTTTTTTTGCCAATTAAAATCTTGAGGCTGAGGTTGGATATCCATCATTAGATTGTAGGCAGGTCCTCCAATTTAGTCACTTAGTATGAATCCTTTTCCCCAGTTGCTGGTTTGTTGGTGATAGGCAAGTGGATGAGGTTTGGGGCTGTATTAGCAATACTTGATGGCTTGTGGACCACAGCATTTGCTATGTCTGTTTGAAACAATGACTTACTTGGAGGGTTTGGAGTACCAGATTGCAAACCAGTGAAAGCACCCAAATCAATAGTAATAAAACCAATTGTCAACAAAATAGTGTGCAGCAACACTTGACACTTTTGTTATCTAATGATGATTATTTTTCTAGCATATATAATTACCAGGGCAGGAATATGCAAACCTACCCTCAGAGGCTGAGGGAGCTGAGGCCAAAGAAAGAGGTTGACAAATCCAGTTTCTTAGAAAGAAACATTTAATATGAACAGAAGCTATGTTTCAGGTGGCCACGAGAGGGTGAATCTTCACACTCGCCCTCTAGAAAGTATTCTTTATATAGCAAGCCTTCTTTGGGTAAAACATATGCAACTGGTTATGTCTGAGACCCTTTAGTGAAACTGGTGATTACTGGGGAGGTTAGATAAGCATCTTTATGAAGGGTTAGCTATGCTGCTGGCATTGTTTCTTTATGAGGGATTAGTTATGCTGCAGGCATTGTTTCTGTATGAGGAGTTAGCTATGCTGCAGGCATTGTTTCTTTATGAGGAGTTAGCTACGCTGCAGGCATTGTTTCTTTATGAAAAATTAGCTATGCTGCAGGCATTGTTTCTATATGAGGAATTAGCTATGCTGCAGGCATTGTTTCTTTATGAGGAATTAGCTATGCTGCAGGCATTGTTTCTATATGAGGAATTAGCTATAATGCAGGCATTGTTTCTATATGAGGAGTTAGCTATGCTGCAGGCATTCTTCCTATATAAGGAATTAGCTATGCTGCAGGCATTGTTTCTATATGAGGAATTAGCTATGCTGCAGGCATTGTTTCTATATAAGGAGTTAGCTATGCTGCAGGCATTGTTTCTTTATGAGGAATTAGCTATGCTGTAGGCATTGTTTCTATTTTAGGGGTTAGCTATGCTGCAGGCATTGTTTCTATATGAGGAATTAGCTATGCTGCAGGCATTGTTTCTTTATGAGGGGTTAGCTATGCTACAGGCATTGTTTCTTGACCTTGCTGCTGGAATGCCTTGGTATGCTGTAGTGAAACATCAGTCCTTATGGCAGTTTTGCTTCAAGATGGCATTACTCTTGCCATGCAACAGGCTGTTTTCCTACAATAATTTTGGAATATAGTGTTTATTCTTTTACTATCTGAATGTCAGTTTAAGTTACTAAGTGGAGTTTTCTATCTTTCATTCTACCATTTTTGGGACTGGCTTTTGGGCAGTAATTTTAATTTCTGAGTGTAATCAGAGGACGAGCTCAGATAAATTTTCCATCCCTTATAAAATGAATATTGAGGAAGATTTTGGGGAGTAAGTTTAGGTTCAAGTGAGTTCCATGTCAGATGAACAGGTGCCTGACTTGTGAAACAATCTGATTAGCAAAAGTACCTAAGAAAGTGGTATCCTCAATCTGGGATCCGTTTGAATCTCCCTTTAAATATAGACAATTGTGATTGGAAGATTTTTTAAAGTTGCTATAAGTCAGTTCTGCATCTTTAACTTAAGAGAGATTAAGGTCTGGGGCAAGATAGAGGCCATTTAGGAATTCATTTATTATTTTTTAACTTAAGTAGGAGTCATTGAAGAGCCCACAAGACTTCTCAATTAATCCAGCTTCCTGGGGCCTAATGGGAAAATATAATTTCATTGAATGTTGTTTCTAAGAGCCCACCATTGTATCTGAGAGTAAAATGTGTACCTTGGAGCTACAGACTAAGTGTTTGTGTCCTTCCAAAATTCGTGTGTTGAAATCCTAACCCCAAATGGGATGGTATTGGGAGGCGGAATCTTTAATAGATGATGACAGCAGAGCCATCACAAATGGAATTAATGTGCTTATAAAAGAGTCCCCAGAGAGCAAGCCTGACCCTTCTGCCATATGAGGACTCAATAATATAGTACCACCCATGGATGGGAAAATTAACCCTCACTGGACACAAACTTGCTGGCACCTTGATTTTGGACTTCCCAGCCTTCAGAAGGTGAAAAATACATTTCTTTTGTTCATAAACTATTCAGGCTATTGTATTTTGTTAGAAAATCCCCCAAAGACTAAGACAGAATATTGGTTCCAAGAAGTTAGGGTGTTGCTGTAATAAATAATGGAAATGTGGTAGCAGCTTTGAAACTGGGTAATGACTACGAGCTGGAATAGTTTTGAGGTGCATGCTAGCAAGCACCTATGTTTCCACGAGTGGCCTTAAATGATTAATTCCAGTGAGGGCTCAGAAGGAGAGGAGGAGAGCTGCAGAGAAAGGGTAAATCTTCTTTGAGAATGCCAAGATGGCCATAAACCCAATGTTCATAGAAATGTGGGTGATAAAAGCCATTTTGAGGAGGTTTCAGACAGAAATGAGAAACATGTAATTGGAAATTGGGGGAAAGACAATTCTCATTATAAAGTGACAAAAAAATTGGATGAACTGTGTTCATATTCTAGTGTTTGATGGAAGGTAGAACTTTTGAGAAAATGAATGGATATTTTACTCAGGAAATTTCTAAGCCAAGTGTTGAAGGTGGAGCTTGGCTTTTCTTGAAGGCTTATAGTAAAATTCAAGAAGAGAGAAATAGCCCAAAATGTTATTGTTAATCAAAAGGGAAGCAGATCTTAAAATTTTTGATTCTCAGCCTATCCACATTGGAAAAAAATAAGAAAGCTGGCCAGGTGTGGTGGCTCACATCTATAATTTCAGCACTTTTGGAGGCCAAAGTGAGAGGATCATTTGAGGCCAGGAGTTCAAGATCAGCCTGGTCAACAGAGCAAGACTCTCTCTCTACAAAAAATTTTAAAATAATTAAAAAATTTAGTCAGGCATGGCAGCACACACCTGTAGTCCCAGATATTTGGGAGCCTAAGGCAGGAGGAATAGTTGAGCCCAGGGGTTCCAGACTGCAGTGAGCTATGATTGCACCATTGTACCCTAGCCTGGGCAACAGAGAAAGACCCTGTCTAGAAGAAGAAGGAGAAGGAGAAGGAGAAGGAGTCATCCTCCTTTTAGGGAGAGAACAAGGGCATGGTCAAGTGACCATCTGATAAGGAGACTGCTATGGATTGGGAATCTAACACAAGACAAGGGCTGTTTCTCAAAACAATGACAGAATAACCAGGAAGGAATTTTGGAGATTATGGAATCTGTCTCTCTCATTACAGGCTTATGTAAGGACCTGGAGGGAAGAATGATTTCAAAGCTCTGCTCCCTGAATTTGAGCACAGTTGTCCTGGGCCACACCGGCTGTGGCTCCAGAGGGCCCAGGTGCAGCATAGGCCATGGTGGTCTCCCCTCCACACAGCATAGATGATAAACCTTGGCAGGGTACATGTGGTGCCATCTCCAAAGAAGCACAAAATGCATAAACCATGGGGGTGTGTCTACTCCCACATAGATTTTGAAGAATGAAGCCAGGGAGACCCTCAGGCTCAAGACTCAAGCAGCGAGCTACCGTAAGGTTGTGGCCAACACAGAGAGTCGCCACTAGGGTTATACCTAGCAAAGCCATGGGGCCCCTCCTCCAAAATTCATATGTTGAAATACTAATTCCCAATGTTGTAGTATTAGGAGGTAGAGTCTCTGGGAGGTGATTAGGCAGAACTCTCATGAATAGTATTAATGCCCTAATAAACAGACTCCAGAGAGCTAGCTCACCCTTCTATCATATAAGGACACAACAGAAAGGCACCATGTATGCATCAATGGGCCCTCACCAGATATCAAATATACCAGCACCTAAATCTTGGACTCTCCAGCCACTGGAACTGTGAGAAGTAAATATCTATTCTTTATAAAGTACTCAGTCTTTACTATTTTGTTATGGCAGCCTGAATGGACTAAGATACCTGTTTCCGGAGAAAGCTGGATTTAGTTAAGATCTTTCCTGCAAAGATTGTGTGTGATGAGGAAGGTTTTGAGGTACCACACAGTAGTCCAGAAGGGCCTATAGTATCCCTTTGGGGGTGAAGCCAAACTGAGGCTGAGAAGTTTTTGAAATAGATACTGAACAATACATATTAGCCACTTCCATAATAGGAAAATATTTATTGGTTGCCAACTGAATAGAATCAGAAATGTAAATACATAGGGTGATGGGCACCCCCCACCAGGTTACTTAAGGGTGTAGGTCTTCTGCTTGGCCCTTGAAGGCCAAGTGGTGAGCCAAGGCAATGGTTTCCAGCTGAGGAACAGGTGTTTCTGGGAACCCAAACATCCTGGAGTGCACAGGTAACCTACCAAGAAAAAATAATCCATTGCATGCAGTAGGCAATGAGCCAAAAAATTAGCTTAAAAGCAGCTTAGAAATGTCTGGTAGGGAAGGTCTCTGGAGTTTTCCTGTTGCTGCCCAGGAATGTCCTGTATGTAAGTCCTAAAAGCCTCATGTACTCATCAAGCTGGACTTGTCCAACTTATTATTTGGTCACTTAGCTCCTTCCCAGGTTGTGGGGGCATTCTTCTAAATATTCCTGTTTTATTCTCATAACAAAATAATTTTGGGTATTGAATATGGGAGCCTTAACAAATGGGACCATAGCATTTTAGCTGTAGCAGTCTACTATGAGGCAATCTTCATTCTTCCCAGGTTTAAGAATTGGCAAAATTGGGCTGTTAAAATGGAGAAGCAATGGGAATGATCATTCCTTTACTAATTTTCTTTTATATAAGAGATTTTAATCCTTGAAAAGTCTGTTTTTAGTTATATTTATCTTTATAAACTATTTTAACCTGGGGCACATGGGGTCCTGTTTTATCAATCCAATTTGTAAATGCCAAATAATTGCTTTAAGTTTAATTTGTTATTCATTGTGTTGGAACATAATTTAGAACAATGGGTATTCTGATTGGGAAATTTAGGAAAAGATATAACGTGAAACATACCTATTTTTCTCTATTTTATATTTAGCTACTCTCATAAAATGATTAGGGCATCTTGTTTAAATCTAGTGGGATCCCCAGGTGTAACTCTAATTTGAGCTCCAGTATTAAAGTCATGAAGTTTTGTCAACTGCTATATTTAAGCCAATACTAAATTTAATTCAGGAATTATGTTGTAGAGGTATGAAAGCCAATCAGTGCACTTTTATCTCTGTTATATAAATTATTTTAGTACATTTTGGATTTCCAATTGGGTTAAATTACAAAACTTTGTTTCATCATCAGCATCATCATCAATGCATTATCTTAGGAGTATCAGTAGTATTTCTTCCCCTTATATAAATACTTTTTCTTTCTTTCTTTCTCTCTTTCTTTTTTGTTATGGGTTTCTAGCCACCTAAAGACATGGTTTTGTTTCTATTTGTGTCTGATAACTCATAGTACTGAACTTCTAGGTGGTTACAGAAAAGGGGAGTGGAAGAGCCCCAGTGGACCACCTTATGGGTATCTATCTCTTGTTCCAAGGCTTCCTAGTTCACTTCACAGAGATTGGAGTTTGTACCTTGAGATTTATAGTGGTCTCTCACTGGGGCAGCACAAGTTAGCTTCTCTGTCCAAGGTATCAGTCTGTTAGGTTAACATGCAGATGCATTTACTAAAACCCAAACAAATGGTTAGAGGTCTTGCAATATTTAAGCAATGGTGTAACTTTATCAGGTGTTCTGGTAGGGGGTTGAGACATTAGATATTTTTCCTTGCCCCTTTGGGTTAAACCCTGGGTCGTTGGTCTCCAAGGGTGTGACCAATGATAGTCCTCAGCGTCTGGGGAGCTTGAAGATTGCTGCTGATAACAGTGAAGTACACAGCAGCAACAAAGATAGGTAGGCCACTACCTCTATCTGAGCAATATTGATGAAATCAAGGTGTCATTTCTGTATGTTGGGTTAGTACAATCAATACCTTCTTCCACAGGGATCAACTGAAACACAGGGGAAAACTAGAGTTCTTCACTCAGATAATAATCGTCTTAGTCTGTTTTGTGCTGCTGAAACAGGGCCAGGGTTATTGGTCTCATTGTCTAAGGTGTTATCTGAGCTCATTATCTCATGACTGGGAAAATTAATGAGCATCAACACAGAAGGTGAGGTTGGAGTGAAAGTTTAATGAGCAAAAGAAGAAAGCTCTCTGCAGCAGAGAGTGGGAGCCCTAGTGGGTTGCTGTTTTTACAGTTGAATTCAAAACGTTTTATAAGAAACTCCTCTCATCTCTGTAGCCATTTGAGTAACTTCTCTTATCTGAAAATCTCTCTGCACAACTCCCCCTCATCTATGTAGTTGTGAGTATGTCTCTAGGCAAGCACAAAGCACCGTATTCTTGTTTGTGTAACTGTGGGTTTGTTTGAGGTAAGCCCCACTCCTCCCTGTGTAAGTTCCCATGGAGCCCACCATGTACATATCGGAAAAGGGGAGGAAGCTTTTTCCTACGGGCCTGCCAATTACACAAAGAACAAAAGGCTTTGATGCTGGACCCACCTGCTCATCTGTGCAGGTGCAGCCTGAGTTTTCAGGCTGCTCTATGTTTGCCTGTAGCTGTAATTTTTCAGGCAGACTGTTTCTCTGAGGACCAGCCTTAACTGTTTGCTTAATTGATTTTTCCTTTCTTCTCCCTCATTCCATGCCCCTTCAGGGGTGGAGACCCTAACTGCTGTTAGGAAGATTGGTTGTTGATCTTTCTGGCTACTTCCTACCGGAGAGGGGCATTGTGTGGAGAACAGCAGGTAGGATTCCTCCTGGGGCTGGTATAAGGGCCCTCAGAAGAAAGGCATGTTTATGTGTGGTTTCATTTGCATTGTCGTTTGGAGCTTGATAGCCTCTCGGTGAAAAGAAACAATTTAGGTTATTAGAAGACATGTATTAAAATGAGAAAAGGAGGGTAAGGACAGCTTAAAAATCTTGAGGTTGCTGAAATACCCTGATAACTTGTTGCTATAGTTATGCTTGTTAAGAGTTGGGTGAATGGGGCTTGGCTTTGGTTAGCTTCCTTTGTCTTATCCTTCCAAACAAAGAAACCTCTAGGTTATGGCCACTCTATTTACGCTTATTACCTCGCAGTATTTGTAGGATAATTGCCCAGAACTAGAACATCGTTCCAGATTTTTACATTGCCCATTCCTTTCTGTCTCCTCAGAGCTGCAACCAGAGATTGCTGGTTGGTTCACAGGAATACGCGGGGTTAGTTTAAAGTGCAGGCAAAAACATAAAAACAGCCAATGAGACTAGATGTTAATGACAAATGTATGATAAGTTTTGAAACATAATTTCTCTCTCTCCATTACTCATTTTTTAAAAAACAAATCAAAATAGGACTGAGCTGTTTGCAAAAGGGACTTTAGTCTTATATTGGGCCTGATTATTTGCATAAATTGCAGCAAGAATAATTCTTTTTACATACACCCTTTTAGATTGGCTTTAATGGAACTCTGTTCTACAAGGAATCTCAGATAGGATTTTCTGAAGCTGCACCGAGCCATGGGTTTGTGTCCTCAAATACCTGTGAGTTGGGTAAACTCCTCTTTTTTTTGAGGTCCCAAGAGCATGTGTTTCCTGGGCCTGTCAGAAAGTGACGTTCTTTACTCACTGCAGGTTAGGAACCAGGTACGGGGACTGTAGAGACAAGGTATGAGGTCAGTTTTCTCAAGGGGCTTTTTTTTATTGGCTCTGCAAATGGAGCTTGACTCCTTGAAGAGTCTCCTTAAAGCCTTGGTAAAACAACCAGTTTTTCCAATTGTGTCTTGTAGCGAAAGAAAATGAATTCTTATTGGACTGATGTAAACAACTATATTGTTATAAGTCAAGAATACTCATAACCAGTTTCCGAATTCTAGAGGAACCAGGCAGAGAGAAACAAGCATGTTTCAAATTTTGTTCACAGGAGTATACCTTACTTAGTTGTTAAAAGCTGTAGCTAGCTCAAAAGAAAGTCCCCTCAACTCTGAAAAACAAAATAAGGATCAGCAATGTTCCAATCAAAAGTCAAAAAGATTAGTTCAATTTTCTACTAGTTCAATCCATTCAGTTAACTCTTGTCCTGCCTGATACTCCATAACATCTCAGCTTTTCATGAATCTGGTGCATTTTTCTGTTATCACAAACCTGCATTTGAGACTACCTGTTAAAGTCCTACAGCTGATTATAAACCATCCTTTAAAGGGGATTAAAACAAGACAACAATTGTCTGTAAACAACAAAATGTCCAGGGTGGTTACTGTCAGAAACATGTTTGACAAAGAAATTTGGTTACTTCTGTGGTTTACAATAGCTTAACATAATAATCTTAATTATAATTGATAGCATATGTTCAGACATTATAACCTTAGATATCGCATATGGTTTTGGAACATATATTTTTCTTTTTTGTTTTTATTTGAGACAAAGTCTTGCTCTGTTGCCCAGGCTAGAGTGCAGTGGCACAATCTTGGCTCACTGCGATCTCCATCTCCTGGGTTCAAGTGACTCTCCTGCCTCAGCCTCCCAAGTAGCTGGGAATACAGGTGCCTGCCACCGTGCCCAGCTAATTTTTGTATTTTTAGTAGAGACAGGGTTTTACCGTCTTGGCCAGGCTGGTCTCAAACTCCTGACCTAGTGATCCACCCACCTCAGTCTTCCAAAGTGTTGGGATTACAGGCATGAGCCACTGCACCCGGCCGGAACATATGTTAATATTTTGCCCTAAAATATAACCTGAGGATGATTAAATATCATTTTGGAAATCCCACATATCCAAACATGTCAAATAATCCTGTTTACCTCTCTTCTGGGTGCTCCAGGGGCTCTCTGTAGCACTCAAAAGCTAGGGGTCAGGAAAGACAACTTTGAAGTTTGATTTGGGGAAGCTTGTTGAATATATTAGAGGTTTAAAACACTTGATATTATGAAATACAATTTTAGATTACCATAAGTCATTTATTTCGCCAAAATGATGACTCAAAAATTTGAAAAGGCAAAAACCTTTTATTAGCCTTTACTATTACATGAAAATCCTGTTCAAGAGACAGAAGGCCAAATTTCACCATTGCATTAGCCTACTATTAGTGTTAACCCCAATTTTTAGTGAAACCTTCTAGACAATTCTATCCAATCTTAACAAGTTTGACAATGAGGTGAGATTTTCACAAACCTTTTATAACACTTTACAAGTTTTGCTAAAGAGCAGATTAGTGTCTTAAGATAACCTTGTTGTGCTTTTATTTCAGTGCTCAACTTACAAAAAAAAATACCCCTTTTGAATTTAGTCAATATGCTCATACAGTTTTCTTTGCAAGGTTAATTGTTACAATTTTTCCCCAATTTACTTAAACCTTCAGCTTTACTGCATCTCATTTAAGACAATCCTTTATCCCTAGGCAAAATGTACATTTTGCTTAAACCTTCAGCTTTATTTTATCTCATTTAAGATAAGGTAGACCTTTGTCTTAAACCTTCAGCTTTACTTTAACTCATTTAAGACAATCCTTTATCCCCAGGCAAAATGTACATTTCCATGTCTTCTTATAATCTTTTACTAAAAACACACCTTACTGTTTGTACACAGCTTACATGGAAATCTATTGTCAATAGTCTCAATTACATGTCATAATGGTAACTCTTAACAATTTTTAACTTTAATGTAAACCTGGTAAGTTGTTTTATTTATGTACTAGGTGCAAATAAAGTCTGACTCCTTCCAGCATAGTTAGGGGCATGGTTAATTCCATATGTTTCCAGGCCTTACCAATTGTGAAGCAGGCAAGTTGAACAGTGCTTCAAGGCCAAAGGAGAAGTTTACAACCTTAAAACATTTAACAAACCTAGTATATGACCTGAATAATGTAGACCATCTATTTACATCCTGAATACATTTTTATTTTACCAATAATCCCTAAGACGGTTTTTATCTTTAAAGATCAAAGTCACTCGAACCAAGAGGCATTACAGCTCTTCATTTTCCTTTAAAAAATATCTGATCTAAGCACTTACAGGCCAATGAATTAGAGCTCTTTTTTTATAGACATCACACACATATCACATATATGACTGCAAAAACAGACAGAAGAAGATCCAGCAACTCAGAGTGGAGCCTTTAAAGTACAGGGCTAGGAAAACATGTAGCTTCTGGGGCTTAACAAACAGGCATGACTGAAAGACAAAAACAGATTTCAAGAGGAATTTATCAACCTCTAATTCCCAGGGTTCCATGAAGAAAATAGAGATTTTTCTCAAAGTGGGATCTGTAGTCCCCTTTGTGTTTCCCCAAAGAGCCCCAGGTCACCAGAAGTCATCCTAGGGCCTTTGATACATGCACCAAGAGTGGCAAGACAGAGTGGAGAAAAGTAATTCAGTCAACTGAGAAAAACCTTTTCCAGAATAACAAGATCTACGAAGAGACAAACATAAAGACCTTTTAAATATACGTATAGCAGCCAGGTGTGGTGGCTCATGCCTGTAATCCCAGCACTTTGGGAGGCCAAGGCGGGCAGATCACAAGGTCAGGAGATTGAGACCATTCTGGGCAATATGGTGAAACCCTGTCTCTACTAAAAATACAAAAAAAAAAAATTAGGTGGGCATGGTGGTGCACACCTGCAGTCCCAGCTACTCAGGAGGCTGAGGCAGGAGAATCGTTTGAACCCAGGAGGTGGAGGTTGCATTGAGCTGAGATCATGCCACTGCACTCCAGCCTGGTGACAGTGTGAGACTCTGTCTCAAAAAAAAAAATAAATAAATAAATAAAATTTTTAAAAAACTAAACAAATATACCTGTAGCTTGGATTCCACTTTCAATTACACTGAACAGTCTTTAAGAAAATCCTTTTCCATTGATCAGAACTTTATAGAGAATATAAAGTGATCCTTATCATTACTTTTACCAGTTAGCACCACTACCTGTTCACAATCATGTTCAGGTTCTCCAGTTTCCTCTGGGAGGAAAGTGGTTGGGTTCAAGCAAGGACAGATTTTAAATAGACTGTAGATCCCTCTGGAAGCACAGCTTGATATTTGAGGAGGTGATTGTTAACCAGAGACTTTCCTTAGAGGACAGCAGTCCTGCTGTATGGGGTGTAAACAAGTTATTTTCCCATGGTTAACTTAGTGGCCTCTGGCACCAGCAAAGCCACTGCTGCCACTGCTCAGAGGCAGGCTGGCCATCCTTTAGGTACCAACTGACTTAGGTAAATGATGGCTGTTGAGCTGGACCTCGAGCCTGAGTCAAAACTCCCAGGGCTATTCCCTTCCTTTCTGGTAGATAGAGACTGAATCCCTTCCCTATGTGAAGACTGAGGGCTGATGTTTTAAGTAAGGCTTACTTTAGCTGGTTAAAGGCTGAGCCTCAATTTCCCAGGTCAGAGGGTGAGTTTTAACTGCTTGAATTTCTTTTATGAGGTGATATAAAGGGCAAGCTATTTTACCATAACCAGGTACCCACAGTCTGCAAAAGCCTGTAATGCCCCAAAATCCTCTTAGCTGTTTATGAGTTTTGGAAAAGGGAAAGGAGGAAATGGGCTTAATCTTTTCCTCACCAGGTGCTGTGGTCCCTTTTGATAAGACTAGACCTACATACTTTACTGAAGTCTGACAGAGCTGAGCTTTAGATTTTGAGATGCTATATCCCCTTTCAGCTAAGAAACTGAGGACAGCCTCAGTGCCTCCCTGACTTCCTTGGTTGGGGCACAGAGGAGAGTGTTATTTACATACCACAGAGTTTCAACGTGGGAGTGAGAAAAATTAAATAGATTTTTGGACAAAGTTCTGCTTCAGCAACTTCCTTCTGATATCAGGAGCTGCCTAATAAATCTGTTCCTTATTGAATTGGGAGACAGGGAGGTGTGTTTCACTAAGTTCTCTCTCAGTCTTTCCATAAAGGCCATGAAATTTTCATCTGGTTTTTTATCTATCATGGATAACTTAGGGTAATTAAGAGGTTTGGCACTGGTTCTTTGCAAGCCTTTTAATATGCACATCAGAAAGTGTTTTCTTTTCCATGCAACTATGGGATTGCTAGGCTCCAATTAGGGTTTTCAAGGGGACACTATCTCTCTTCCTGTTGGGAATGGAGATGCTGTCTCTTTTTCACCCTCTTTCCCCTTTTGACTGGGTTTCTTTTTTTGACTGGCTATAGGGGACATGCTATTTGTCTCTGAATTTTTCTGCTGCTGGTAGGGCTGCCTGTTTCTCAGCAGCAGTTAGGGTTTGGTGTAGGAGTAACACAACATCTCTTCATGTAAGATCAAACACTTGAATTAGATTTTGGAAAGCCTCTCTATATATCTATTGCGGTCATCAGAGAACTTGCCTAGGACCCCCCTTTTTTTGTCTAAGTTCCTACAATGAGAAGGGAACTTGAACTCTAGTAGCACCATGTCCATTGGACATTTCCTGCAGGGGCAACAGCAGAATTGGGGGTTGCTCAGAGTGAACTTCAGGGTCTGAGAGTTAAAGAAGATTCAAGCTGCACTTGAGGGAAGTGCAGGATTGAAGATAGGTTGTTACCCATCTAAAAAAAAGAGTAGGAGACAAGGCATCCCTAAGCTTCCTTCTTTTTTTGGAGTGACCCAGGGTAGAGAGAAAGATGAAAGGGAATCCCCCTTCACTACTTTCCTCCCATCTTCTGGGTCCCAGTGACCGTCACAGGTGCTGCCCATGGATGCAAGCATGGCTTTCACCCATGCATCCAGAGAAGCTATTTGGCAGGAATAATCACACTTAACTGTTCATAGCCCTAGTCTTCCGTGGGTGCTTCCCCTTTAACTTCCTAATCTTGCATGACCAGTATGGCCACTAGGTCCCCCAGGTAGGGGGAGACAAATTGGATGGGTCCTGGGAAAAACTGCATAATAGTTGTTGCTGGGCAAGTCCCCTTAATGAAGGGAGGGTTCTGGCTCTACCTCTATATTCCACTATTATGGCCCAGACTAAAGTATTCATTCATAGAGAATAGGTCCAACTGACTTCCAAACATAAAACCCCTCTTTGTTTAAATGCCAATGTAGTTGGATGCAGAACAGGTGTCTCAAAAGAACATAAGGATGAAATGGCTGTCGTCCCTTTGATGGGGACAGTACTGAGGCTAGAATTTGTCTCTCAAGGGTAGCTTCCTCCAGATATTGAAGGAGGAGTTTTTCTGTCTACAAATGGGGCATGGAGCCTGGTACCCAGTAGAGGGAATAGGAGGGAAATGAATTGGGAAATGAGAGGTTTTGGCCAACGGGCCAATAGGGCCCCCATGGAGAAAAAAATCCCATTCCACTAGGTGGCATGTCAGAGATTGGAACACCAAATAGTAGTCTCCAAATGCTCTCCAGACAAAGCTTAGAGAGGGAAGTTTGAGGAGTGATAGGCCATCTTTTCAACATGCTCCCAGCAAGATAAACAATAGTCCGTCTCATAGAGAGGTTGTCTAGTTCTTCTGGACAGTGCTGGCTTCTCACATGGAAAAAGAAACAGCTTAAATGGATCGGGGTTGGGGGGATAGTCACTCAGGGAGAAATAACCGCCCATCCAACCCCAGTGAGTGCTATTATTGGGAAATAAATAGGTCTCAGAATCCCCCAATTTCAAGAGAATCACAGAGACAGCAAGTTTTTTAATTACATTCTTGATTACTCAGGCACTGGCTGACTTTACCCAATAAGATTATATCCCCAGGTTGTAGAAACACCCACAACATTGCATACAAAGAAGGGATAGGAGATATAATAGCAATGAAAAGAAAGGAAGAAAATGTGATATAACAGTCTGGAGGTCCTGTTGTCAACACTCAATGGGCAGTCAGGAACTGGAGTTAGTTCAGGGGTCTTCAGGTAACACCAAGGTGTAGCTTCAGCCAGAAAATTTCAGTTGCCCCAGGACCTCCTTGCAGCCCCACACGATAACCAGGCCCTCAGTGAGAAGAAACTGTATTGGAACAGAGCCAACATTCCCAACACTCAAGGGCAATTCAGCCTGTTGCCTGAATTTTAAGGCTGGCAGCCACACTAAATATATCTAAATGGCTAACAGGGGCCCAGTGTTTTTTTTCACTCTTGAGAGGAAAAAAAAAAAAAAAAACAGAGGGCGAGAAACCCTGGAAATAAAACTAGAGTTATGGTTCTGCTCCTACTCACCCTTTCGATAGATCCGAGATGAGCCCCCACTAATGAAACAGACCAGGGTCACTGATCTTGTTGTCTAAAGTGTTGTCTGAGCTCATTGTCTCATATCCAAGAAAATTAAGAAGTGTGATTGCAAAAGATGAGGTTGGAATGAAAGAGGAAAGCTCTTCCAAGCAGAGAGGGGGAGCCAGAGTGAGTTGCCATTTTTACAGTGGAATTCAAAGTTTTTATAAGAAATTCCTCTCATCTCTGTAGCTATTTGAGTATCTTCTCTTATCTGAAAAGCTGTCTGCACAACTCCCCTGTGCAGGACCCTGCCTGCTTATTGTGCAGGTACAGCCTGAATTTTCCCTAGGCTGCTGTATTTTTGCCTGTAGCTGTACTTTTTCAGGCAGGCTGCTTCTCCAAGGACCACCCTTAGCTGTTTACCTGATTTTTTCCTTTTGTTCTCCCTCACTGTTATAACAGAATACCAGAGATGGGTAATTTATAATGAAAATAAATTTATTTCTTATAGTTCTGGAGGCTGGTAAGTCCAATATTGAGGGGCCAGCATTTGGTGACCTTCTTGCTACATAACATGACAGAAAGGATCACATGGACAAAAGAATGAGCAAGAGATCAAACTCACAGCCTCAAGCCCTTTTATAATTTGCATTAATATATTCATGGTGGTGGATAGCTCATGACATAAAAACCTCCCAACACTTGCAATGGGGATTAAGTTTCCAACACATGCTTTTGGGGAACACATTCAAACCATAACATTTTGTCCCTGGCCTCCCAAATCCATGTCCTTTTCACATATATAATATATTCATTCCACCCAATAACCCCCAAATCTTAATTTATTCCAGCATTAACTCAGAAGTCTGAAGTCCAAAGTCTCATCTAAATAAGATATGGGTGAGACTTAAGACACAACACACCTTGAAGCAAATTCCCCTCTAGCTACTGGCTTGTGAAATCAAAACAAGTTAAGTGCTTCCAAAATACAGTTATGGGACAGGCATGGGGCATACATGTCCATTCCAAAAGAGAGAAATGGGGAAAAAGAAAATAACAGACCCTAAGCAAGTCCAAAACCCAACGAGAAAGATAACATTAAATGTGAAAACTTCAAAATAACTTTTTACTCCATGGGCTACCTTCTGCACACTCTGGGGTAGGTTGGGCCTGCAATGTTTTCAGCAACCTCAGCCCCACGGCTTTACTGGGCTCAACCAATGCTTCAGCTATCTAAGGTTGAAGTCTCATTCTGTTACAAACTACAAACTGTTAGGCTCCCCATGTAATGGAAGTTAACACGGGGCCAAGCAGATTTCCCAGATAAGGCTTTAATTGTGGGGCTTGAGCTCAAGTGCAAGAGAGACAGCAGAGGCACAAGGACCTTCTGGATGGCCCCTTTAAAAAAGCCGGTAGAAATTTTTTAATCAAAGCGTAGGCATTGAAATCAGGAGTGGGTTTGCGGTGGGTATTTCTTCCCCTTGTATACAAGGTTGAACAAAACATGTGAGGGGTGGGGTATGTAGGTCAGCATATCTGGTTGTGATGGCTATCTTAAGTAATGGTCCACTTGGTGGTCTGGATGGTGGCAACAAGGCTATAAATCAATTGTTCAGCATTCTTTCCTGAGGTAGGACACTCCACAATCTTGGCTATTTCCTAAGGCATGTTCCTGGAATTCTTTGAGTCAAAGGACTATTAGTGGGTATGGTATCAGTGAGGTAGTGGTGTGGGTTTTGTGATCAGTGGGAATGCATGAAAGAATGCCCTAGTGGGAGTGAGTTGAAGCCAAGTCCTTTCCCTACTCTGTTTCAATCCTCCCTGAAAAATTTTATCCTCCTTATTTTTAGAGACAAAGGTCTGAAGGTCTCCTCTTCTGAATCTGCTTCCCACTAGCCAGGGACATCATCCCTGCCTAATTTTTGAGGTCACAAAAAATCCCTTACTGACTAATTGAATGTGTTATAGGGGCTTAGCTCCTCCCCGTAGGATATTAGGGTTTGAAATCCTTGCACCACCATCAGCTTGACGTGGACTGCTGAGACCTAGAAGAGATAAACTTTAACAGTCTGCACCTCTGTTGAATATAACAAATAATTATTTTAAAAATCAAATAGCACCCAATGATCATTAATAAAATGCTTAAGCCTAGTTTAACAATGCTTGTAAGAATAGATCAGATGTCATTTAGAATCTAAGTGAATAGACTGGAAAACCAATCTCTTGTTGTCTGAAATATAAGGCAAACAGATTTTTAGTAGAGGTATTTCTATAGAAACAGAAGAAAAACAAATGTTAATCATGGGCATAATGTATCCAGATGTTAGACTCAATGCATTTTCAGTTACAGAGGAGGAAATCAGTGGCATTCTGGCACATTATTCTCATCTATGTTACAAGGAATAAGCTTCAGGTTGTAGGGTCTTAGAAAAAAGGTAATAGCAATTCTATTGAGTTTAAGTCAGAAAATTGGAAGGTAATTTTTTAAATGTTAGTGTGGAGACCTGTAGCCCAGAAAGGATTTAAGATTCAGTCCAAATTGCAGAAAATAATAAAAACCAATAAAAAATGGACAAGGCTGGACTCTAATAACAGTTGTCTTATAAATTGTTGTTGTAGCATAATTTTCTCTCTCCAGTCTCTCATTTTTATCAAAGACAAACCATGATAGGACTGATCTGTTTGCACAATAAGTTTCAGTGTTATTATGCATGACCTTATTTGCATAAAGAATGGCAATAATAATTATTTTCCTTATGGGTTCTCTTCTTACTTGGCTTTTCTAGAACTTTGTTCCATAAGGAATCTCAGATAAGACTTTTTAAGGTCATGAGGTCAGCCACATATTTATCCATGCCTGCAAATACTTGTATGAATTGGGTAAATTCTTCTGCTCTCAACGCCTCAAGATAACTTCAGGCTCTTGGACTTGTTAGAAAGTGACATTCTTTACTTACCGAAAGTCAGAAACCCTCTACAGGACTACATAGGCAAGGCATGAGGCCATTTGTGCAAAGGGACTTTTATTGGCTTTGTGAATCAATCACATGTTTTAAAAAGTAGTTTGAAAGCAGGCTACTCCAGTTTACAGATGCCATGGAAATGTCAGGAAGTTGCCCTATATGGTCTAAAAGGGGAGGAACCCTCAGTTCCAGGAATCACTCACCCATTTCCCAGAAAACTCATGAATAGTCTACTCTTTCTTTAGCATGTAATCAAGAAATAACTAAGACCAGCCTGGAAAACATGATGAAACACCATCTCTACTAAAAAATACAAAAACTAGGCAGTTGTGGTGGCTGGCACCTGTAAACCCAGCTACTTGGGAGGCTGAGGCAGGAGAATCACTTGAACCTGGGCGGTGGGGGTTGCAGTGAGCCAAAATCACACCACTGCACTCCAGCATGGGTAACAAGAGCGAAACTCCATCTTGAAAAAAGAAATAACCATAAAAATGGCAACTAGCAGCTCAGGCTGCTGCTTTACCTATGGAATACCCATTCTTATTCCTTTACTTTCTTAATAAACTTGATTTCACTTTAAAAAATAAAAAAACACTTGATATCAATAAATAAGATCACAGATCATTCATTTAGCCTAAATTATTACTCAAAAAATTTCAAAAAGGCTGAAACCTTTAAAAATAACAAGATCCAATAAAGACAGCATGAGGCCAACTGAGTCTGTCTCTTCTTTCTCCCCTCTTTTCCCCTTTTCTTCTGCAGTTTACTCTAAAGGCAAACAAAAATATTTCACTATTTTTAACATTATATAAAAATAAAAAAGAAATAAATCTATTCAATTTTAATTAGTTTGATCACAAGGTAAGATTTTTGTAAACCCTTTATAATTTTTTAATTAAAAAGCCAATTAATGCTCTACAAAAATCCTGTTATTTAGGCAGAGAGGCCCAGATTCTGGGCCTGCATCAGTGTACTTTTTACATTAATGTGCTGTCCATAGAAAAACTAAATTATCCCCTTTATATTTTGGCCAACTTGCTCATACACAGGACTTCGCTTCTAAGATCAATATTTTATAGATTTTTTTATAACTTACTAAAATCTTTTTTTTTTTTTGAGACAGAGTCTCACTCTGTCCCCCAGGATGGAGTGCAGTGGCATGATCTCAGCTCACTGCAACCTCTGTCTCCCAGGTTCAAGTGATTCTCCTGCCCCAGCCTCCTGGGATTACAGGTGCCCACCACCATGCCTGGATACTTTTTATATTTTTAGTAGAGACGGGGTTTCACCATGGTGGCCAGGCTGGTCTCGAACTCCTGACCTCAGGTGATCTTCCCACCTTGGCCTTCCAAAGTGCTGGGTTTATAGCATAAGCCACCATGCCCAGTCTTAAATCTTAAATTTAATCTTATCTCTATTTTCAAATGTTATTTTAGGTCTGGGGCACATATGCAGGTTTGTGATGAAGAAAAATTGCATGTTGTGGGGTTTGGTGTACAGATTATTTTGTCACCGAGATAATAAACACGATACTAGGTAGTTTTTCAATCCTCACCCTCCTCCCACCCTCCACCCTCAAGTAGATCCTCGTGTCTGTTGTTCCCTTCTTTGTGTCCATATGTACTCAATGCTTAGCTTACACTTATAAATGAGAATTTAAAATCTCCAAACTAGACAATATTCATTCTCTTTAAAAAGTCACACTCCTATGCCTCTTTATAATATTTTACCAAAGGCACATAACTCTTATTTTTAGTGAGAAACATAGGAGGGAAATCATTTTAATTATACATCGGGTGCACAGCCTAGAACACAGGAAAGAACTTCAGATAATGTCTGACCCTTTTCAGCACAGCTAGTGGGCATGGCTAACTCCACATGTACCCAGGCCTTACCTGGAATCTAGTCACCCTAATGCAGCCAAGTTGAACAATTATCAAAAGCCATAAAAGCAGCTTATAACCATAAAGCATCTAGCAAAGACAATATCTGACCTGCTTGATTTAAACCAAATGTCTAAATTTTGAAGACTTTTTATTTATTTTACCAATAATCTTTAAAACTGTCTTTAATTACCAAAGATTACTGAAGTCATGTGAACTAAAGGTATTAAAGTTTCCGTTTCCATTTTTCTGACAAAATATTTTAAGTGCTTATTTTTCTTTAAGTCATTAATTTTATATAAATATTCCACATACAACATGTATAAATAGACAGAAGCAGAACTAGTAGAATTATAATATTTCTTACTTTCCAGTGTTTAAGTTTCTATTTTCCATTTTAGACCATCAGTCTCTTGATTACCTGTTCCTTGCTGTGAACAATTGTCAGCTAGAAAACTTTAAATTTGCATTACTAAAGGAAAACTTTTAGGTAAAACAGGATAGAGGATTTATATTTTACTCTAAGAAAAAAATGGTGTGAGTGAAAGTTCAGCTAAGATGTCCAGGAAAGCAGACATTCTAATACATGAAGATTCCCTTAAACATGTCAATGTTTTCATTGTATTATTGGCTTTAGGGCAGAGCTTTTCAAGGAACAGGGCCAAGAAAGCACGTGGTTTGTAGGGCCTAATAAGCCAGCACAGCTGAAAGGCGAAACAGTTCCCCAGGAATTAAGGACGTGATTTTTACACCAAATCCTGGGTCCCCCAAAAGAGGGAAATGCTACGGGACAAGACAGTGCAATGCTTGCACAATGTATATCATTTCAAAGACATTTCTCCAAGGCTGTGGGCAACCCAAAGCCAATCAACCCATTCTGTAATCAGTCCATTCCCCCATTTCATGCCTTAAAGGGTGCCCAAGTGCATGCTTTTCTCACTTAAATGTGTGTAGAAAGAAGTATTAGCCTGTAATAACCACTCACTGTAAGCAACCGCCATTAGCCATTCCTAGAAGTATATCTTCTACCTGTATATCAAGACTAAAATTTCTTTCATAATGAAAAGTAATTTCTGATGCTCCCCAAACTCAAAAAAGTTAAGTATCGATGAAAAGCAGAGCAGAGGCTCAGATTTTGAAAGGGATCTGTCCACTTAAAATTCTTAGGGTTCCATGAGAAAAACAGGTTTCTCCAAAAACAGGGCCTATGGCACCACCACTCTTCTTCCCAAGGTCCGCCAGGCTGTCAGAAAATACCTTAGGTCCCTTTGTGTGGGCATTTAGGATGGCAAGAAAACAGACAGAAATCAATGGAGAAATTGTTCAGCTGACTGAGAAGAAGAAAAACTTTTTTTCTCAAAAAACAAGATTCAATAAGAGAAAAAAGCATAAAGTTCTTTTAAATATATGTATAACTTGGATATCTTTCTTAAATTAAGCTGACTTTTAACTATAGAGCTCTTTAAAACAAACAAACAAACAAACAAACAAACAAACAAACAAACAAAAACCTTTTAAATCGCCCATTACCAAACTATAGCTAAGACAAATAGCTGACACCTCTGGCTTTTAAGCTGCTTCCCGCCCAGGTATTCTCCCAAATGAAACCAATAAGCCTTAACTATGATTAGGACATAACCATAGATACATGAGGTTTTTCCAAAGAAATGGCAGTGGTTCTTGCAAGATTTATAATCACTGTTAATGTAGCTCAGAAAAAAAATATTAACACTGTAAATTAGAAGCTGTCCATGGAGGGAAGATGAATCAATAAATGGCAAAAGTCCTACATGCATCAAAGCAGAAAGAATTCACTCCCTAAGCCAGGAATTGAACCCGGGGTGCCATCATGAAAAGATAAGAATCTTAGCTACTGAGCTACAGCAGGAAGCGGTTGCCAATGTCTTTCCCAGAAAGAGTTATAGCAGTCATTTCTGAGCCTGCAAAAGATGTTAACTGCTCAAGAGAATTCTTAAGGCTAGCCATGACATTATCATGTGTTCTTTGAGACAGGATGTCCGACGTAAACCTGAAAATTCCCACCCTCCAGATGGCCGAGACCAAGAAAGAGTACCTCAATATGGTTGCAAAGTCAATTTCTCAAGGACATAAAACAAGACAGAAGGGAAACCTTACCAGTTTTGCTTCTGGGACCTGAAGCAAAGTTTGTAACTAACCAGTCGGCTGGGCCAACTTGAACAGCAGGCTTACAAGGTCCTAGGCCCACGTTCTATCCTGTGGTACCCCTTTCCAAGACAGAACAACACAGAAACACAATTGCACAGCACAAAGTACACCAGATTTGCTATAGCCTCCCCGTTTTTTTGTTTTTTTTTTTTAACCATTAATTAAAATCATGCAGAGGAGACAAACAATGGTTTTTACCATTCACCTAACTGGTTTGCACAGAGAAAGGCCAGAAGCCTGGCTGGTAATAAACTCTTATTGTTTTGCCAGCATTCCAGGATTCCAGATTCCCTTTCTCTGTAACTTCCAGAAAAGTAGAGTGGCTTTTGATGATCCTGCTCACTGCACCATAGCTGTGGGGGCCAAGCTGTGTTACAAAGTCTCTCATTTTTGCAAGATGCTGTCCAATGGGTTGCATGGAGAAAAAAAGGTGTCAAATTAAACACACAAAAGGAAAAGCAGATCAGGATGTCAGTGATGCAGACTTCAAACCCACATGCTGTCACGTTCTCTCCTCACAAAGACAGCACAGAGTCAATAGGCTCACAGGCTGGAACAGACAGATGACAGAACAACCCATAGACTTCCCTTCTCCACAAAGTGTGGCAAAGGGAGGAAAAGTACTTAGAAGACTTAAGAAGATTACAAAGTTCAAGCCAGGGTGCCAGACAGAGTTTCCTATCAACTGAACCAATTGGCTGTTTCAATCCATCCTGCACGATGCCTATTAAGACTGAGCCAACCGACTGTTTCAGCCCGTCCCTCACAGGTACCTTTTCAGGTGAAGCCGATGAAGTTAACGAAAAGCAAAGAAGAAAGGAAAGCTGGAAGAAGAAGGAAAAAGACACAACAAATCGGGGACAGGAGGGGAGGGAAAGTGTTGTCTGCAAGGTTGGAAAGGAGACTTCAGGAAGCTGGAGAAAAACTCACCAGTTGCCTCAACGTTGAATCAAAGATCCAGGCAGCCGCTCTTCAGCTGTGAAGGGGTCATGTCTGGGCATCCCACTGGCTCATGAACCTCCCTCTCCAGGGAGGAAAATTCTCCCCACATCCCATGGCCTACTGCAGTCACCAGAGAATCTGTTACAGACCCATATAATGGAAATTAACATGGGGCCAAGCAGATTTCCCAGACAAGGTTTTTATTTCTGGGCTTGTATTCCAGTGCAAGGGAGACAGTGGAGGTGCAAGGATTCTTTAGCTGGCCCTCCAAAAAGAGCCAGTATAGAATTTTTAGTAGGCAAAGCATGGGAATTGACATCAGGGGTAGGGTATGGAGGCTGGGTTGGGCACAGCACGTGAGGAGTAGGGTACACAGGTCAGCATATCTGGTTGCGATGGTTGTCTTGAGTAATGGGCCACCAGGTGGTCTAGTCAACAGCAGCAAGGCTGTAAATCAGTTGTTCAACATTCCTTCCCAAGGTGGGACACTCAGCAACCTTGGTTCAGTATTTCTGATCTCCTAAGGCCAGTTCCTGGAATGAAGTAAAAGGACTATTCGCAGATATGGAATCAATGAGGTAGTGGTATGGGTTTTGTGATCAGTGAGAATGCATGAAACAATGCTCTAGCGGGGATGAGCTGAAGCCAAACCCCATCCCTGCTCTGTCTCAATTCCTGTGTCTCTTCCAGGTTGGCATGGCACACTGGTAGTTCAACAGTTCTGGGGTCTCAGTGGCACCCCAACCCCTGTGGCTACCCTAGGCATTGCCCTAATGGAGACTTTCTGTGGTGGCTTTGCCCCATGTTTCTGCCCCTAGATTTTCCATAGCATCCTTTGAAATCTACTGGTCAAGCAAAGTGTGGCATGGTTTTTTTTTTTTTTCCTCTTAGAGTAAAATGAGAGAAGGGAGAAATTATTTAAAGACAGAATTTATAATTCAAATGGAATCAGAACGGAAAGATGTAGAAAACCCTAAGCTTGGCCATGTAAAGAATAAAGAAATACGTTCAGGAGAGAATGCTAATGGTGTGGCAAAGTGACCATTTTCTAAAGAGATTAATATGGATAAAAGAAAGCCAGGTTCTAGTCATCAAGCAATTGGAAAATGAACTTGAAGGTAGTTCAGAAGAATCTTAGAGGCAAGGTAGGACCTGGAGGCTACCAGGGAGCCACAGCTCTTGCACGCTGCACACCTCTAGAATTAGCACCATGTGCACGCTGCACACCTCTAGAATTAGCACCATGTGCACGCTGCACACCTCTAGAATTAGCACCATGTGCACGCTGCACACCTCTAGAATTAGCACCATGTGCACGCTGCACACCTCTAGAATTAGCACCATGTGCACGCTGCACACCTCTAGAATTAGCACCATGTGCACGCTGCAGAGTTTACTGCTTCTACTTTCGGAAGCAGTAAGTTAAGCAGCACTTGAGCCCACTTGAGCCAAGGCTGGGGTGACCAAAGAGTGCTGCCCCAGAATGTGGGGAACAGAGTCTTGAGGTAGCCCGGGGTAGCCAGTTCTGAGATCTTGTATATGCCTCTTTTTGAAAATGTAGCCCTCAAGGTCCTACCTTGCCAGAAATCCTATTGCTCTAAAGTTCTGCCTTCCAGAAAGTCCTAGGACATGAACAAAATTATGACAAGTTCTTTGCAACCATTTAACAAGAATGGCCTTTAACTCCAGCTTCCAATGCCTTGTTCCTCAGTTCCATCTAGTATTTTGTCAGAATAGCTTTTACTGTTTATATTTTGACCAGCATTCTAATTATTACCACTTAAGTGATACCTAAGAAATTCTAGATTTTGGCTGGGCGCAGTGGCCCATGCCTGTAATCCCAGCACTTTGTGAGGCCAAGGTGGGCAGATCACCTGAGGTCAGGAGTTTGAGACCAGCCTGGCCAATGTGGTGAAACCCCATCTCCACTAATAATAAAAAAGTCGCCAGTTGTGGTGGCATGTGCCTGTGATCCAGCTACTTGGGATGCTGAGGCAGGAGAATCCCTGGAACCTGGGAGGCAGCGGTTGCAGTGAGCCCAGATCGTACCACTGCACTCCAGCCTGGGTGACAGAGTGAGACTCTGTCTCAAAAAAAAAAAAAAAACAAAACAAAAAATTCCAGATTTTCCCTGCAGTTCTCTTTTTCTGAGCCCTCAACAGAATGGGTCCCTAATGCTCTGTTCACAGTGATACAGTCTTTTTCTAGCCTATTTCTCCAAATTCTTTCAGCCTCTGCCCATTATGCAGTTCCAAAGCCACTTCCACATTTTCAGGTGTTTGTTATATCAACACTCCCATTTATTGGTATGAAATTTTTGTCTTATTCCATTTTGTGCTGCTATGTCAGAATACTACAAACTGAGTGATTTATAAACAATTGAAATTTGTTTGATTCATAGTTCTGGAGGCCAGAAAGTTCAGGGGGCTGGCATCTGGTAAGGGCCTTCTGGCTGAATCATAACATAAAGAAAGGTATCACATGGTGAGAGAGATCAAACTCATAGCCTCAAGCTCTTTTATAATCCACATTAACCCATTCATAAGGGTGGAACCCTTATGACCTAAACACTTCCCATTAAGCCCCACTTCCCAAAACTTTTGCATTTAGAATTAAGCTTCCTTCACATTGTTTTTTAGAGGACACATTTAATCCATATAAATAACTAAGAAATACTGACCCCTGAAATAGGTCTTTGCCAAACACAGGCTGTGACCAGAAACATACCAGAATGCCCAGCCCTGGAAACTGTGGCTTCAGTGGCCTGTCATTTTTTTTTTTAGACAGAGTCTTGCTCTGTTGCCCAGGCTGGAGTGCAGAGAGGTGCGATCTGGGCTCACTGCAAGCTCCGCCTCCTGGGTTCACGCCATTCTCCTGCCTCAGCCTCCCGAGTAGCTGGGACTACAGTCACCCGCCACCATGCCCGGCTAATTTTTTGTATTTTTTGTAGAGGTGGGGTTTCACCGTGTTATCCAGGATGGTCTCGATCTCCTGACCTCGTGATCTGCCCAGCTCAGCCTCCCAAAGTTCTGGGATTACAGGCGTAAGCCACCACACCCAGCCTGTCATTCTGATTGCCCTAGGGTGCGTCACCAACTGAGCCGGTATCTAGCCCCCAAAGTTTAACCAATTAGTAAAGTTCATTATTAATATTGTAACAACTAGAAAACTTGGGCAAAGAACAATGTGGCAAACACCAGAAAGCACAGAAACAAGCAACAAGGCTAAAGCACAAGCTTGCCATAGGTGGAAGTTCTGTACCAAGCCTCTTTTATGGTGGACTGGAATTGATTCACAAGCCAAGTGAAGTCCCTCCCTGCAGCCATGCAAGATTCCGTGGTCATGGCCATCCTGTTTGAGATGCCAACTGCTTTTTAAGATTAAACAATTATTTTGATGGCAGGACACAACACAATAACACTCAAATAGAAGAGAAGTAGAAGTTTTTGTTATATACAGCTCCAAAGGAGAGGAGATTGCCAGGTAGGGTGAAACAGGGGATTGCATCAGAAGACAGGGTAAGGTAATAGCAACATGGAACTGTAGGGGGAAACTTACATATGGCAAATAGGGTGGGGTTAGCTAGGTTTTGTGAACTCCTCATGGATTGTCTAATTTGAATACTCTTTTAGGCCCCAGGGTATAGGAGCTGTCCCTAGATGTCTGGTACCTGAATCCGGTGCACTTAAGGCTGATGCATGATGGCCCAGAGGGTGAGATTCTAATAAGGAAAGTGGTTGGGGTACGGACTTACTGAGCTGTTTAAGAAGAGGAACTGACCAGCCTCTAGCAAGAACCTCAAAATTGAGTGAAGATTAAAAACAATCAAACAAATGAAAACCCCACTATATAACATAGATATTCTGTCCTAGCTAACTCGATGACACAGGATGAACCTCTCACCCAAAACTGGGTTTAGATATCCGAATTGATAAGACTCACACACAACTCAAGAGGGTATAAATATGTTTACTGCTCACATAATGAAGATTTCCGGGGAAAGCAAGGCAGCTCCAAAGCAGGTCCAAAAATGGCTTAAGAGAATGAAAAAAGAAAATGGACTTGTGGTTTTGAAGGTAGTTAGGAGTGTGGCTGGGATGAGCATTCCATTGCATGGTTTTAATTTCCTGCTCCTGCACCAAAGGATGGAGTACCCACATTTTCTTATCATATTGTCTATATGTGAGGTAGAAATGGAAGCGTGAGCTATGGAACTTGAAAGCTGTCAGAAGTCAAATATCAAAAATGAATGATGCCTTTTAGACACATAGCTTGAACTACAGAATATGGCTGAACTATGATGCAAGATAAACACCTGCCTTTATTGTCCAAGATTAAACAAAGTATCTCCTTAAGGCATTTCAGCCCCGCATCAACTATAGCTTCTAGAGACCATAGACTTCTACCAATTTTTCATTCGTTGCAAAAAAGTAATTGAGAGATTGAGAGGCTACATAGGGACTGCAAGATAGCAAGCAAGGCCTTTTGGAATATAAGCTTTTAGGTGTTAAAGTTGCATTTTAGCTTTAGGTTTGAAATTGCATTTATTAGTGTACTTAGGCAAATTTCATGTTGAATATGAATGAATATTGCATTTTCATGAATGAATATTACAATTTACATTTTTATATCTGTGGTTACTGTAGTTTTTATTCTTTATCCTTTCTAATAAGTTTCATAGATTTTTACAAAAAGAGTTATCAATTTTGACATTATTGACAGGAAATGCATAAGAAGCAAGTTTGTTCCATTTGGATTGTACAATCTTTTTTTAAAAAATTGTGTTCTGCCTGGGCACGGTGGCTCATCACTGTAATCCCAGCCCTTTGGGAGGCCGAGGCGGGTGGATCATGAGGTCAGGGGATCGAGACCACCCTGGCTAACACGGTGAAACCCCATCTCTACTAAAAATACAAAAAATTAGCCGGGCGTTGTGGCGGGTGCCTGTAGTACCAGGTACTTGGGAGGCTGAAGCAGGAGAATGGAGTGAAACCGGGAGGTGGAGCTTGCAGTGAGCCAAGATCGCACCACTGCACTCCAGCCTGGGCGACAGAGCAAGACTCCATCTCCAAAAACAAAACAAAACAAAACAAAACTGTTTTCTACTACTATATCCTCAACACAGATAACTTCTGATATCAGATATGTGGGGATCTCTCCCCATACACCACGAAATTCTCTAGCAAACTCACAAAAGCTAGGAAAACAGTTTACTTATTATTGCTAACTTATTACAAAGGGCATTTCAAAAGATACAGATGAATAGCCACATAAAGAGATACATAGGGTGAGGTCTAGAAAGGTCCCAAATGCAGGAGCTTCTGGCCTCATGGAATTGGGGTGTGCCACTCTCCTGACACGTGGAAATGTTTCTATTCATTAGCCCGGAAGCTCCCCAAGCCCCATACGTTAGGGATTTTTCTATTTTTTTTTTTTTTTTGCTGGATGCATCATCACATAGGGATGATCAATTATTAACTCAATTTCAAGCCCAATTAGTCATTAACAGTCAGTCCATTTCATCACACAGTGTGACCAGAATGTTTCCTAGAGGGATGCCACTCAGGTTTGCAGGCTGCCATTCAACTTTGTCAGGTTTCAAAAGCAGGGGTGGTCTTGGAAAACACATTGCTTCACCCTTCTGGGCATCTGGTATAATTGTGCTAGGAGATAATATCATTCTCTTGCTCTGAGCCTCTCTTGAGGTATTAATACAACATTAGGCTTCTCTCATTGCATAATCCACTTATTTAGTCTTTTACCCTCAGCTATTATTTCTCCTTCTCTCCATTTGACATTTATTTTTACTCAAACTCTCCACCTTTTAGAGGGATAATGTGCTCAACCACTGTCTTGGTCTACAGTACTGCTAGCAATACTATTCTACCAAGTGCCTTGCTCTCAGCTCAGTCCCACTGATACAGGCTGAGGTTACATAGAGATAAAAATACGAGCTATTCTAACCACTAGGAAACATGGTAGCATTCACTGTCAACCCCAACTGTGCCAGTCCATCCTTCAGGCTTTTGGAAATTCTGGCCTAAAGTTTAAAGGTATAGGTATAGTTTCTTGCTTAGGAATCAGCCTGCTTCCAGTACCTGCAGTTGCACCCCTGGTCTTGGAATCACTGCATCAGGTAGGAAAAAAGACAACTGAGGAGATATGGGGAAGAATTGTGTAGTTGTATTAGAATCCTTCCCCAACCTCTTGGTATGGTTTGGATTTGTGTTCCCTCCAAATATCATGCTGAAATGTGACCACCAATGTTAGAGGTGGGCCTAGTGGGGGGCATTTGGGTCATGGGATTGGATCCCTTATGAATGGCTTAGCATCATACTCTTGATGATGAGTGAGTTCCTTCTCAGTTACTTCACACAAGATCTGGTTGTTTACAAGAGTCTGGGAGTTCCTCTTCTCTCTCTTGCTGCCTCTCTCACTGTGTGACGTGCTGGCTCTCCCTCACCTTCTGTCATGATTGTAAGCTTCCTAAGACCCTCACCTGAAGCAGATGCCAGCACCATGTTTCCTGTACAGCCTGCAGAACTGCGAGACAAAATAAACCTCATTTTCTTTGTAAATTACTCAGCCTCAGGTATTTCTTTACAGTGTAATCAAAATGCTGGTTCAGTCACTCACCACTTGCAGAGCCCAACTGATAAGAGTGAAGTTTGGTATAAAGAAAGTGACTTTGTATTCCAAAGCTAGCTTAGGGGAAAAATTTCCAGCTTCCTGCTTTTAGGGTATCACTTCACTTTTGGAGAAGAATGTGAGCACATTGAAAGGGTACCTAACATGAACAGCATGTGGGTGGTGGGAAAGCAAGCAGGTGAGGGGTCTGCATGTTAGCTTAGTGTTTTATCTACAGCGTGGTCAAGCTGGTGACTGCTGGCATCTTCACGGGCAGGCATACTTTGGGTTGTAAATTGACTGTTATCTCTCGAGGCAACCTGCTGGTGGGTTAGAATTCCTTTTGGGATCTCCTAAGCATGTAGTTAGATGAACTTGCTCTGTAGGGAGTGTCTGGTGAAGGGCAGGTAAAATGCTATATTTGTAATCCTAAAGGGCTAAATAGAAATTGGGGAAAATGAGGAAAGAGAAAAGAAGAGAGAAAGATAATTAAACTCTCTCTTTGAAAAATGGGGGCACTTGGTTACAATTTCCTACTGCCAAGTTCCATTTTTTTTTTCTGTGGGATTTTTGTGTCATATTTATTCTGGCTACTTCCTGCTGAAAGAGGGTATACTCATTGGGTGTCAGGATGAAACTGATCTCTTTGGAGTTGGAAATATTCACAATACCTGGACTTACAGAGGATACTTTTGGACCATTATGGTGCAAGGTCTCTGGGAAAGCCTGTTGTGTATTCTTATTACAGAGGGTGCAACAGCAGAAAACTTCACAACAGAGGGAAATGTCTACTGCAACCAGGGCCAATGTTACAAGCAGCTTTTTCCACCAGGATGGTCCTGACCTGAACCAGGACACTAACCATTGGTCAAGTGACAATGTGGGATAAGGCATAGCTTTGTTTTATTGGTGCATATCTTGCAGGGCTATCTGAGACATTTTCCAAATTGCCTGGGATGTATACACAGAAGTTAGTCTTAATTATAAGGCATGCTCCCCATTTCTAATAGTAACTGGTTGTGATGAAAGATTGGCTAAGTGTATATTCAACAGGTTACAGGAAGAACTGTGAATACTCATGAAGGCAGTCATAATCCTGTCTAGTTCTTGAGAGTAGATTAGTTTTGTAGTTGCATCCCATCTAGGAAGTGACATTGCAGATGGGTGAGGCCTCTGTATATAATGAAGGCAAACAGATTTTTAATAAGAGACATTTCTATGGAAACAGAAGAAAGACAAAGTGTAATGTTAGGCACAATTTATCCATATGTCAGACTCAAAGCATCTTCAGTTATAGAGAGGGAAGGTGGTGGCAGTCTGACAATTTTTTCTTGCCTGTATTACAAGGAATAATGTAATAGTCATTTCATTTAGTCAAAATCTGAAAAACGGAAGAAAAATTTAAAAGTGTTAATTTGAGACTTATATCCCAGAAAGAATTCAGGATTCAGGCCGAATTGCATAGAATAATAAAAAAACAGTGGTCAAGACTGGAGTCTACCAAGTGTACTATAGTTTTTAACCGAAACATATTATTCTCTGTTCAGTCCCAGTTTTTACTAAAGACAAATCATAATAGGAACAATTGATTTGCAAAATAAGTTTTAGTCTTATTACGCTTGACCTGAGTATTTGCAAATAGTGCAGCAAGAATGATTATTGGCCACATACGTTCTTTTTAAATTTGGCTTTGCTGAAACTTTATTCCATAAGGAATCTCAAATTAGACTTTAAAAGCATTTTGAGCCCAGCCATGGCTTTATCTGTGCCTGCAAATATTTGTATGAATTGAGTGAATTCCTCTGCTTGTGGTCCCAAGATAATTTGGGACTCCTTGCTCTGTCAGAAAGTGACATTCTTTACTTACCATAGGCCAGAAACCCTGAGCAGGGACTGCCTAGACAAAGTATGGGGCCAAATTTCCCAAGAAGCTTTTATTGGCTTTATAAGTCAACTTTGATTCTTTAAAAGAGTCTGTTTGTATCTGAAAGTATGCCATTCCAGTCAAAGCCTTGGTAAATAACCAGTTTCTCCAATTGTGTCCTGTTACAAAAGAAAACAGATTCTTATTGGATTAGGCAAATAACTAGACTGCCATAAATTAAATATGCTTACAAGTAGTTCTTACATTCTGGGGAAATCAGGGTAGAGAGAAAGAAATGTCCCTCAAGTTTTGCTTAACGGAAGTGTATTTTACCCAATTGTTAAAAGCTGCAAATAGCTTAAGAGAAAGATTTTTAGACACTGAAAAGCAAAACAAAAAGAATCACTAAATGTTTTAAACAAAAAGAATCACTAAATGTTTTAAACAAAAAGTCACAAAAGATTATTTCGCTCTTCTATTAGTTCAGTCTATGTAATTAACTCCTGTTCTGTGTGATATTCCTGAACACATTGGCTCTCTATGGGAGTCTTGGAAGTTTATTTCTTCTATTTTAATGTCACAATTTCCAAAGTTATGAGAAATTTGCATTCAAGAGTGCCTGTCAGAGTCCTATATCTGTATTATAAAGCTGCCTTTGAAAAGAATCAAAGTAAAATAACTGTTATGGATGATAAAAATCTCAGAGCAGTCACAGTTAAAATCTGGTCATCTCTGTGGCACACATAATTTAATAGAGCTATCATAATTATTACTGATAACATATACTGAGACATAACAATTATATGAATCTTATACAATTTTGGAACACATACTAATAACACACTTACATGAATATATCCTAAAGAAAGTTAAATACTATTTTATATTTGACAATGTTTACTTTGTGATTTTAATATACCAAATAAGTCCCATATGTCTCTTTTGGGCTTGAGAAAACCTAGTATCTAATAGGATTAACCAGATCAAAAAAGGCTTAATTTAGAATTTAACTTTGGAAAGTTTTTCAAATATCAAAGGTTTAAACACTTGATATTATAAATTAGAAACCCAGGTCATTATAAATTAGAGGGAAAATATTTAGCCATTGATAGAGGGCAGAATCACCTTTCCAAACAAAACCCAATACAAACTCTGTGAGGCCAACTGAATCTGTCTTTTTTTCCCTTCCCTTTTTTTCTTCTGTCATTTATTCAAAAGGCGAACAAAACTCTTTCATTATCCTTTACTATTAGATGAAAATCCTGCTCAAAAGAGGAAGCCAAATTTTACCTTTGCAACAGTGTTCCATTAATTAAACCTGATTCTTAATAAAACCTTATAAACAAATCTATTCAATCTTAATTACTTTAACCATAATGTAAGATTTCAATAAGCCTTATATAACCCTTAAAAATTTTTTGTTAAGCATCAGGTCAACTCTCTAAAAAAAAAAACCATGCTATTCAGACACATGGACCTAGATTCTGGCCCTGCATCAGTGTGCTTTTGTTCTAATGTTTAATTTCCAGAAGAATGAATTAATCCCCTTCAAATCATAGCCAACTTCCTCTTATCTACAGAACTCCCTTTACAAGATCAAAATTTAACAAATTGTTTACAACTTGTTTAAACCTTCGGTTTAGTCCTGTTACTATTTTAGGTTAGGACATCCTTAAAAACCTCTGAAACAGACAAAATTATATCCCCTTTAACAAAATCATATTTCCATGCCTTCTTAAAATCTTTTACCAAAAACACATTCTACTTTCCCTATACACCTTGCATGCAAAACTATTTATTCAGTAGTCTCAAGTACATATTAAGTACATATTAAAATGTTAACTCTTAGCAACTTTTAGTTCTAGTGAAAAATCTGGTAAGTAGCAATTTTAACCATGTATCAGATTGCAGAGCCCAGGACAAGGACCAAGCCACAGGCAATGACACTTTCCAGCCTACCCAAGGGACCTGGCTGACTCCACATGTCACCAGGTCTTACCTAGAATCTAATGGCTATAAAATAGACAAGTCAAATAATTATTAAAACTCATAAAAGCAGTTCATGACCTCAAAGCATCTAGCAAACAGTACCTGACCTGCCTAATTTAAACCAAACATCTAAATGTCGAAGAATTGTTTATTTTATTTACCAATAACCTTTTGAACTGTCTTTATTTTTCAAAGGTTATTAGGGTCATGTGACCTAAAGTCATTCAAGTTTCTATTTTTTCTGACCGGTATGTTTCATTTAAGCACTTATTTTTCTTTAAGCCAAATAATTAGAGCTCTTATATATACAAGTTCACATACACAACACAAATATATAAATACACAGACAGGCAGAAGAAAATCACTAGTTGCACGATTTTTCATTTGCTGGTTTTTAAGTTTCTTAATTGGATTGCTGGCTTCATGGTGGAGCCCTTTGACGAACTGAGAAGGCATGCAGTTTTTTTTTGTTTGTTTGTTTATTTTTTTGAGATGGGAGTCTCGCTCTGTTGCCCAGGCTGGAGTGCAGTGGCGCTATCTCGGCTCACTGCAAGCTCCGCCTCCCGGGTTCACGCTATTCTCCCGCCTCAGCCTCTCGAGTAGCTGGGACTACGGGCGCCCGCCACCACGCCCAGCTAATTTTTTTTTATTTTTAGTAGAGACGGGGTTTCACCATGTTAGCCAGGGTGGTCTCGATCTCCTGACCTTGTGATCTGCCTGCCTCGGCCTCCCAAAGTGCTGGGATTACAGGCGTGAGCCACCATGCCCGGCCCGGCATGCAGTTTTAAGGACGTAACATTTACATACCTGAGAAGGAGGCACTGCTAGAAAGCAGAACAGATTTAAAAAAAAAAATTAAAGACCCCATTTTTATACTGAATCCTGAGTCTCAAAAAAGAGCGAAATGCTACAGAACAAAGTGCAGTGCTTTTACCATGCATCTCACGTCAAGAACATTCCCCCATGGCTGGTGGGCAAAGCCAAGCCAATCAGCCCATTCTGTAATCAGCTCATCCCCCATTCCATACCTTTCAGTTGCCCTAGAGCATTATTTTTTCATTTAAGCATGAGAAGAAAGGAATATCAGCCTACAGTAATGACCATTCACTGTAAGCAACTGCCATTGGTCTTCCCTAAAAACACATCTCCTACCTCACTATTACACACCAAGGCTAAAAGTCCTCTCATAATGCAAAGTAATTTCTGTTGTCCCCCCCAGAGTCAAAAAACGCAGGTAACACGATGCAAAATAGAACAGAGCCTTAGATTTTGAGAGGGATCTGTCCATTTATAATTTCTGGGGTTCCATGAGGAAAACAAAGGTTTCTCCCAAAATAGAGTGTGTGGCACCTACTCTGTTTATCTCAAGGAGTCCCAGACTGTCAGAAATTACCTTAGGTCCTCTAATGTGGGCATCAAAGGTGGCAAGAAAGCAAACGGAATTCGATTGACTGAAAAGAAGAAAAGAAAAAAAAAACACTAAAAAAAAAAAAAGAGATCCAAGAAGAGGAAAAGCATAAAGGCGTTTTAAATTTATATATACAGAGAGAGAGCTGGCTATCAATTTTCAGTTAAGCTGACTTTTTTTTCTTTTTTTTTTGAGACGGAGTCCCACTCTGTCGCCAGGCTGGAGTGCAGTGGCGCAATCTCGACTCACTGCAACCTCCACCTCCCAGGTTCAAGCAATTCTCCTGCCTCAGCCTCCTGAGTAGCTGGGACTACAGGCGCGCACCACCACGCCCAGCTAATTTTTGTGTTTTTAGTGGAGACGGGGTTTCATCATGTTGGCCAGGATGGTCTTGATCTCTTGACCTCGTGATCCGCCCGCCTTGGTCTCCCATAGTGCTGGGATTACAGGCGTGAGCCACGCTGCCTATCCTAGTTAAGCTGACTTTTAACCATAGAGCTTTTTAAAGAAAATCTTTTAAAATCTCTTATTACCAGACTCTAACTGGGACAAATAGCTGATACTTCTGACTTTTAAGCTCTTTTTTTTCCCCAAAAGTTGTGCTCCCAAGTGAGCCCAATAAGCCTTCACTAAAGTTATGACTTAACCACGGATGCGTGAGGTGTCTCCAAAGAGATGGCAAACAATTTTCACAAGGTCCAGAATTGCCCCAGGGTAGCTCAGATAAAAGAAAATTCAAGACAGAAAATCAGAAGCTGTCCCCGGAGGGAAAAACAATCAACAAGAGGCAAAAGTTTCACAACTATGAAAACAGAAATGACTCATTCTCGAATCTAGGAATTGAACCTACCATTCCCATGTGAAAGAGCAAAGCCTAAGCTACTGAGCTGTAGCACAAGGCAACAGCTGGTGCTTTTCCCAGATGGTGTCTAAAGCAGTCATTTTTGAGCTTGCAAAGGATTTTAACTACTCAAGAGAATTAAGGCTAGCCATAATATTATCATGTCCTCTTTTCAGACTCAAGAGTCAAAGCCTTATAATTTAACAGCATGAGAACTTTTAAAGCAACAGACAGTTACATGGAGGCAATAATGTTTTCAAGTCCATAATTTGAATGAACTTTTAGATAACTTTCAAATTAGACAATGTTCTTTTTCTCAATAAGAAGATGTCTTCTTCGGCACATTTGATACAAACCTAGGAAGCAAGAAATCCTAAACTGCTTATCAGATATTAGCATTTTACAGATGAAAACCATTCCACAATTTTGGAACATGTTTCCCGTATAATAACTCTTTCTTAACTGGAAATAACCCAGACATCCAATAACCATTCAAAATGATTTTAAGATTTTCAATTATACAAAAAGTTTACTGACAAGCATTTATATCATTTATATAAACCTAATTTTCCCATTTTTAACCATTTATTATATTACTTCTGAAAACTGATATTTTACACAAGGTCAGTCATTATTTAAAGTTACTTCCATGTTAACCATTTTTAAAGCTTGTGAACATCAGGTGTTTATCTAAGTAAGAATTGTAAAGTTAAATACGTGGGCATTTTGTTGATAACTCAGAAGATTTGGCTGTTTTCATTAAATAATATCAAACGTCTTATAAAAATTATAGAAAGATCTTTCTGTTTGGGGCTGGGTCTGTATTTTGTATGTTGGCAATTCTCAAGACATTTCTCATATTATTTTACCAATAATTTTAAAGTCAGCTTATTTATTAAAGATTTTACTTAAGTCACGTGAACTTGTAAAGCACTGGGGCTTATTCACTTAATTTATGAATACTCCTTAACTTTCCTATAGCTTCTATTTCAGAACTCTAGCCATAAGATATCAATACAAACTCACCAGTTTCCAAAAAAAAAAAAAAAAAAAAAAGTTGGATCCAAACAGTGGTTTTATCATTGCACCAGCAGAAAAGTAACAGCAGATTTAAAGCATGCAGAAAAGAAAACAGAGAAAGCTGTAGCCTGGCCGACCTCTGCATAAGAACCAACTTCTACAAGTAGAGTGTGAGAAAGAAAAGAGGGGAACAAAAATACTCAAGCAACCAACAGGAAATTCTGGAGCCTTCCAGCCCCTAGAAAGTGTGGGGTGACTGCCCCACCATTCTCATTTATCTTCCATCAGGAAGTCTCAGTACCCCAGGTGGGCAGCTCTCCCAGATGATCAGGAGGGTGAAACTGGAGGTGGAGAGTACAGGAGGAATCAAGGCACACACACAAAGTAATCTATCAACACATGCAAACAAATAGCATGCTTCCAAATGAGTCCGCAGTCAAGGGGTTGGGTGAGGTCCTAAATCCTGCTCCCTAGGTCCAAATGTCTCCATAGACAGCTGAGTCCAAGCTGAGCAAAGCTCCTATGGTACTGCACAGGCAGACAAATACAAATGCTCAAATGGTGTCACCAGCAGCCAAGTCTTAAGTACAGCAGGTCCCCAACAACACCTCAAAAGAGGCAGAGAGTGGTCGGGGGCATTCTGACCAACTTAATCCATTCCAAAGTTTGCCCATTTTTTTGGAGGTCACTTTCTTTGTACCAGCAAAGTGTTGAAGGCAGCAGACATTTATAGGAGTTAAGAATAAATTACTTAGGCAGATAGTAAAGGTATAGGAGTCCTTGGTAAGGCTTTTCTTTTTAATGAAAACCAGCTCCAAGTTATTTTCCTTTCTAATGAGGATCAGCCTGTAAAATCGAGCGGCAGACATAGATACCAGCAGTTGTGCCAATCATGTTCAAGATGGCAGCTCCATCTTCCTTTCTCTTTGTCAGCCAAGTTTACAGTAAGAAGAAAACAAGATGGCACCCATCAACTGGAAAGTCCATTTGCATAGTAAGATTAGGGTGCCTATAAAATTTGTTGTGGCCTGTCCCCTCCCCGCTTTTTGGATGTCTCTCTCTCTCTCTCTCTCTCTGTCTCTCAGAGCTGCTCTCCTCTCTCCTTTCTTCTATTAAACTTTCCACTCCTTAACCCACTCACATGTGTCTCTGTCTTGAATTCTTTCTCAGGGCAAGACAACAAACCCCAGGGTATATACCCCAGACAATGTAGCTGTTTCAGTACATACCCCTAGACAACGTAGCCATTTCAATATCATGTCAGGAGTCAAAAGGGAGTTTTCCCAAAAACAAAAGCATTTTTGGCACTTTTGTCTGATTTATCCTCTTTGGAATGGGGATATCTACCTAATGCCTGTACCACCATCATATCTTCGAAGTAAATAACTTGTTTTTGATCTTACAGGCTCATAGGTGGAAGGAATCTACCTTGAGTCTCCGATGAGATTTTGGACTTTTGAGGTGATGCTGAGAGGAATTAAGACTTTGAGTACTGGCAAGGCAAAATTGTATTTTGCAATGTGAGGAAAACATGAGATTTGGAGGGCCGGGGTGGAATGATAAAATCTGGATGTGTGTCCTTTCCAAATCTCATGTAAAATGGGACCTCCAATGTTGGAGGTGGGCCTAGTGGTAGCTGTTTGAGTTATGAGGGTGGACCCCTTATTAATGGTTTAGCCTTTCTAGCCAGTGGACACCCTCCCTTGGGCCCCCTCATGTTGAGTGTGAGCACACACTTGTGAAGCAGGTCAGCCAGCTCCCTATGCTTTTTTTTTTCTTTCTTTTGAGACAGAGTCTTGCTCTGTCGCTCAGGCTGGAATGCAGTGGCCCAATCTTGGCTCACTGCAAGCTCCATCTCCCAGGTTCACGCCGTTCTCCCATCTCAGCCTCCCAAGTAGCTGGGACTACAGGCGCCAGCCACCACACCTGGCTAATTTTTTGTTTTTGTATTTTTAGTGGAGACAGGGTTTCACCGTGTTAGCCACGATGGTCTCAATCTCCTGACCTCGTGATCCACCGGCCTCGGCCTCCCAAAGTGCTGGGATTACGGGGTGAGCCACCATGCCCGGTCAACCAGCTCCATATGCTTTTATCTCCCCCTGTTTTAAACAGCAACTATTTTGACTGCCTGTTCCAATTTTCTATTAAACCATTACTCCTAGGATGATATGCAACATGATGTGTTCATTTGATGTGACATCTTTGCCCCTTGTTGCATGCTATCGGTTTGATTTGACAAAATGTAACTTGAGGTCCCAAATTGGTACAGTAGCTGCTGTTCTGATTCTTTAATAGTATTTTGAGCATTTGCGTCTACAACCAGGTATGCAGAACACAGCAGGGTAAAAATCTATTCCTGTCAGGACAAATTTACAGCCCCCAGAACTATTGGCATTGGTCCAATGTAATCAACTTGCCAGCTATGTGCTTCTCCCTGGGTGACCTTCCCCATAGCCATCTTTGGTCTCTGTTTCTCTTGCTGGCACACAGAATAGTTCTTGCTGTCATTTTGTGCCTCAGCTTGTATAAGAGTAACATGTCTGGATTCAGCCATCCCTGCATTGCTGCAGCATCCCCACCCCCATGTTCACTCATTCCATGGATCTCAGGGGAGCACGTCAAAGGGTCCACTTGGTGGTTCCAATCACTCGGCAAACCTGGAAAGGAGTTCTCTTGATGGGCATTAACAAGTCTTACTGTAATGCCCCCTTAAATTCACAGAAAGACTTTCATAGGGCTATGGCCCATGCAGGCATCCCTTTAATGGTCCAGTTCTCCATCACCCAGCTACCTGACCATATGATCAGGATTTGGGCTCTGCCCACGAGTCTGTAAAAACCCAAACATTGGAGCCTGTGCCATTGTTAATGTCTTCCATCACTGCTAGGAAAAAAGCATGCAATTCAGCCTATTGAGCTGATTTATTCTCATCTTCAATCAGAGCCTTTCCACCCGCTGGTCTTTAGGCTGCAACTTTCCGAACAAGATGTTGTGTGTTCATCATGTAACCGCCATTTTTAAACCAAGCAACAGCTTGTTAGTCAATCAAAAGCTGTTCTTCAGGTTCTGTTGATCCAGCAGCTCCTCTGAGGGTTCCAAAGTTGGTCCTGGGGGAAAAGGTGCCATCTGCTCGGGAATATGATGGTTTTCTCCTTTCATTCTCCAGTAGTATGCTTCTGTTTGAGCCATTTCCTTTTTATCATGGAAATCTTCTGGACACTGCCTTCCTTACTAGAGTGTTTCTCTGATATCACCCAAAATATGGATTTCTCAGGTTTCATGATTATTTTGTGTCCTTCAGTCATTGAGGCAGTCTCAACTGATGCCCAATAGCAAGCTAGCAATTATCTTTCAAATAGTGTGTGCCAGGTAGCAGCATCTGGAAATTTCCTGGCCCCAAATCCCCTCAGTCCTTGCAGGAAGAGATCACAGGCTTTTGACATAAGCTCCAGTCTGCGTAAGTGTCAGTGGTAGATACTTCCAAAATCATTTCTGAGTGGACATTAAGAGAGAGTCCACGCCATATGGACTGCACAGATAGGCCACAGTAATCCCCTGTCAGTCACAGTGTGACTTCCTGCTCTAAACCCACCAGTTGGGACTCCCCACAGGAAACCTGCCTAGCGATGCCATGGATCCCAGGAAAGGCTTTGGCTCACAGGTCATTTGCTCTTTCTGTCTCTTGCTCTCCTCACACTGGTTGAGTTCCCTGCAGCCCCTGTGGACAGCCCTAACCTCTCTGGGATTTGTAAGTAACAAATTACTGCATTTCATGGCTTTTGGTTTCCCTTCCTCATTATGTCTCACCTGACCCACACACCCAAACTGAACTCCACCTCTGCCCCTTGTCAGGACTTCCCTAGAGGTAACCATCTTGGCTTATTACCACTGTCAACAAAGAAACTTCAAGGTCAAGTTGGAAAGAAACCATAACAATAAAGATCATAAAAATGGGTGCAGCGGACAGGGTACGTGGTCAGGACCACAAGAAAGGAAACAGAATGCTGGTAAGTTGCACATCACTTCCCAGCTGGCTCTCCTGCCTGTGTAACACCATCCAGATGGTTCTGCTGCTTGCTGACTTGCATCTGTGCTTCTGTGCACCATCCCTTGTTGCATCTGTCCAGTGTGACCAAGACTTCCGACTATAAACTGTGGCTTTTAAAAAACTGAGTCCTCTCCAAGATCTACAAATTGCCAGCCTTAGCACTGCAAGAGGGGCAACCATAGTTGCTGTCATTCCCCTAAATGGGAACTACTGGTCAGAATCAAGGTAGCTAAACTATTCAAAGGTCCCAATTTGTGTCATAAAGTTCTGGGAGAAGAAATTGGCAACCCCTACCTTGGTGCTGAGGCTATTGGGCACAGACACCAGGTGCTTGGCAAAACCTAGACACAGAAGCTGGGAGACTCCCATGTATTAGAGCCCAGTGTTGGTGGATGGTGTATTCGCACCATCCAATAAGTGGGGCCCCCTCCACAGGAATCCATGAACTTCCACAGGCAGTGGTGCTGCTAGGCTCTGCGAGCCTTATGTCACTGTTTTTCCTTGCTTCCGTAGCTCCTTGCAGCCTATTCAATGCAATGCAGACACCCTAGAGAGGGAGGTGGCTGCCTACAAATGGGGCTGATGGAAACCACAAATGGAGACCACTGATCACAACAGGGACCACCTGGGACCCACCAGAAGCTTGTCAGATAAACATTCAAAGAGAAAGGAAAAAAAATAGCCACTTAAAGATATAAGCCCTTATAAGGTTTTATTTAAAAATTGGGGGAAAAAAGAAGAAAAGGGGCTGATAGCTGGGGAAAGAATGTTGCTAAGAGACACTGGGTCATTTTCTCTTCCCTCTTTTATCAGCCAGAGACAGAACTAGGAATCATGGTTTCAAGTGGCTAAAAACCTAAAACAGAAAACAAGACAAACAAACAAAAAAAGATTGCCACTTCATGTGATTACAAGTCAGAAAAAAAAAATAAGAAGATGAACTTTAAGTACGGAACAAATACCAGTAAGGCAAATATAATAATAGCCCTAGATCATATCCCTAGACACAGAGGGGAAAGTAAAAGATCAATGCATAAATTGTGTATACATATATTTTAATATACATATATAATAAATTAATAACTTGTATATATAAAATATAAATTTAAAGAAATTTTTATAATTTTATCCAACTGGAAACAGGATTTTATATAAGTAATTCACATAACAAAAAGATAAAATGGGACACTGATAGGCTTTTGTGCCTCTATGACATAGATTCTAACTCACCTTTAACAACTGCTAAAATGCACCAACTGATAAAAAAATTAATGGACTTAATACTGTGGCATAAATTAAAAATCAATAGACACTCCTGTTAGTGCTTTCAAAAAAAGAAAAAAAACCCTTTTATGGCAAAGGCTTTGACAACCTCTTCCCAGGCCTCCTGGAGTCTCTGAACCACTTATAATGGTCATTAATTGCCCCAGGCTTCTAATGGAAGAAATTGCCTCTCTCAGCCTCGTGCTATACACCATTAAAACAACAAATGACTGGCTGGAAATAGAGGCTTTCACAGAACAGATCCTGAGCCTGTGACCTTCCACATCCAGCTGCCCATTATCCTTTGGTTCACGGAAACAGCCCTGACAAGCTCAGCATGGCTACAGAGGCCTCCTAAAGAGAGGGTGGAGCGAAACCTGGGCCCTCTGATATATGCACCTGTGGACGGAGACTCTTCCCTGTCCTCTATCCCTTGTCAGATGCCAGGGTATTAGATATGGCTATCCTTTCCCCACACCTCTTTACCATCTGGGAAGCCCCTTGGGATTCACTGAGTGAATAGCAATGGAAGTTTGTACACTAGGCAGATAGCACTGATGAACATTCTATGTGGTGAGGCTAAGGGGAGAGCTGCTGCTTCCCATCCCTTAGCCAGGATGTCTCTGATAAATGATGGGACAAAAACCAACAGACTTGGACCAAGTTCAGGCAGTCATCTTAGCACTGGATGCCCTGACGAAGTGATGACCCCATCCTCATGTTTATCATAAACTATTAGGCCATTACTTAAAAATTGTTCTCTCCAAGGTAAAAAAAACAAAACAAAACACAAAAACACTTTAGTAATCTTTTGCCTGATGGACACCCAAAATATAAATAAAAATCACATCTCCACCTATAACAAGGCCACAATACAAAACTTTGCCAGGACATCCCTTTTTCCCTTCAGAGTTACAGGCTTTGTTGGTACTAACCAAGACACACATAGCACTTCTTAGAACACACCATGCTGGGCTCTTGAGGAAGGCACTCAATAGACCTTCCATGTCCCTGATACGAACCAGTAACTGCTTTAACTGAGAGACAGAATAGTCTCCTCAAACAACTTCTTTTCAAATTCCAGTACAACAAATAAACCTCTAAACTTCTCTATCTTAACTCTCTGACCTTAACCTATCATTATACATTTTTGATCTTGTCCCTGTCCCACAAGGATTGGAGGTGAGATCAAGGGCACATTCTCTCCTAGGAATGATTAACCATAGACTCACAACTAGGCAGCTGCTCATCTGATATGGGATCCATTTGAACCTAAACTTCCACCAGAAACAAAAGCCCTGTTGGGTGCAACTATACACCATTCTATTAACTCCTGGTGTTATTACTACCAATTTGAGCACTTTCATTGGTTTGCAATCTGGTGACCCGACTGTGAACCAAGTAAGATTGTAAACTAACGTAAGAGTGGGTACACACTTTAAAAGGATACCCTAGTCCCACATCCCAGATGACATCACCCTGGCCCAAAATCCCACCCCTGATGACGACATCAACCTCAGACAATATTGCTCCAACCAAAGACCCTGTCATTGCAGATGACTTCGCCCTCTGCATGGAAATAATTTCACCTGACACTAAAAACTCTGCCCCACCAACACCTATGGGCTGCCTCTCCTAAGGCATGAATGGACACAGGATTTATTTTTGCTTTTCTTCCTGGACTCACTCTCTGCTTAGCCAATGATCCCAGTATACTCCTTGCTGTCTGCTCACATGTCCACCCATACATTCCCATACCTAAAGGAGAATCTGTTACTAAAATCAATGAGATTATTTCTTCCCCCTGGGTGGCACCTGCCTCATTTAAGGCAATCTCCTGGGAGAGAGGACCATCCACTCCATGATGGGTTTCCTACTACACCCTCCAGCTTTCTGCCACAATCTCTCAATTTGCATATCCAAACAAATCTCTCAATTTGCATTTCCAAACAGCTCTGCCCCTTGGTTTCATGTAATGCTACTAATCTTTACATATACTTTATCAGTTCAACATAACACAAAACAACATAACTTCCCTACTAAAATGCATAAATTGTTTGTTAAATGATACTGTTCCCCTTATAGTTTGTATCTCCACCACTCAAACTGTAACTGTCTTACATTCAGAAGGTGATTCCAGGGACTAAAGGAGGGATTTTCATACATTTGTTTAATATCAGTGCTGAATATTATTTAATTTGACTTCCCTTTTCAGGCCTGACAGAAGTTGTTTGACACCCAGGGCTACTCTGTCACCTTTGGCGGAGTTAAAATCTCGTCCTCCTTCTGCGGCTGCTTAACCCACTTGTTCCTCACGCCACTGACGCAGCCCAAGGAACCCCAAAGCTGCTGACCATGAGCAAACCTAATGGCCCACACCGGAGTCATGTAAATAAGTCCCCTCTTCACACATGTTTACTTTAAACTCCCCAGTCCGCAACTCCAGCAGGAAAGCCTAAGGGATAACGCCCACGGAGCTTAGGCCTGGCCCCACAGGCCCTCCTCCTCTCCCCCAACTCTCCACACACTAGGAGAGCTATCTGCCACTCCTGGACATCCTATCAGCGCCCCCAGAAGCACTCCCGACCTCTCTGGAACTGTGAGTAACACATTTCTCCTGTTTCATTATACTTCAGCTGACCAACACATCGAAGCCTAATGTTCCCCTGGTTAGAGCTCCCTGGAGAGAGTGGCTATCTTGACTTACAGCCACTTCAGGAGAGAGACCTCAAATTAGAAAGAAACCATAAATTATCCGGGCATGGTGGCCAGAGCCTGTAATCCCAGCTACTTGGGAGGCTGAGGCAGGAGAATCGCTTGTACCCGGGAGGCGGAGCTTGCAATGACCCAAGATGGCGCCACTGCCCTCCAGCCTGAGTAACAGAGCGAGACTCCATCTCAATCAATCAATCAATAAATAAAAAGAAACAGTAACAATAAAAATCATAACATTTGTACTTTTGGAATTTTTTAAATGTAGGTTTATCATATAGGCACAATGGATTATGAACTCCCTTTCTAGCCCCTCTTGCCTCCCTGGAGAATGGAGTGGAGCGTGGGGCCGGGGGTAGGTGGAACTGAAAGTTCTAAGCTTCAAAGCTTCAAACGGTGACTTGGTCTTTCTGGTGACCAGCCCCATCTAGGATCCCACCAACGATCACCTTATTAAAACAAAAGATGCTCCTATAACCCAGAAAATTCCAAGGGATTTAGGAGCTCTGTGCCAGATACTTTTACCACTCAGGAAATTACAGAGGTTTTAGGAAACCTGTGTTAGAAACTGGGGTCAAAGACCAAATATTAAACAGAAGCTTTTCGTAGCACCCTTATCACTCATAAAATTACGAGATTCTAGGAGCTCTGTGTCAGGAACTGAAAACACACACACACATACACACACAAATACACATTATATATATATATATATAATATATATAATTTCTTATTTCACAGTACATACATTATAGATATGAAACATCAGCTGGTACAAAATTACTAAGAAATGTGATATGTGATTTACAGAATGTAAGTTAAAGCTGTAACTGCAGTGGTCCTGTAAAGAATTTATATTAGAAGGAAATACTTTGATTTAGAATTATAAATAATAATTTAAATAGTATAATGACTAAGTAGTCATGTTGAGATATAATTCACATGACATACAATTCACCCATTTAAAGTGTACAATTCGATGTTTTTTTAGCATGTATGTGTTACCATTACCATGGTCAGTTTTATGTATATTTTTTCAACTCTAAAAGAAACTCTGTATTCTTTACCTATCATCCTCTTGTTCCCCACACCCTTCCCAGCCCTAACCAATCACTAATCTACTTTTTGTCTTTATAGATTTCCCTACTCTGGGCACTTCTTATGAACACAATCATATAATATGTAGCTGTTTGCAATTGGCTTATTTTGTTTTGCATAATGTTTTCAAGGTTCATAATTCATCCTATATCCATACTTCTATCCTTTTTTATGGCTGAGTAATATTCTGCTGTGTAAATATACCAAATTATTTTTATCCATTCATCAGTTGAGGCATTTGGGTTGTTTCCACCCTTTGCCTGTTATGAATAATGCTGCTATACATATTCTTGTTTTGTTTCTCTACTCCTAGGAGTAGAATTGCTGAGTTGTGAAGTAACTTTGCCATTATTTGAGGAACTGCCAGACTTTTTTCCAAGGTGGCAGTAGTATCTTACATTTCTTCCAGCAGTATATGAGGATTCTGATTTCCCCACATTCTTCTCACACTTGTTATCTGGCTTTTTTATTCTAGTCATTCAACTGAGTACGAAGTGATAGCTCACTGAGGTTTCCATTTGCATTTTCTTGATGATTAATGATTTCAAACATCTTTTCCAGTGCTTATTGGCCATTTGTGCATTTTACTTAGACAGATGCCTATTCAAATCCTTTGTCCATTTTTTATTGGGTTCTTCCTTCTTTTATTGCATTGTAAAGATTACTTATATACTCTCAGTACAATGTGTTATCAATTGTACGATTTGCAAATGTTTCTGATGATCTATGTCTTGCTTTTTCACTCCTATATGGTGTCATTTGAAGAACAAATATTTTTAATTTTGATGATGCCTCACTTACCTACCTTTTATTTTGTTTCTCCTGCCTTTGTTGTCAGAGTCTAAAAATCCTTTGCCAAATTTGAGGTTATAAGATATACCCTGTGTTTTCTTCTAGGAGATTTAGTTCTTTCAGGTAGGTAGATTTCTGATCCATTTTAATTTTTGTATATGGTGTAAGATAATGGTGCAGCTTTACTTGCCCTAGCACCATTTATTGAAAGACTATTTCCCCCTTGAGTGGTTTTGGCTCTTGTCAAACACCAATTGATCATAGATGTTATGGGGGTTTTTCTGGACTCTCAATTCTATTACATTGCTCTATATGTCTATTTGTTGCCTGTAATATAGTGTCTTGATGTACCATTACTTAATACTAAGTTTTGAAATCAGAAAGTGCAAGACCTTGGAGTCTGCTTATTTTCAAGATTGTTTTGGCTATTTTGGGGTCCTTCGCAGTTTCATATGAATTTTAGAATCAACTTGTACATTTCTACAAAGAAGTTGTCTGGGATTCTGATAGGGATTGTGTGGAATTAGCACATCTATTCGGGAAGTGTTGCCATCTTAATGTTAAGTCTTCTGATCAATTATGGAATGTATTTCTTTTTTATTAATATACTATTTAATTTATTTCCACAGTGTTTTATAATTTTCAAAGCAAACGTTTTGAACACTTTTGTTAAATTTATTCCTAAGTATTTAATATAATTTTGGTCTCGTTCTGTCACCCAGACTGAGTGCAGTGGTGCAATCTCTGCTCACTGCAGCCTCCACCTCTTGGGTTCAAGTGATTTATGCTGCCTCAGCCTCCTGAGTAGCTGGAATTACAGGCACACACCAACATGCCTGGCTACTTTTTGTATTTTTAGGAGAGATGGGTTTTCGCCATGTCGGCCAGGCTGGTCTCGAACTCCTGACCTCAAGTGATCTGCCTGCCTCAGCTTCTCAAAGTGCTGGCATTACAGGCGTGAGCCACTGTGCCCAGCTGAATTGTTTTCTTAATTTTATTTTTGGCTCGTTCATTGCAAGTGTATAGAAGTTCAATTGATTTTGCACATGTATCTTGTATCCTGCAAACTTGCTGAGTTAGTTTATTAGTTCTACTAGTTTTTTTGGTGGATGCCTTAGGAATTTCTATATACAAGACCAAGTCATCTGTGAAATGGGTTAATTTTACTTTTTCCTTTTCAAACTGGAAGCCTTTTTTTTTCTTTTTATTGCTTAATTGTCCTGACTAAAACATACAGTACAATGTTGAATAGAAGTAGCAAGAGCAAACATCCTCCTCTTATTCCTGATATTATGGGGAAAGCATCCACATTTTCATCATTAAATATGATTTCTTACTGTGTACTTTTCACTGATTGTTTTTATCAGGTTGAGGATGTTACCTTCTATTCCTAGTAGGTTAAGTTCCTTTAACATGAAAGGATGTTGAATTTTGTCAAATGTTTTTTCCTGCATCTATTGAGATGGTGGTACAGGGCAGGCCAGCAGGCTGCAGACCCAGATAAGACTCTATGTTGCAGATGGAGCCTGAGGACAGTCAGAAAGCAGGATTCCTGCTTCCCCAGAGTGCCTCAGTCTTTTCTCTAAAGATCTTTAAATAATTGGATGAGGATGAGGCCTACCCAATTTATGGGGAGTAATATGCTTTATTCAAAGCCTACTCTTTTCAGTGTTAATCACATGTTAACAATGCCTTCAGGCCGGGCGAGGTGGCTCACGCCTGTAATCCCAGGGCCTTGGGAGGCCGAGGCAGGTGGATCACGAGGTGAGGAGATCGAGACCATCTTGCCTAACACGGTGAAACCCCGTCTCTACTAAAAATACAAAAAAATTAGCCAGGCGTGGTGGCAAGCGCCTGTAGTCCCAGCTACTCGGGAGGCTGAGGCAGGAGAATGGTGTGAACCCATGAGGCGGAGCTTGCAGTGAGCCAAGATCATGCCACTGCACTCCAGCCTGGGCAACAGAGTGATACTCTGTCTCAAAAAAAAAAAAAAAATTATGTAAGTTAAATATATCACATTGTATATGATAAGGGGATATGAGAGTGAGAAAACAAAGATATTTGCATGAGTTATATATATGTGTGTATATATATGTGTATATATGTGTGTGTGTATATATATATATATATGCCACTCAAACAAATGAATTTATAACAAAATAAGAAAAATCCTAATTAAATCCTGTGTTTCTGTAAATGGTCATGTGTTCATAGTTGGGATTTATAACCACCTTCCACTTCCCATTCCTTAGTCCTGTGCTCTCAGCAGGTTATGCTTTTTATCTGTAGAATAACCAGCTGAAGTTTATGTTTTTTATCTGGTAGAGTAACTAGTCCTGTGCACTTTAGCTTGTTATGGTTTTTATCTGGAAGAATAACTCAAAGCTTCACTCCTGTAGGGTCTCAGCCATTAGTAGTCCTGCCTGGATTGGGTTGTTATGGTTTTATATTGACTTTAATCAAAGGGCATGGTAGCATTAAGAGATACCCTAGCAGTGTCATGTTAGTTTATATTCAAGACATACTCTTCCAAAACCTCCACTATGGAGTGTCAGTCTAATTTCCCCTTGGCAATCAAGATCAGTAACCTCAGAGTGCAGGTCTCCTTTCTTTGCCTATTGATCCTGGGCATAGGTAGTCTAAAGTAGCCAAGTGTCAATCATAATTTTCAATTCAATGGAATCATGATATCCATTGGTAGAAGAATTCCTCCCTTTGGAATTAAGACCTTCAGGTCAGCAAAGCATAAGGTCATGAGAACAGAAAGAAAAAAAGCCTGTTAGTGAATTACTAAGGGTGATAGTAAGTGGTGCCACTTGCATTTTTACATTTGATTGCTGGACTCATGTACCCCGGCTATCAGAGAAATAGCACTGTATATCGAATGCTGATTCAGAGCATATACAGCTCCCTGGAGAACCTTGCTCCAGCACCTCAAGGTACTACTAATTAGCTGGTCCTGTAACTTAGAATTGAAAAGGCCATTCCAGTTTTCTATCAAGGCTGCTGCTTAAGGATAAAGGGAACATAGTAAGACCAATAAACTCCATGCACATAGACCCATAGTCCCATTTCATTTTCTGTAAAGTGACTTCCTTGACCAGAAGAAATGCTCTGGAAAATACTGTGGCAGTTAATAGTCATCCAGTAAATCCATGGATATTAGTTTTGGCAGAAGCACTGTGTGCAGGAAAGGCAAATATGTATCTAAAGTAAGTGTCTAGTCCAATAAGAACAAAACACTAGCCCTTCCATGAGGGAAGCACTTTAATATAATCAACCTGCCACTGGGTAGCTGGCTGATCCCTCCAGAAAGTGGTGCCATATCAGGGACTAAGTGTTGGTTTTTCTCCTTTTAGACAAATAGCTGGGTGAACTGGCCAAAATTCTGCCCACAGAGAGGATTTCCCTTCATCGAGTTCCTTTACGGATGTCCCAAAAAAGAATTTATAGTGCTGCAGATGTCTATTTTTGGGGGTAGTTGCATATCATATACAACCGTCTGTAAACCATGACTGAGACTTATCAACCTCTGTCTACTGATTATAAGAAACTCCCCAGTGAGGAGGCCATAGGTGCAGGCTGGGAGACAAGAGGCAGTGCAGCAGAAGTGTGGTCCATGGGCATTTAGGCCACTTCTTTGTGTAGCTTACTTGTGCCTTTAGTACCTGCTAAGACCCGATCAGATATGTGCTACTTCCAATTGATGAAGTGTTGCTGAGCACATCCAACTTTATTACTTGTTGGTCAGATTACACATGGGCAGCAAATGTTGCAAGGTTACTGGTGGGCCAGAGTTAAGCATTCAGTCTCAGCTAAGACCCCATGGTAGGCCAACAGCCATTTCTCAAAAGAGAGCAGTAACCTGTGGAGGAAGGCAGGGCTTTGCTTCAAAATCCTATGGATATGTGCTGACATTCGCGTGTAGAGGCCTGCTGCAGACACCAAACAGCATCCTTATCTGTCACGGATACTTCAATTACCAGTGGATCTGCTGGATCATATGGTCTGAGCAGCCAAGCAGCTTGCACAGCAACCTGCATCTGTTGCAGAGCCTTCTCTTACTATGAGCTTTACTCAAATCCAGAAGCCTTTTGGTGTCACTCTGTAAATGGGCTGTACAAACACATTAAAATGAGAAATACGTTCCGTCTAAAATTCAAGGAGCCCAGTCAATGTTGTGCCTCTTTTTTTTGGGTGGGGGAAGTATAGGAAGGGTTAGATGTAAAAACTTATCTTTCACCTTAGAAGGGACATCTCAACATGACCCACAACACTGACTACCAGCAATTTCACTGAAGTAGAAGGCCCCTAATATGCATCATATTTATTCACTCCTCTCTGACTGCAAATGTCTTATCAATAAGTCTAGAGTAGTTGCTTTGTTTTGCTCACTAGGTCAAATCAGCATCATATCATCAATGTAATAGACCAGTATGATGTCTTATGGAAGGGAATGATTATCAAGATCCCTGAAAACTAAATTATGGCATAGGAATGGAATATCAATATAATGCTGAGGTGGGACGGTAAGAGTGTATCACTAACCTTGACAGCTGAAAACAACTACTTCTGGTGGCTTTTGCAAAGACAAATTAAATCAGCTCCCAATCTTTAAAATTGTGAAGTATTACATAAAAATGTAACTTTTAGCTTCCTGTGAAAATTTAGAACTGGCACTCCTGAGCCCAAATTCTCATATAGCAACAACTGGCAATGGCTCAGTAGTATCTGCCCTTTTCAGACTTGGACAGATCCTTCCTCATTCTCACCAGCCATTTCACTCATTTACTTCCCTGGATCTTGTTTGCATTAATTTTTTCTACCCTACTAGCACTTTGAAGTTTACACAGGGTAATCAAACATATTAAGAACATCTTCTTAATTCTGATGCTTTGACATCTGGGGCCTTACTGAACCTGAAGAGATACCCCAACCAGGGCTAACAAATTTCTAAATATAGTAAAAGATGAGTGTGATTTTCCTACGTAAACTAACCAATCCAAAGCCTGCTTCTCTTGCCTTTTGATATCCTTCCTACAGAAGCCACAATGAAGTCTATTGTCCACGTTTTCCTCCCACTCCCTCTGCCTCCTGCTTGTCCCTGGCACAGCTGCTATTTGGGCATTGGTCAGGTGGCTGTGGATTCAAATCCTAAATTCGAAACTAGAAAGCTGAGTGCTCCTGAGTTCTGGTCTGAGTGTGCTACTTGCCTAGATTCTGGGATAAGGAACACTCTTCTGTTTTTGTTTTTTTTTTGTTATGTTTTTGTTGTTGTTTTTGTTTTTGTTTTTAAAGAGACGGGGGTCTCGATATGTTGGCCACCTTGTTCTCAAATTCCTGGCCTCAAGCATTTCCTCCAGCCTCAGCCTCCCAAAGAGCTAGGATTATAGGTGGGAGCCACCACGTCCTGCCTCCTAGTTTTTATTGACTAGGTAAGTTCTTGAATGGCACCACCAGAGGGGACCAGGTGTGACTTTCCTCCAAGGACCATGAAATGGACCTGATCAGTCAAACAGGCAGCACAGATTAATATTGAGACAAGGAAAGTTGCTATTTTCCTGTACATTTCAGCCTGCTCTGCTTAGTAGAAGGAGTGTGATCTTTGCAGCACTAATAAGTTGCGAGCCACACATGGGATCAGTGTTTGCCTTTACCTCCAGGACCGTGCCACCCCACAAAAGATGTTGTTCTGGATGTAACCTGTTGTGTTGTTATTTGCCTTCTTGCTATTGTATTTCGTCTCTAAATGCAGTGGGATATGGCGGATCCCATCCCTGGAGACTAGTGGCTCAATATTTAACGGAAAGGGGGAAAGGAAAGCAACATTTGGTTCTAGTTTCTCTCAAGCCTTCTGAAGAGGTGACTCATGAACGAAAGATTGCAAAACACTCAATCAATGCTCACAGGCTCTCTTAAGTGCTGCTGCTTACCATCATACAAAGGGTCTCATACTCAAAGAGATTGAAAGAAAACCAAGGCCACACTTGCTGTCCTGGATATTGAGACCAGCCATGCCTCTGAGGTTTAGTGGGACACCCAATAAAGGGAAGATGCTACTCATAGCAGACATTATTCAGACTGCCACAAGTTTATCAGGTAAACACCAAAAGGATAAAAAAGGGGGAGGTGGGGATCAGGAACAGACAGAAGATAAAAAAGGATGAAATATTATCTACCTAGAAATACAAGCCATTCTAACAAGTTGACAAAAAAGAAAGAAGAAAAGAAAAAAATAGATGAGGAAGGGGACTGATTCAACTGTGTAAAGGTTTGGACCCAAGAGGAGGCTTCTGTCTAAAGGAGGACACCAAGATCTTTCCACTCCTTTCTTTTTCCTCTTATTAGCCAGAGACAAAAACTAAAAACTGTGGCTTCAGGTTGCTAAAAACTAAAACAGAAAAAAAGAGAAATCTCTAAAAACAAGAGGAAAAATAAAAAGTAAATAAGTATATTACATTTTATTGATTGACTGGTTGATTTACTGACTGACAGGCTGGCTGACTGACTCAGGTTCTCACTCTGTTGCCCAGGCTGGAGTGCAGTGATGAGATCTTAGCTCACTGCAGCCTCAAACTGCTGGACTCAAGTGATCCTCCCACCTCAGTCTCTTTAATAGCTGGGAACACAGGTGTACATCATAGAGACAAGGTTTTGCTATGTTGCCTAGGCTGGTCTCAAAACTCCTGGCCTCAAGGAACTTTCCACCTTGGCCTTCCAAATTATAGAGATTACAGGTGTGATTCACCACATCCCCCCTCCCAGTTTTTACTGACTAGATAAGTTATTGAATGGCACCACCAGAGGGAACCAGGTGTGACTTCCCTCCAGGTGTGACTCACACCTGCTAGGATTATAGGAGTAAGCCATTGTGCCTGGCCTATTTTAATGTTTTTATAAAATAGAGTAAATAAATTTCATACATATAAAAACTAAATTAAAACAAAGATTCATAATTTAATCCAATTGGAAATCTGAAAGAAGCTTTTTACCCCTCTTCTAGGATTTTCAGTTTCACATCATAAATTTAAGTTGTTAGTCCATTTTGAGTTAATTTTTGTGCATGGTGTAATCTAAGGGTTCAGTTTTATTCTTTTTTAGTATAGGTATCTAGCATTTCCAGCTCGTTTCTTTAAAGAGACTATCATTTCCCCATTTTGTATTCTCAGCACCCTTGTAGAAGGACAGTTGCCTATATATGGAGGAGTTGATTTAAGATTTCCATTCTGTTTCATTGGTCTGTATGTCTGTTTTTATGCCAGTATTTTACTGTTTTAATTACTTAGCTTTGTACTATGTTTTGAAATCAGGAAGTGTGATGCCTCTAGCTTTGTTATTATTTTGCAAGATTGCTTTGGCTATTCAGGGTCTTAGTGGTTCTATATTAATTTTGGGATTGCTTTTTTATTTCTGTAAAATAATGTCATTGGAATTTTGATGAGGATAGTATTAAATCTGTAGATCATTTGGGTATTATGGACATTTTAACAATATTAAGTCTTTCAACCTGTGAACATGGGATGTCTTTCCTTTTATTTGTATCTGCTTTAATTTCCTTCATCAAGGTTTTTTAGTTTCCAGTGTACAAGTCTTACACTTTCTTAAGTTTATTCCTATTTTATTATTTTTAATCCTATTGTAAATGGGATTCTTATGTCCTTTTTGTATAGTTTATTTTTAGTATATAGAAATGTCACTGATTTTTGTATGTTTTGTATGCTGCAACTTAATTTATAAGTTTTGTTTTATAGTTTTTTGATAATTTATTATTAGTGTATAGAAACATCACTAATTTTTGTTTATTGATTTTGTATGCTGCAACTTATTTTATTAACTAACAGTGTTTTTGTGAAGATTTTAAGATTTTCTACATAAAATATCATATTTATAAACAGATAATTGTCTTCTTTCTGATTTGGATGCTTTGCATTTCCTTTTCTAATTTCTCTAAGACTTCTAACACTATGTTGAATAGAAGTGACAAGAGTAGGCATCCTTGCCTTGTTCCTGATCTTAAAGCTTTCAGTTTTTCATCATTGAGTGTGACGTTAGCTCTGGGATTTTTATATAAAGCCTAAATATGTTGAGTTATATTTATTCCATAACCAGTTTGCTAAGAGTTTATCACAGAGTAGTCAATATTGTCAAATCCTTTTTCTGCAGCTATTGAGATGGTCAAGTGACTTTTATTCATTCAGTTAATGTGGTATCTCACATTTACTGATTTCTATGTGTTGAATCCTTCTTGCATCCCAGTAATTAATCCTACCTGGTCATAGCATATAATTTTCATGTGGTTCTGGAATTGGTTTGATAGTATATTATTGAGGATTTTTGTGTCTATATTCATCAAGGATATTGGCCCATAGTTTTATTTTCTTGTAGTGTCTTTATATGGCTTTGGCATCAAGCAATGCTGGCCTCATAAAATGAGTTTGGAAGTATTCCTTCATCTTCAGTTTTTTGGAAGAGTTTGAGAAGGACTGACATTGGTTCCTTCTTAGATGTTTAGTAGAACATACCAGTGAATCATCTGGTCTTTGGCATTTTGTTGTTGTTGTTCTTGGGAAGTTTTTGATTACTAATTCAATCTCTTTACTCATTACTGATTTGTTACGGTTTTGATTTTTTTTTCCTGTTTTAGTTTTAAGGTTTTACGGTTTTAGAAATGTATTCATTACTATGTTATCCAATTTGTTGTCATATAATGACAGTAATCACTATGATTCCTTTTCTCAGTAACATCAGCTGTAATATCTCCTCTTTCATATCTGATTTTGAGTCCTCCTTTTTTTATTTGTGTATCTAAAGCTTTATAAATTCTGCTTATGTTTCAAAAAAAAACTAAATTTTATTGATTTTTCTGTTGTTTTTATTCTCTATTTTATTTACTCCTGCTCTAATATTTATTTCCTTCCTTCAACTAACTTTGGCCTTAACTTCTTTTTCTAGGTCATTGTGTTATAAAGTTAGGTTGTTTGTGATATTACTTCAACTGATGCTGAGTGGGATGTTCTGTATATATGTTATAGGTCCATTTGGTCTATAACATCATTAAAGCCTGCTATTTCCTTATTGATTTTCTGTCTGGATGTTCTATCCATAACTGAATATGTGACATTAAAGTCTCCTTCTACTATTGTATCGCTGTGTACTTCTGCCTCCAATTCTGTCATGTTTGCTTTATATATGTAGGTATTTTGATTGGGGTCCACATATAATTATAATTTTATATTTCCTAATGAATTGAGCATTTAATCATTATATAATATGTTTCTTTCTCTTGTGATAGTTTTGTATTTAAGGTCTATTTGGCCTGTTATAAATATAGCCACTCCTGCTTACTTTTATCAGTTGTATGGGATATCTTAGTCTATCCTTTTACTTCCAGCCTATGTGTCTCCTTACATCTGAAGTAAGTCTCTCTCGTAGACAGCATGTAGATGAGTCTTGTGTTTTTATAATCCATTCAACTATGTGATTAGTGAGTTTATTTTGTTTTTACTTAATAATTTATGTTGAAAGATTTACTATTGTCATATTTTTAATTATTTTCTGTCAGTCTTGTAGTTATTTTGTTCCTGTTTTCCTCTCTTGCTGTCTTTCTATGTGTTTTATGGAATTTTTTGCAATGATATGTTGTGATTCCTTTTTCTTTCTCTTTTGCATATCTTCTGTAAGTATCTTTATGGTTACCATGAGGCCTACATAAAACATCTTTTAATCAGCAGTTTTGAGCTGACAACATTTAACTTTGATCACAAACAAAAACTCTATAACTTGGCTGGGCGCAGTGGCTCATGCCTGTAATCCCAGCACTTTCGGAGGCCAAGGTGGGCAGATCATGAGGTTAAGAGATCGAGACCATCCTGGTCAACATCCTGGTCAACCCTGTCTCTACTAAAAATACAAAAAATTAGCCGGGCGTGGTGGCAGGTGCCTGTAATCCCAGCTACTTGTGAGGCTGAGGTAGGAGAATTGCCTGAACCTGGGAGGTGGAGGTTACAGTGAACCAAGATCGTGCCACTGCACTCCAAGCCTGGTGAAAAAGCGAGACTCTGTCTCAAAAAACAAAACAAAAAAAACCCTCTATAACCTTACTTCTTCCCCCACACATTTTGTTATTGATGTCACAATCTACATGTTTTATATCATATATCCATTAACATATTTTTGTAGTTATAGTTATTCTTTATGCTTTTATCTTTTAACTTTTATACTAAAATTAAGTGATTTATACACCATCAATAGAGTATATGTATCTGTGCATTTGTATGTATATGTATATTTACCTTAACCAGTGTGTTTTATACTTTTGTGTTGCTGTTTAGCATCCTTTTGTTTCAACTCAAAGTACTCCCTTTAGCATTTCCTGTTAGGTAGGTCTAGTGGTGATGAACTCCCTCAGCCTTTGTCTGGGAAAGTCTTCATCTCTCTTTTGGTTTATAAGGACATTTTTTTCTGGGACTAGTATTCTTGGTGCTTCTTGTCGGGAGGGGAATCTCAGGGTTATGCCTTTCACCCAGTCTTTCAGAGCTACCATTCTTTTTCCTAGCAATGCACTGAGAGGTCTGCATGCTGGATGCTGGTCCACCCCCCTCCTTTTCCCCTGAAAGGCCCTTGAATCGCCCCATGCTAGTGACTGAATGTTTGTGTCCCCCACCCCAAATCCATATGTGTAGTATAGTGGCCCAATGTGATGGTATTTAGAGGTGGCACCTTTGTGGGGTAATTAGGTCAGGCAGGTAGAGTGCTCATAAATTGTATTAGTGCCCTTACAAGAAAAAATGAGAGAGGTGATTTCTCTCTCTGCCATGTGAGGATACAGAGAGAAGATGGCCATTTGCAAACCAGGAATCAAGCCCTCACCACAGACTAGATTTGCCACTTCCTTGATCATGGACTTCCCAGGTTCAGAACTGTGAAGAACTGGGAGAAACAAATGGCTTTTGTTTATTTGTTGTTTATTTGTTTAAGCCACCAGTCTATGGAATTCTGTTATAGCAGACACATGAGTTAGGTAATTATTGCCTTTTGGATAGGGTTGGCCTGCAGTTTTACAACTAGGTTAAGTTATCTACAGACATATTTACCTATTTTCTCTCTCTGTCTCTCTCTCTCTCTCTCTCTGTCTCTCTGTGTGTGATAGATATTGTATAAATTTTCACTTTGAAAATTATACTCCGCTGTCAGTGTTGCTTTGAATATACAGAAATACTGAAAACATTATTTGTGCCAAATAAAATGTGCAGCATATTAGTCCATTTTCATGCTGCTGATAAAGACATACCCAAGACTGGGCAATTTGCAAAAGAAAGAGGTTTAATAGACTTACAGTTCCATGTGGCTGGGGAAGCCTCATAATCATGGCAGTAGGCAAGGAGGAGCAAGTCATGTCTTACATGGATGGCAGCAGGCAAAGAGAGAGAGAGCTTGTGCAGGGAAACTCTGCCTTATAAAGCCATCAGGTCTCATAAGACTTATTCACTATCACAAGAACAGCATGGGAAAGACCTGCCCCCATGATTCAGTTACCTCCCACCAGGTGTCTGCTACAACATGTGGGAATTTAAGATGAGATTTGGGTGGAGACACAGCCAAACCATATCATGTATGTATAAAGGGGATGCTTTGGTTCATGGATACCAGTACTGTTTATAAGGATTTGTTATTTCTACTTTTCATATTTTACCTGGTGTCAAAATGATAAATCTTTTTCTTAATTCCACCCAGCAATATGAATGTGCTTCCTGAATAATATAAAGCAGTTTCAAAGGACAATATGTAAACATGCTTAGTTATTTTAGAGCCTAAATAGCCAAAGCTATCCTAAGCAAAAAGAACAAAGCCAGAGGTATCACATTACCTGACTTCAAACTATATTTTAAGACTACGGTTACCAAAACAGCACGGTACTGGTACAAAAACAGATGCATAGAGCAATGGAACAGAGCAGAGAACCCAGAAAGAAAGCTGCACATCTATACTCACTTGATCTTTGAACAGAATTGACAAAAATAAGCAATGGAGGCTGGGCATGGTGGCTCACGCCTGTAATCCCAGCACTTTGGGAGACCAAGGCAGATGGATCACCTGAGGTCAGGAGTTTCAGACTAGCCTGACCAACATGGAGAAACCCTGTCTCTACTAAAAATATAAAATTAGCTGGGTGTGATGGTGCATGCCTGTAATTCCAGCTACTCGGGAGGCTGAGGCAGGAGAATCATTTGAACCCAGGAGGCGGAGGTTGTGGTGAGCCGAGATTGTGCCATTGCACTCCAACCTGGGCAAGAAGAGTGAAACTCCATCTCAAAAAATAATAAATAAATAAATAAATAAATAAAATAAGCAATGGAGAAAGGACTCCTTATTCAGTAAATGGTGTTGGGATAACTTGGTAGCCACATGCAGAAGAATGAAACTGGACTCCTACCTCTCACCATATACGAAAATTAACTCAAGATAGATTACAGATTTAAATGTAAAACCCCAAACTATACAAATCCTAGAAGAAAACCTAAGCCATACCATTTCTGGCCATTAGCCTTGGAAAAGAATGTATGACTAAGTCCTCAAAATCAACTGTAACAAAAACAAAAATTGCCAAGTGGGAACTAGTTAAACTAAAGAGCTTCTGCACAGCAAAATAACTATTGACAGAGTAAATAGACAACCTACAGAATGGGAAAAAAAATTTGCAAACTATGCATACAGCAAAGGTCTAATATCCAGAATCTATAAGGAACTTAGTAAGAAATAAACAACCCAACTAAAAAATTAATATGTTAGATGGGCAAAAGACAGGAACAGACACTTTTTTTCCCCTCACTCTGTCTCCCAGGCAGGAGTGCAGTGTTGTGATCTCAGCTCACTGCAACCTCTGCTTCCTGGTTCAAGTGATTCTCCTACCTCAGCCTCCCAGGTAGCTGGAGTTACAGGCATGCAGCACCACACCACACCGCCGCCATATGAGACACGCCTTTCACCTCCCACCATGATTGTGAGGTCTCCCCAGCCATGTGGAACTGTAAGTCCAATAAACCTCTTTCTTTTGTAAATTGCCCAGTCTTGGGTATATCTTTATCAGCAGTGTGAAAATGGACTAATACACTAATCTTCAGAGAAATACAAGTCAATACCATGAGATACCACCTCATATCGATCAGAATGGCAATTATTAAAAACTGAAAAACAAACAAACAAAACACCAGATATTGGTGAGGCTACAGAGCAAAGAGAATTATACACTCTTAGTGGGAATATAAATTACTTCAGCCATTGTGGAAAGCAGTTTGGAGATTTCTCCAGGAACTTAGAACCACCATTTGACCCAGCAATCCCATTCCTGGTTTTATATCCAAAAGAAAATAAATCATTCTATCAAAAGGACACATGTATGTTCATCACAGCACTATTCACAATAGCAAAGATAGAGAATAATCCCAGATGCCTTACAATGGTGGTCTGGATAAATAAAATGTGGTACATACATACCATGGGATATTATACAGCCATGATAAAGAACAAAATTATGTCCTTTGCAGCAACATGGATGTAGCTAGAGGCCATTATTTTAAACGAATTAATGCAGGAACAGAAAACCGAATACTATATATTCTCACTTACAACTGGGAATTAAATATTGGTTATTCATGGACATAAAGATGGGAACAACAGACACTGGGTACTACTAGAGTGGGGAGGGAGGAACGGGGAAAGGATTGAAAAACTACTGGGTTCTATGCTTACTAGCTGGGTGACATGATCAATCATATCCCAAACCTCAGCAACGCACAATATACCCATGTAACAAACTGGCACAGGTATCCCCTGAATCTAAAATAAAAGTTGAAATTATTACTATTATTATTATTATTATTTGAGACAGAGTTTCACACTTGTTGCCCAGGCCGGAGTGCAAGGGTACGATCTCGGCCCACTGCAACCTCCACCTCCCAGGTTCAAGCGATTCTCCTGCCTCAGCCTCCCAAGTAGCTGAGATTACAGGCGCCCACCACCATGCCCAGCTAATTTTGTATTTTTAGTGGAGACGGGGTTTCTCCGTGTTGGTCAGGCTGGTCTCGAACTCTAGACCTCAGGTGATCCGCCTGCCTCAGCCTCCCAAAGCGCTGGGATTACAGGTGTGAGCCACCATGCCTGGCCGAAATTATTATTATTATTATTATTATTGTTATTATTTTCTGAGATGGAATCTTGCTCTGTCACCCAGGCTGGAGTGCAGTGGCGTGATCTCAGCTCACTGCAAGCTCTGCCTCCCAGGTTCATACCATTCTCCTGCCTCAGCCTCTGGAGTAGCTGGGACTATAGGCACCCGCCACCATGCTCGGCTAATTTTTTGTATTTTTAGTAGAGATGGGGTTTTACCATGTTAGCCAAGATGGTCTTGATCTCCTGACCTCGGGATCTGCCTGCCTCGACCTCCCAAAGTGCTGGGATTACCGGCATGAGCCACCGTGCCCGGCCGGAAATTATTTTTTTAAAGATGACAAGTAATAGCAAGACTGTGGATGATATGGAGCCCTTATGTATTGCTAATTTAACTATGGAATACAGCAACCACATTAAGAAACTAGTAGTTTCTCAGAATGTTATACATATAATTCCTTGCAATTCCACTCCTGGGTATGTACCCACAAAAAGGAAAACACATGGCCACATAAAAGCTTGTGTGAATGTCCACAGCAGTGCTATTCATAATAGCCAAAATGCGAAAAAAACAAAAAACAAATATCTATCAACTCCTGAAAGGAGAAACAATATGTAGTATATTCATACAATGAAATGTTCTAAAATCAAAGTAAATGAAATGATATGTACAGAATGAACCTCGAAATGTAAAGTGAAAGAATTCGGACACAAGAGACCACACATCACATGATTCTCTTTATAAGAAATATCCATAATTGGCAGATTCATGGAGATGGAAAAAGATTAAAGTTTAGCTAAGGCTGAGGGTGAGAATATTCCAAAATTATATTGTGAATAGGGTTGCAAAAATCTATAAATCTATTAAAGTCATTGAATTATGCATCTAAAACATTTTATGATGGTATGCCAATTATATATGAAGAAATTTTTAAAAAAAATATTTAATGGATTTAAAAAATCGTATCTTGTATACCAATGATGTCTAAGGTTAAATTCATTATAATTATTTTAATTTCTAATGCTAAGGACAATTTTTTCTTAATAGTATTGATTCATATCTTAAGGTCTGTTGTGTCCTATCCCTGTGTCATATGAGGACATTAAGAAAAAGACTGAAAAACCACAGTTTCATTTTACTGATATCAAAAAGGACTTGTTGATAAAAGGAATCATAGAGCTCCTATTTTTTTCAAAATTATTCTTGATATTTTATTTCGTTTAGTTGAAAATAATCTTGAAGTTCCCAAAACTTCACTGATTATTAGAGAAAAATATTCCTTTTTTAAGAACAAGGAAATTCTATTCTTATTGTCCTAAGAGTTTTCTCATAAATAGCTATTATTTTAACAGAAAAATATGGAATTTTGAGACCTTATTACTTGACTTTTCTCATTTAATATCTTTTTTTTTTTTTTTTTTTGAGACAGTCTTGCTCTGTCACCAAGACTGGAGTGCTGTGGCACAATTTTGGCTCACTGCAACCTCCACCTCCTGGGCTCAAGCAATTCTCCTGCCTCAGCCTCCCAAGTAGCTGGAATTACAGGCACTTGGCAGCTGATTTTTGTATTTTTAGTAGAGATAGGGTTTCGCCATGTTGGCCAGGCTTGTCTTCAACTCCTGACCTCAAGTGATCCACCCGTCTTTGTCTCCCAAACTGCTGGGATTACAAGCTTGAGCCACCTTGCCTGACATAATATCTTAATGTGATTATTGACACTATTGATTTTCAAATATTTAAATTACCTTTAATAACTAGAATGAATCCTTCTTTGCATTTTTTAATCTTTTGTAGATTTGCATCAAAGATTATGAGCAACATGGATCTGTAATGTTCTTTCTTAAAAAGGTAATAGAATTTATTGTGAAACTCTCTGGTCCTAGAGTTTTTGTTTTAAGAAAATTGTTAATTGTAATTAATTTCCTTTAATAGCTAGAGGGCTATTCATTTTTACCATTTACTTTTGTTTTACTTTTGATAATTTGTGGGTTTTCTAGAAAGTTAACCATTTCAAGTACATTTCCATATTAATGACCTAAGTTGTATATATCTTTCTACGATCTCATTAAAGTCTGTATGCATATTAAGGATGTCATCACTTTTTATTCTTCATATTGGTTAGTTGAGTAATCATCATTTTTCTTCAGTGAACCTCACCAGAGGTTTATCAGTTTTACTAACTGTTTTCAAAAATTGATATATAATAGTTGTAAATATTTTGGGAGTACATGTGGTATTTTAATACCTGTATACGAATCCTTTTAAAGAACCAAACTCTCACTATTCTTCTTGTTATATGTTTGGACTTTAAAAATTAATTTCTGTTATTTTTCTTATTTCCTTCATATATTTTATTTTGTTTAAATGTCTTATCTTTTTTGTAAATTTCTGAATTGAATAATTATGTCAGAGGAAATCAGAATTTATCATTTTGTAATGTATTACATATTAGAAACATGTATTATATATCCTGTTATAAAATTTGCCCTAAAAAGCATTGCTTTTCAACTAGCACACAAAATTTTATATATAGCACCTTCATTATTAGTCAAATTAGAATATTTTCTGAATTATTTTGTATTTGTTCTTAGACATGTGGGTCATTTAGAAATATAGTTATTAATATCCAAATAAAGAATCTATTTTCTATTTATATTTTGTGATTTCTGGTTCCATTTCAATCTAGAGTCAGAATATACTCTGAATTATTTCGATCTTTGGAATATGTGGGGACATGCTTTAAGTTCAATATGTCATAACTTTTTATATATTGCACACTCTAAAAAGAGGTGTAAATACTCCTACAACCACTTAGTTTTAAGATCGTAAAAGATATTGCTTGTAAACATTTTACTGATTTATCTATATTGTACTCAAATTTTCAACTAATCTTCTGGATACTTTTCTACAGATGTCAAGAATTAAACTACATTTATACGTTAATGTGGTTAACAGAATTTTGTCATATTGCTATGACAAAGTAGAGTGTTTTTACATACATCAATTATGTCAGTAGTATTAATAAGTGAATAAATATCTTTACATTACTGTGGTCTTTTCCCTTTGTTATTCAATCAATTACCTATCCACCCTCTCGTGGTCATATATATTAATGGACTTTCTAATCTTTTATGTAGGACATGAACTTCATTGTCTGGTCATGCAGGTATGATTGTACGACTGTACGACTGTACAATTTTCTTTACTGACTGCCTGAACATTTTGGAGGAGGAAAGGAACATGTAAAATTATGAGTATTTTTTTTAATGAAAATTGCTCATTCTCCAAGCACCAAATTCCAGTTAATTCTGTCCTTTTTCCCAGTGGCCTCAGCATGCAGATCTAAGTGTACGAATGGCACATGGTTTATGAGGATGCACCTCACTGGACCTTTTCCTGAAGAGGAAGGAGAAAATAGGACTCCATCATTTTCATTTGACATTCTTCCCATGCCCTGTCTTCATTTTGACATTTTTCCCCTTTTTGGAAATGGGCCTTTTTCCTTTCTTGCGAATGCATTTAAGAATTTAAGAATGCATTAAATTTTGCCTCTAAGCATGACTTTAAGTGCAACCTAAGTCTTTTAACATGTTATACACTCATTACTGTTCAGTTGAAAATATTTTCCAGTTTTCTTTGTGATTGCTTCTACCACCCACAGGTTATTTAGGTTACTTAAGGCCATCTTTTTTTTTCCCCTGAGCACTCACCACATTAACTATTTCCTGTCTTTTAAGCATTTACTTCATGTATAGTAACCAGTTTCTATCCTTGTTCCGGATAAAAATACTAGCTTGAGATAAGTTATTTCATCTGACTACAAATTGGACATTAAGCATGTTTTGTATGTATAAAATACAGCAGTATGACAAAATTCTGTTAACCACCTTAAAGTTGAAATGTAGTTGAATTTTTGACATCTGTAGACAGAAGATTTCTTGAAAATTTCAGTGTTTGATTACAATATAGAAAAATCAGTATAAGCAGTATCTTTTATGATCTTTAAGTGGTTGTAGGAGTACTTACACCTCTTTTTCATATTCATATTGAAATTTAAAGCCATTTTAAAGTAACTTTTTGTTATCCAGTTATTCACTCAGGGTGATCAGATGTCTATTCAAAACAGCCAACAATGAGCTAAAGGAGTGCTGTTCCAGCCAGAATCCTACTGCTACCACAAGTGATGAAAGCACAAGAAATCCTCCACAAAGGTATTCTACAACTAAACTTCTGAACTAAGGGTTGGAGAAAACTGGCTCTTTAAATTTCAAAATAAAAATCAGTTTGTCTATCAATATAAGGCAATAAATACTCATTCACCACCTCTCATGTGCCAGTAATTTCTAGGGCCCCTATAGAAATCTGACTGCTGTGCACATAGAGGGACTGACACAAAGACTTCAGTCACAGGATTCTTTGGGTGGTTCTAAAATAGAAGAGACACTTACAGGTATCTTAAAGATCAGGCATCGTTCCAATCACTTTATAAGAATTAATGAATTATTATAAATTAATTAATACAGCAAACCTGTGAACTAGTCGGTGTAATTCTTGCTGTTATTATTCCCGTTGTCAGATGGGATAAAAGAAGGTAACTAATTTGTGACAGGGGAAAGTCTCAGATAGTGACCAGTGGATTCAGGATTTAAACCCACAATGCCCGATTCTGGACACTCGCGTTTAATTTCTGCGGCCCTTGCAGCTGCCGGCGCAGGCGCTGCACCCAGCGCTGCTCCGCGCGCCCAGCCCCGCTGGGTCCTGGACCCCGCCGGCAGCCGGCAGTGCCTAAAGGTTAGATCTGAAGGATAGGAGAGTGCTGAGAAGGATAATGCTTTTAGGCAATTAATTGTGTGTTCTTTAAATACGGACATGTTAACCACACGGGGCTAGGCAGCGCATGCCTGAGCTGTTTGGAGTAAAAAACTGCAGGACTTTGCAGCTTCTCTCCATCCTGCAGTTCACTTCTGAACTTGCTCCCTCCTCTTAGGATATTCTTAGACTGCCCGGACTTCACCTCAGCTCTGCCATCGCCCAGCCTTGCACTCATTCCATTCGGACCCCCAAATGCTGACCGGCCAGGGGATCCCATGCTACCCTGCAGACTGGTGTGTGCACAAGGAAACCAGGTCCCAGCCTCTGAGGCTGTCAGTGTTTTGTTAGAAAAGAAGGCACAGCTGAGCCAAATAACTAGACAAATGACTAAATGTCTACTTTCTGAGAACTGTAAAAACAATATTGATGCTCAAAAAATATACATATGTATATATCATGGCAGGAATATAGACAATGGCAGTCAGAGGAAATGATCTCTGAAGACATTTGGATAGGATGGGAACTAGTTTATTTTTCTCAAGATGCACTGCCCAGTTATTTCCAGTTATTCAATTTTTTATGGTATTTAAAATCATGGGATACAATATTGGCTTATAACAGTTTATATGAAATATTGTCACGACAAAACTAAAAGATAAAGTCACTATCAGACTATAAGACATGAACACCAGTGGCAGCCACACAGGTGGGCATTTGGAAGCAAACACTGCCTGGCACCAGCTGCATAGCCTTGGGCAGGTGAGGAAACATATGCTTCTCAGTTCCCTTGTGTTAGGAGATGAGATGGTCAAATATTGTATAGAACTTCACTCCAATGCAGTAACTACTAGCCTCATGTGGCTATTTAAATTTATAATTTAAAAAATGGACATTCATTTCCTCCGTCACTCTAGCCTCATTTCAAGTGCCCAAGAACCCCATGGGGCTAGCTTTCATACTGTACAGCATGCATATATATAAATTCTTCACAGAAAGTTCCTCTGGACAGTGCTGGTGCATCAAGAGAGGGTCAAATATGATTTAGATACAGTGCTGGGAAAATATCACAATTAAGCAAATAATAGATGCAGTGCTAGGAAAATATCACAATTAAGCCAGTAATAATTTTATATTCAGGATTCTTATGTTTGTGAATTTGTAGAGAGCTTGGCGTAGAAGCCTGAGAGCTGTGCTGCAAGTCTTTTTCTTGTAAAAATCACTGGGGCTGACAAACAAATCCTGATAAAGAGAAAGTTTGTTTCAGAAAGTTCAAGTGAGGCAGACTTTGGGACAGCTTGCATGCAAAATATAAAACTTGGTAACTATGAAAAGGAGAAAGATAAATCCAACATTTCCTACATTCACGATGAATAATCAGCACCATTTTCAAATAATTATCAAATTAGGAAAAGACTACCTTTTAAAAACATTGAGCCTTCTACTGACCGACTATAAAGACTATATATAAAGTATCCCACAATTTATTTAGGTCTTCTGAAGCTAAAATGTTTTTAATTTTATTGTATAACCTTAATTAGTTTAATTCCTAGGTTAGCTAACTTTTAATGTTGTTATGAATGTTATTAATTTTAAATGTTTACTTCAAATGTTATTGATGATAGAGAAATAAAAATGATTTTCATATATTGGACTCCTGTCCAGTGTCCTTGCTAAATGTACCTATTAAATCTAATAGCTTATCTGTAAATTATTCTCAATTTTCTGTTGCATTCCATCAATAATTTCTTTCCAGTTATAACATCTTTTATTTCTTTGCTATTACACTAGCTAGGACTTGCAATAATAAATACAGATTTTTTTTGCCTTTAGATTTATTTCAGAGAGAAAGTTTTAGAGACCTTTATTTAGATAATTATCTAAATTACAGATGTAATTTAACAGATCCATATTCACATGTATTTCTGCTCCTGTCATTTTTACTAATAGATGTTTCCACCAATATGACTATTTCATGTAACTTTTCAAGTTTTATCTCCTAACTTTGTTCCTGATATTCTCTAATGATTTTTAATGTCTGTTATTAATGTAGTGATAACATATTTGAAATTACTGATCTTGGGTATTAGAGCCTTCTTCATTTTTCCTTGATAAATTTCACCAGAAATTATCTGGCTTCAATAAGCAGTTTAAGGGATTTTACTTAATTTATTTCCCTTATTTAATATTTGTTTTTCTTCATTGCTTTTCTTGCCCTTATTATTTGCTTCATTCTGCTTTCATTGCTTTTACCTACTTAATTATAATTTAATTTGTTGACTTGGGTGATTATAAATATTCAGATATGTTTCCACTTTACAGATTTAGGCAACAAAATTTCCTCAAAGAAACTTATAGAAAAAAAATCCAATAATATATAAAATGATATATCATGACAGAAGGGCTTCTTATTAGAAACAAATTGGTTAGTTAAATATTTGAAACTCATAGCTGCAAATAATCACATTAAGAGAATAAAGGGAAAAACAAAATTGTCTCAAAAAATGTATAAAACTACATAACAGAATTCAGTATGCAGTCATGATACGTACTCTCAGCAAAGTAGGAATACAAAAAAATGATTAATCTACTACATTTATCTGCAAAAATGACAAAACGCTCATACATGGAAATTAAAGACCATTCCTTTGTGGATAATATGGCACAGGATATGTTATGAAAGGCTGTCCTGCCACAACACAGCACAGATGGGGTTGAAAGAAAGGAAGGGAAACAAAGGGCTGCCATGAATTAAACCAGTAGAGAAAATAAAAGCCTGGGTCATGCAGGGGACAGTGTCTTATTAGGCCAGCATCAGGACTGGTTGAAGTCTGGCGCTTCTAACACAGTGGGAAAATGAGCATAGTAATCACAATAAAGAAAGACATCTGAAAGGTGCTAACTTAGCCTCGGATCAGAAGTGCTCTCTGCTAATGCCTTGCTGGTGAAAAGCGTATCCAGTGTAAGCCCTCAGAAATCCCAGAAAACAAAGACCAAAAGAAACGGCGCCTTGTCAACCGAACGAATTGAAAAAAGCTTCCTGCCGCGATCGGGCATTAAAAGAAAAAAACCACAGACATAAGATGGAGTGAATAAAAAAAGAATTTATATAATTCATGGATGAAATGTTTCAGAATCTATAGGATTATATTTTTTTTAAGGCAGACAGATACGAAAATACAACGAAGCGTGCATGACCGAAACCAGAAGAGATTAAAGTAAAACCTCATTCTCCTGAGGAAATCGTGTGAGAAGGGACTTAGGGACTGCCGGAACACAGCGAAGCAGAGGCAGAAGGCAGACAAAAGGGGCTGGGTTGGTCCCCGCCTGTGTGAACGAAAAAATATGTCAGATTGGAAAATTGCGGTAAAAACCAGGCAGAGCACGTACGTTGCCCCCACAGGAAGTGTCCGCCATGCTGCCTGTGCCCGGAAGTAGGTAGGAACACACAGTCAGAGGGACCCAAAAGCAGGGGGGAAGGAAAAAGAGATGCACACTTCCCCCAGAGAAGCCTCCGAGCGCGGCCGCCATTCCGGGCCTCAAGCCCATAAAGAAAAAATACCGGAGAGGTTCTGGCACCATTTCGGGGTGCCAAAGCAGCCATGGAAGAGCCTGCAGCTCCCTCAGAAGCCCACGAGGCAGCCGGGGCCCAGGCAGGTGCTGAGGCAGCAAGGGAGGGTGTGTCTGGGCCGGACCTTCCCGTCTGTGAGCCCTCCGGGGAATCTGCTGCTCCAGATTCAGCCCTGCCACATGCGGCAAGGGGCTGGGCCCCCTTCCCTGTAGCTCCAGTCCCTGCCCACCTCCGCAGAGGAGGCCTGAGGCCTGCCCCAGCCTCAGGAGGAGGAGCCTGGCCCAGTCCGTTGCCAAGCCGAAGCAGCGGCATTTGGACAAAGCAGATCATCTGCAGGTATTATATACATGGGCAGTGCAAGGAGGGGGAGAACTGTCGCTATTCGCACGACCTTTCTGGTCGGAAGATGGCCACTGAGGGTGGCGTTTCGCCGCCTGGGGCCTCTGCAGGTGGAGGCCCTAGCACGGCTGCGCACATCGAGCCCCCGACTCAGGAAGTGGCGGAAGCCCCCCCGGCTGCATCCTCCCTTTCCTTGCCTGTGATTGGCTCGGCTGCTGAAAGGGGTTTCTTTGAAGCCGAGAGAGACAATGCAGACCGTGGAGCTGCTGGAGGAGCAGGTGTAGAAAGCTGGGCGGATGCCATTGAGTTTGTTCCAGGGCAGCCCTACCGGGGCCGCTGGGTTGCATCTGCCCCCGAGGCTCCTCTACAGAGCTCAGAGACTGAGAGGAAGCAGATGGCTGTGGGCAGTGGGTTGCGGTTTTGCTATTATGCTTCCAGGGGAGTTTGCTTTCGTGGGGAGAGCTGTATGTACCTCCATGGAGACATATGCGACATGTGTGGGCTGCAGACCTTGCACCCCATGGATGCTGCCCAGAGGGAAGAACATATGAGGGCCTGCATTGAAGCACACGAGAAAGATATGGAACTCTCGTTTGCTGTGCAGCGTGGTATGGACAAGGTGTGTGGCATCTGCATGGAGGTTGTCTATGAGAAGGCCAACCCCAATGACCGCCGCTTTGGCATTCTTTCCAATTGCAACCATTCCTTCTGTATTAGGTGTATCCGCAGGTGGAGAAGTGCCAGACAGTTTGAGAACAGGATCGTCAAGTCTTGCCCACAGTGCAGGGTCACCTCTGAATTGGTCATTCCCAGTGAGTTCTGGGTGGAGGAGGAGGAAGAGAAGCAGAAACTTATTCAGCAATACAAGGAGGCAATGAGCAACAAGGCCTGCAGGTATTTTGCGGAAGGCAGGGGTAACTGCCCATTTGGAGACACATGCTTTTACAAGCATGAATACCCTGAGGGCTGGGGAGATGAGCCTCCTGGGCCAGGTGGTGGGTCATTCAGCGCATACTGGCATCAACTTGTGGAGCCTGTGCGAATGGGAGAGGGCAACATGCTCTATAAAAGCATTAAGAAGGAGCTTGTCGTGCTTCGGCTGGCCAGTCTGTTGTTTAAGCGGTTTCTTTCACTGAGAGATGAGTTACCCTTCTCTGAGGACCAGTGGGACTTGCTTCATTATGAGCTGGAAGAATATTTCAATTTGATTCTGTAGCATCGTGCTGTGGCATGTGGTCTAGTCTGCTGAGGTTCTGTCGTCTGCTATTGCCTGTTTTCCCTGTGTTGACACTCTTACTGCTTTCAGGGGCTGTTGAGGCAGTGCTTCTGTTTTCTTGTCTATTCTGCATATCTTTCCCCCTAGGATTATGGTGATTATCTGTGTTAAAAAATAAGTCCTTAAAGTTACTGTTTTGGTGAAATTAATATTAATGTCAGCTTATGGCTTTTTTTTGTCATCTCTGTTGTCAACAGGATTAACTCAGTTCTAGTGTAGTGTTTACTGAATTTCCACACTTATTTTGAAGACCCTCAAGAGTAAATGTGGCAGAGTGAAAGGAGAAGTTTTAATTGAACTAGTAGCTTTGTGCTATAATAGCCTTAACAAATGGACCCTTGCAGGGCTTTGCAGCTGCTCATCTGTTTGTTTACAGTTTGTTCTTTCCCTCCTTCCCCTTCAAGTGCACTTGTTAAACTGTGATGAACTTGTGATTTTGTGTTTTACTTGACCAAAACCAAGTGTATATGTTTACATGTTTTTATCCTGTTTAGCTTGACATGAAATAATTTATATTTGGAAATATATATTTAAGAATTATATATATAAAAATATATATGTATAAGAGTTATGTATTTGAAAAAAATATATAAAAGAATATACATCACAATATAATATTTATGTTTATGTAATAAAGTAAATACAGAGCTGAAAGCTGAAGGTCAAAGCCTAACAGGATTGGCTGTTGTGTGGATGTGAGTTGTGTGAATAATCTTTCTGTCCCTCGCACAGAAGCCAGTAATTAGCATCTAATGAAAAGGACTGTTCAAGTGGGTCTGGCCAAATGTGACAGATGCAGATCTTAGAGGACTTACAAAGCACTATATTGGTAATTCTTACAATGGCATTAATAGCTTACTCTATAAATACAGAAATGGTTTTCCTATGCAGTTTAGCCACCTTCTCATTAATTCTTTGTAACAGCAAATCCTAGGCTCAGAGGCACAGTGCTTTGTATTTGATATACAAAGTCTCTAGACTTTCCCAACAAGGGGCTTTTGACAAAAGAGTTCAACATAAAAGTAACAAGATTATAAAAGGGAAAATAGAACAAAAATATTAAAACCAATGAGAATAAAAGAATGGAAAGATAAAATAATAAAATATAGAAAGCACTAAAAACTAAGTGTAAGACTAATATAGAAAATCTACATACAACTTAATTAGATTAAATGAAAGCAGTTTAAAGACTGAAAGTCAAAGGCTATAAGACTTCATTACAATCAGAATGAAACATCCTGTTTAAAATACACACAACATGAAAATACAGAAACACTCAAAGTAGTAGGATGGGAAAAAGCCGAACAGGTGCTGTGGACTCTCTTGATTGTAGACAAAGTTTATAGTAAGGATAAACACTTTGCTGGAGATAAAAAGGAATGGTACATAAACATTAAATTGTAATTCACAGGAATATATAACTTCAAATTTTGTATACATTTAATAACATTGTATCAGATACACAACTGATGAAAATCCTAAATCCAGACTCTTAGTGGACAATTTTAATACATCTTTTTAGTAACCAAACAAGCAAAGAAAAAATGAATGTGAAAGAGAATGATGCCATTTTAATGATTTACCTGTACAACGTATGATCTGCATCAACTGCAAATGCACTTATCTTGGCTGAAGTAGCTGAAAAATATGCTGGGAGTCTGAATCTTGAGTCCCAGGTTATTCACACTGTCCTGACTGTCCAACAAAGATGGCACATTTACAGAGTTTATACCATGTACTTTGCATGCAAAAGGATGAATTTGTCAGAACTACCTAATGTGGTACTTGCTATAGTTTTTCTCATTATCATGATGAGGTAAATAATAGAGAATTTAAAGGTTTTGCCCGTAGAGTTTACGACCCATAGCTGTGAATTAGTGGAACAAAGACTGGAACTCAAGCAGTATTTGTCCAGAGCACTCGCACTTACCATGTTCACTAGGAGCAGGTCGACCAGCTGAATGTAGCTGCTGGAGATGCAAGTACAGCCTTTAAATATGGATGATTCAGCCAAGTGGAGCAAAGATGGACTTGAATAAGCTCCCACAGAATGTAGGAGCCATGGGGCTTTTATCTATAGGCTGCCAGCTCAGTGATTTTAGTCCACTGCTTCAGAGTGTGCCTCAGCCTCCTATACTTTTACATTGCCTCTCCCTTCTTACATGACTCCTGGTTCTCCTATTAAGTACCTCAGCCTATTTGCCTGGACCTTTTGCCATATTCCTTTCCTCTTGATTCCTCTTAGCCAAAGAATTCACCAATCAGGACACCCTTGATGCCTGACTATCACTGGCATGCAAGGTGAGTGACAGATTCCAAATAAATTCCAAACATCTGAGGTCCCTGCCCTGCAGTCGTGCAGGAGAAAGAGAGATTAGATGAACTAAACAACCAAAGAATGAGACCAGATGGTGCACTCTCAAAGACTGTGCCAACACCAAAGTCTCAGAAAATAGTGGCAAAGCTTTCAGAGAGGGGTTTTTAAGCTGAGCCCAGAAAGCTGTGGAAAGTTTCTCCAAATGTACACTTCCCTGCATTGTGAAATATTGTGTTTTTATTCAAATAGTATCTTGAACCAGATAATCATAAAGTTCAGTATTTATAGTAGGACAATCGTCAGTAGAAAATAAAGTGGCTTGAGAGACCAAGGATAGTTAGAATCCTGACTCTGCTTCTTACCAGCCATTCAGTTTCACAGTCTAAGCAAGTTACTTAAATTTTCTGTACTTCAGTTTCTTCATATGAGAAATGGGTACAGTTCCACCTACTTTTGCAGGATTGTTGTGAGGATCAAATGTAGTCTGGACAAAAAGCTTGAAACATAGGTTTTTTTTTTTTAGTGATTATATATAGATATGAGATTTGTGCATATTTTTGGACATGAAAAGGTGATTGCACAGAAATTAATCACCAAGATTTTCTTTTTGAGAATCTCTGGAACTTGTATTAATGTAATGTTATCATTTAATGATTATTTTGGTAAGCAAGGGGTATATTACCCTCACATTCATAATTTCAAAAAGATGAAGTATTTTTTCAGCAAAAATTATTCATTTGAAACTAAATATGTGCTATTCAATTACTTAAAATATAACAAAAGAAATACATATTTTTGGCAGAGTTCTAGGTGAGGAAAATAACAAAGGGACATTTTTAGAATATATGGGATTCCTTGTTCCCTCATCAGTTCATTCAGAAAAATGTCAAATAACAGAAGTATTACTGCCACCAGGTCTGGGTGAAATGTTACCAAGGGCTTTCCCACGATCTGACCACTCCCCTGCTGCAGTCAGGAACAAAGAAGCCTTTGCCACACAAAGGTCTGCTCTGTGAGTGATTCAGAGTGTGTGCTGGCCCTCGCCCCTATGAGGACTCAAGGACTCAGCCCTGGGGTCCACAAAAATGGTATCATTTCAGCTACAACTTAAAAAGCCTAAAACAAGTCAGGTTTGCTTTGCTTAGGTTTCATGTGTCTCGATTTGATGGATATCCACACATGCAAATATACTAAGAGAAATTTACCTAGTAATTCCTCCCCTTTGAAGATATGGAAATCACTTTGTCTCATGGCTCACATGTCACTAAATCAATTCACTGAATTTCACTGACAGGGAAACATTTTCAGTCTGTGGTCTATGTCCATATGCTCTTCCATTTTACAGTTTTCCAAACGTCATAGAGGCATGGTTTCTGTTGCCACAACTAATACTAAACTACAACTTCAGTGCGGGATAGAGTTAGGGTAGGGCTGGGAACAGGGATGTGTGGGAAATAAGCCAGTACTAGTGCAAAGAAGTAAACTAATTCATGTCAATTTTTGCCTTGAAAATATATATCACATTTTCCAATATTAATGGAACAATAACAAAAATAATTGTGAAATAGAGTACAGTGAAACTGTCAATTAGATCTAGATATAAAAGTAGTACAGGCAACATTTTCTGAGGTCAATATAAGAAAATAAGCTACTACCGGCTGGGCACAGTGGCTCACACTTGTAATCCCAGCACTTTGGGAGGCCGAGGCGGGCGGATCACGAGGTCAGGAGATCGAGACCGTCCTGGCTAACACAGTGAAACCCTGTCTCTACTAAAAATACAAAAAAAAAAAAAAAAAATTAGCCAGAGTTGGTGGCAGGTGCCTGTAGTCCCAGCTATTCAGGAGGCTGAAGCAGGAGAATGGCGTGAACCCGGGAGGTAGAGCTTGCAGTGAGCCGAGATCGCGCCACTGCACTCCAGCCTGGGCAACAGAGCAAGACTCAGTCTCAAACAAAAAACAAAGAAAAGAAAATAAGCTACTACCACTTTTAATTGTCTCTCATAAATAATTTGATGTAGGAGTGAATTCAAAATCATTTAGAAGAATATAATATGACAATGACAAATTATACACACCGTAATATACAGGATACTTCTGGATCTGTACTCAGAGTATAACTCCTAATTTTAAATACTAATGTATATTGTCTTAAAAACAAAGAGCCTAATTAACTAGGTATTCAAACCTAAATTTTAAAAAGACCACAACATGAACACATGCACACATATACACAAACACATACAAACACAACTAAAGTAAGCAGGAGGAATTAGGAAATATTAAACTAAAAATTTGTTGAACAGAGAATGAAAATGTAAAGGCTGATTTTTTTTTTGTAAAAATAATTAGTAAACAGATAAACCACTAACTTAAAAAATAAAGGATAAAGTGCAATTAAAATAGGAAATGTTAATCAGAGGTAATTAGAGCTAAAAAGACACTAAAGAAATGGGAAATAAATCCTTGTTATACCTGAGGGAAATGTACTTGAAAATATGAAACAAAATTTAACAGTTTCAACATAAATATAAATTTCCAAACATCAATCCAGAAGACAAATCTAAACGAACCTATTACTAACAACAACAAAAAAAGAAGTTGTCTAAAATTCACTTACTCCCTACTCCACACAGAAAGAAACAGAAGACATTATCCCCTGAAATTTACTTAAACATTTAATTAAATATATTGCAATGCTGTATAAACCATTTCTTAGTCCATTTGAGCTACTGTTAAAAAATATCATAAACTAGGTGGCTTATAAGCAACATAAATTTATTTCTCACAGTTCTGGAGGCTGAGAGGTTTAAGAGCATGGCACCGGCAGCTTGGTTCATAGATGACCATCTTCTTAGTGTCCTCACATAGTGGAAGGCACTACCAACCTCGTTGGGACCCCTTTAATTGTGCTGTTTTAATGTACAATAAAATGTATTAAAAACTAAATAATTACATAAATATATTTGTTTTCTTTTTTATGGGTAGTTTGTTTTTCAGTGGAGAAGTGCTTGAAGCAATGTCATATGATAACGTTATAGTGAAAGTTTTATGCAAGTTCATCAAGAATACAATACAAACGATGAGGGAATCACAGTTGTGGGGGCTTAGACACAAAGCTGTATATACCATTTGAGCTGGCAAATTGGAACCTCTTTTATTAAGGGCACTAATTCCACATATGAGGCCTCCACCGTCATGACTCCAACACCTTCCAAAGGTCCCATCTCCTAATACCATTACCTTAGAGATTAGATTTCACCGTAGAAATTTTGGAGATACACAGACATTCAGTATACAGAACTGCTATGGTATGGATATGGTTTATTTAGCCCGCCAAGTCTCCTGTTGAAATTTGATCCACAGTGTTGGAGGTGGGGCCCAGTAGGAGGTGTTTGAGTAATGGGAGCAGATCCTTCATGAATGGCTTGCTGCTCTCCTCACGAAAGTGAGTGAATTTTCACTCTGAATTCCCATTAGAACTGGTTGTTGAAAAGAGCCTAGGCTGGGCACAGTGGCTCATGCCTGTAATCCTAACACTTTGGGAGACAGAGGCATAAGGAATGCTTGAGGCCAGGAGTTTGGACCAGCCTAGACAACATAGTGAGACCCCATCTCTATAAAAAAAATAGAAACAATTAACCAGACATGGTGGTACATGCCTGTAGTCCCAGCTAATCAGGATGTTGAGGAGGGAGGACTGATTGAGCCCAGGAGGTCGTGGCTGCAGCGAGCTATGATTGTACCACTGCACTCCGGTCTGGGCTGCAGAGTGAGACCCTGTCTCTAAAAAAATAGGAAAAGAACCTGGCAACTCCTTTGCCTTCTCTTTCATGATGTGATGTCTTCTCCTCTTCCTCTTTCATCATGAGTGAAAACTTGCTGAGGCCCTCACCAGAAGCAGATATTGGTGCCACGCTTTTTTTTTTGTTTGTTTTTTGAGATGGATTTTTGCTCTTGTTGTCCAGGCTGGAGGGCAATGGTACACTCTTGGCTCACTGCAACCTCTGCCTCAGGGGTTCATGCAATTCTCCTGCCTTAGCCTCCCGAGTAGCTGGGATTACAGGTGCCCGCCACCACGCCCAGCTAATTTTTGTATTTTTAGTAGAGACGGGGTTTCACCATGTTGGTCAGGCTGGTCTCGAATTCCTGACCTCAGGTGATCCACCCGACTGGGCCTCCAAAAGCGCTGAGATTACAGGCATGAGCCACCACACCCAGCTGGTGCCATGATTTTTTTACAGACTCCGGAACCATAAGCCAAATAAGCTTCTTTTAAAAATTATATTCAGTTTCATATATTCCTTTATAGAAACAAAAATGGACTAAGACAGAAAATTGGTACTGAGGAGTGGAACGTTGCTATAAAAATACCTAAACATTTGGAAGCAGCTTTGGAACTGGGTAATGAGCAGAAGCTGGAAGAGTCTAGAGGGCTCAGAAGAAGATAGGAAGGGAAAGCTTGTAACTTCCTAGAGACTGGTTGTGACCAAAATGCTGATAGAAATACAGATAATAAAGGACATGCTGAGGAGGTCTCAGATGGAAATGAGGAACTTACTGGGAACTGAAGCAAAGTTATACCCTAGCAAATAATTTGGCTGCATTGTGTATACACTAGCACTTTGTGGAAAGCTGAACTTAAGAGTGACGGCCTAAAGTATCTGGCAGAAGAAATTTCTAAGCAGCAAAGCATTCAAGAAGTGGTGTGGCTGCATCCAACAATCAACAGATTGGGAGCAAAGGAAGGACTTAAAGTTGGAACTTTTGGTTAAAAGGGATACAGAGCATAAAAATTTGGAAAACTCAAGCCTGTCCATGCAAAAGAGAAGGAAAGAGCATTTTTCAGGAGAGGAAATCTGAGGGGGGGCGCAGCTGAACAACTGCTTGCTAGAAAGATTAGCACAGGTAAAAGAGAGCCAGTTGGTAATAGAACAGTGAAAAAAGTCCAAAGGCATTTCAGAATCTGAGTTTACTCCTCCCATTACAGGTCCACAGGCCTAGGAGGACAGATGACTTCTGGGCCAGGCCCAGGGTGCTGCTGCCCTGTGCAATCTTGGGAAGCTGCTTCCCACATCCTGGCTGCTCGGACCACAGCTAAAGCTCAAAGGGCTCAAGCTACTGTTTAGACCACTGCTTCAGAGGGTGCAAAGTGTAATGTTTGGGGCTTCCATGTGGTGCTAAGACTGCAGGCACACAGTGTGAGATTGGCTGAGCTCTTTGTGGGTTGGAGCCCCCACGTAGTGTCTCCACCAGGCACCACCTAGTGGAGCTGAGGGAGTAAGGTTGCCATCCTCCAGACCCCAGAATTCTAGAGTCACTAGCAGCACGCACTCTCAGCATGGAAAAGCTGCAAGCATTGGATTCCAGTACATGATAAGAGCCACATGGGCTTCACACATCAAAGCTACTGGGACAGGGCTGCCCAAGGCCTTGGGAGCCCACACTTCATACTGTTGTGCCCAGGATGTGGGACATGGAGTCAAAGGAGAACATTTTGGGGCTTTAAGTTTTTATATCTGCCCTTCTGAGTTCTAGACTTAATGTGGGGAGTATTACCTCTTTCTTTAGGCTGATTTCTCCCTTTTGGAATGGGAATGTCTAACCAATGCCTGTATCACGTTTGTATCTTGGAAGTAAATATCTTGTTTTTTATTTTACAGGTTCACAGCTGTAAAGAACTTGCCTGGAGTCTCAGATGAGACTTTGGACTTTGGACTTTTGAGTTGATGCTGGACCAAGTTAAGACTTTGTTGATAGGATGATTTTATCTGGCAATGTGAGAAGAACCTGAGTTTTAGGGGGTCGGGGCAGAATGCCATGGTTTGGATATGGTATCTTTGGCCCCACCGAGTCTCATATTGTAATTTGATAACCAGTGTTGGAGGTGGGGCTTGGTGGGAGGTGTTGGGAATATTGGGGTGCATCCCTCATGAATGGCTTGGTGCCATTCTTGCAGAGATGAGTGAGTTCTTACTCTTGAGTTCTCTAGAGAACTGGTTGTTAAAAGACCTTGGCATTTCCTCCTCTTCTCTCTGGGTTTCTCTCTTGCCATGTGATGCCTACTCCCCTTCCCTTTCTGGCATGGGTGGAAGTTGCCTGAAGTTCTCACCAGAAGCAGGTGTTGGTGCCATGCTTCTTGTACAGTCTCCAGAACCATAAGCCAAAGAAACCTGTATTTTAAATAAATTACCCATCCTCAGGCATTTCTTTATAGCAACACAAACAGACTGAGAAGCACTATTTTATAAAATAAAGGTGCACCTATATAACTTATGAATGGTATATAACATGGTATCAAAATATTGCCAGTTCTAGTTCATTTTGTGCTGCTGTAACAGAATACACATGCTCCTTGACTTATGATGGGGCTGTGTCCCAATAAACTCATCATAAGTAGAAAATATCATAGTTGAAAATGCATTTAATGTCCCTATAAACCCATTATAAAGACAAAAAAATCATAAGTCAAACCATTGTTAAGTCCAGATGCTCATTGATTTACATTGGGGTTATGTCCTGATACACCCATCGTAAAGTTGAGTAATCATAAGTTGAACCATCATAAACTGGGGCCCCTCTGTGCCTGAGACTGGGTAGTTTACAGTGAACAGAAGTTTATTGGCTTATTGTTATGGAGGCTGGGAAATCTAAGATTGAGGGGCCAATATCTGGTGAAGGCCTTCTTGTTGCACCATCCTGTGGCAAAAGGGCAATGAGAGTGAAGAGAGCAATAGCCTGAACTCAAAACTTCAAGCCCTTTTATAATTGGTATTAATCCATTCATGAGGGTAGAGCTCTCATTACCTCAACATTTCCCATTAGGCCTTACCTTCCAACACTGTTATATTGGGGATTAAGTTTCCAACACATCCTCTTGCGGGGACACATTCAAACCATAGTACCAACATAGTATAATACAAAAATAACTAGAGATCTATCTCATTTATAAATATTGATGCAAAAAATATGAAATGAAATATTAGAAAGTGAAAGAATAGCACTGTTAAAAAATAAGACTTCAGGAAGTAGTGGATTATATTCCAGGAAAACAAAGATGGTACAATATGAAAAAATATTTTTTCTTAATATATCAAAGGAAATAATCATATAAGCAACTTCATATATCTCCCAAATTTGTGATCAATTTGCTTTAGTGTATATAATACAGCTATTTAGAGCATAAATATATTTATATGTGTATATTACCCAAATCTAAATTTTTGAGAAATGAACACACAAAAACACATAACTAATGAAAAGAAATAAAAAATATAGGAAGATTAAAATATTAAATATAAAGGCTGAGACTTTGAAAACAATTAATAAAATAGATAAACCACTAACTAAATTAATGAGGAAAATGAGAAAAAATAAAAACAAAATCACATACACACATTCAATAGGAGGAATTCACAACATTCTATTAAACAAACATAAGAAATCATCACTCAACTAGATGAAGATTAATTGCAAAACTGAAATTGATGATTTTCCAGGCATTTATAATTTATCAAACATTGGCTACAAAACATGACAATGTAACCTACTAGTTAACATAAAATTAATAAAATGGTTATCACAATTTTAATAGGGATTGTCATAAAACCTTTAAAGAACAAATCATTAAAGTGCTATGTAACACAATCCAGAAGTTTAAAATGGAAGGAAGGGTCACTGACTTGTTTAATTATGAATGACACGTAATTTTATATCAGAGTGTAACTAAGGTAGTGAACACACACAAACACACATTCACAAATACATGCAAACTAATGATCAAGTTTATGAATAATGATGCAAAATTTTAAGAAAATATTAGAATAAAAATATTTCAGCATTGTATTTATTTAATTAGCCAAAAAAGGTAATCATATAATCATCTCTTTTGATCAGGCAAAAACAATTAGATTTTTCTCTCCTTTCTTCACTGTTAGTTATTATTTTGATGTATCAATCAATGCAATTGTATACAAGGCCAAAAAATGAGACATATAAATGATACATCCTTCAAAGAAGGATTTAAATTCCTCTCTCTGAGATGTTGTATGTTGAAAATCTGAAAATTTCTGTAAAACTTTAAAAAATAAAAATCAGTAAAATTCTAGGAGAAAAATAATAAATGTGGATAAGTTTCGTATAATATAGAAAATGTAATGAAATGCCTATTTTTGTTATCACAACAATAATTTAAAGTACACAAGAACCATGTACTTTAAATTTAGGAATAAATAAAAACTGGGAATAAATTTAAAAATGTGTTAAGTGCCTTCAGGAAACCATAAATACTTAAACAAATGATAATATATACTATATAATTTGATAGGGAACTTTAACATCACCAATGTGTCAATTTTTTAATGAATTTACAAAATTTCTAATAAAGTACTGCTTAGGGAAAAGTCTTAAACTGTGTCCTTCCTGTGCTCTCAATCACAACAATCATCAATGCAGAAAATGTCAGTGGCTAAATGTGGGGGCATTTCACACACACCAAGCAGCAGACACCAGCTGGGCATCCTCCAATTTAATTCCAAGGCTATCTACCTGGAGATAGTGTCAGATCCTGCAGGTGAGGGGCCGGCCTCAAGACTCCCCCCACTCCCTAGACACCAGTCACAAAGTCCAGGCCTCTGGAAGTTCTGACCAGTGGGCTTCAAGTTGGCATTCCCACGACCCACTCTTTGGATTTGATTAATTTGCTGGAGCAGCTCACAGAACTCAGTGAAACACTTATGTTTACTGATTTATTATAAAGGATATTACAAAGGATGCAGATGAAGAGATGCATTTGAGGAAGCTATGGGGGAATGGGGTGGAGCTCCCATGCCCTCCTGGAGTGCCACCCTCCAGGAACCTCCCGGTGTTCAGCTATCCAGAAGCCTTTGAGCCCAGTGCTCTGGGGTTTTTATGGAAGCTTCATGACATCAGCATTCCTTCCCCCAAGGTATGGGGGGTATGACCCTTTATCAGATGAGGATCTTATGATCCACATCAGAAAGGTTGGGGGAGATTGGAATCCTCCTGCCTTGAGGTGGGTGAAAAGAGGTCAGGAGAAGGTCAGAGAGATTCTCTTTCCTAAGTCCTGCTCCTGAAGCCTAACACACGCAGTATTTTTTTAAAAAGACTGTAACAAGGGCTATGGGAGTTATGAGCCAAGAACCGTAAATGAAAACGTGTGTGTGTGTTTTGTGTTTGTGTGTGTGTATCTCATAACAACACAAGTACAAACTAGTTCTTTATAACTAAACAAAAAACTATTGTGAAAGTTGATCTGTTGGGGGGGGCAGGAAGCCAACAGGACCAGAATATTTTAGAATTGAAAAGCATCCATTCAATGAACTTTACCAGGTCTTCAAACAGTGTCATATTGCCAGCAATATGAAAAGCAGATAGTGGGACTTGAATTGATAAAAAATATATGCTAAAAAGGTTCATAAATGGACATATGTATTGAGTTGATGATAAAGATAAAAATAACAGGATTATTTAATAAAGGTTGTCGGGTGAATTCAGGAGTCATGGGCTCCAAATACCATATTTTAACAGCAGTATAAATTCCACTTACATCAAAATTTCAGACAAATACAAAACCAGGAAAGGATTTTCTTTTTATTTTAAAGTCTTGGAGTCAAGAATGTCTTACAATGACATATTCTATAAAACTCTTAAAAGTTTGACCATAATTGTAGCAATAACTGCATAGGGTCTACTGTGTGCCAGGCGCTGTTCTGAGATGGTTTATCCCATTTAATCCTTCCAACCATCCCAAGAGGTAGTCACTATTAACCCCTTGTAGCAGCTGAGAGCACTGAAGCTGAGGGAGGCTCGTAGACATGTCCATGGCACACAGTTAATAGACTCGCCCATCTGACTGCAGGGCGGGACTCACACCAATTGCTCTGCCTTACAAATGTAACCAGTTTAAAATGAGCTAATGAATTTGACATGAGCAACTTCCCCACCCCTAAAAAAGTATCAAACTATAAAAAAGTCATAAAATGGGTTGAGAATTTATTTCTATAATACATAAAGGCTTCTTAATCAACAAAAACCTTAACAAAAAGTATACCTCTTGCACATAAACAAAATGCATATAGTTTGAAGGAGGGGAAAAGTTGTCAAGCATCACTAATAATACTTATTAAAATTGATGAAGTTTCAGTTTCCTCTCAATTTGTCAAAAACCCAGATGTTTAAAAACACACTCTGTTGGGAGAAT